>NC_000007.14:45997817-46300848 GCF_000001405.40 Homo sapiens
AGCCGGTTTCTGGATGTCCTGGAAGACAGCATGCTGCCACACTGGTTTTGTATCTTTGAGCGATGCTCGGTGCTCTCATGCTTCTCCTCAGCTGATTTGCAGAAGTGGCCCATGCCTTCCAGAGCCACATCATCATGGTCAAAATAGAAGCCCAGAGAGAAATAGGTTTAGAAGATCCACAAGTACAAATTGACCAGGTGGTTGATGGCTGCCTCCACCTCAATGGAATAATTCTGATAAATCTGGGAGCTCATGGTTAGCAAGAAGGAGCTAACTACAAAAATGGTGTTGGCTGGTCCCAGAAGCAGGAGATGACCGAGAAGATGTTCCCGAAGGTTGAAAATGGAGAGAAGATTGGAAGGTAGCTGGAGACTGGAAGAAAGAGAGTTCCTGGATCTGTTCCATCCAAACACTGTTGAAGCAAGAGACAGATCCACAGGACTGCTGAATGTGCTGCCTAGACTTTAAAATGTATCATAGAAGACAAGAAAATTGTGTATTCAAAAAAGGTTAATCCATCAAGAATATATGACAATGATGAACATACCTGAACATCAAACAGAACCCCCAAGACACATGAAACAAAAATTAACAGAAATAAACTGAGAAAAAAAATTCTACAATAATATTTGGAGACTTTAATATCCAAATTTCAATAATGAATAGAACAAATAGACAAAATGTCAGTAAGGAAATAGAGGACTTAAACAACACTATAAACAATTGGAATTAGTAGACATATAAATAACACTCCACTACCACAAACACCAGAATATGCATTCTTCTCAAGTGCACATGTAACATTCTCCAAGCTAAATCTTATATTAGGCCACAAAACAAGTCACAGTAAATATTAAAAGGTTGAACTCATACAAAGTATTTTCTCTGACTACGAAGGAATGAAACCAGAAACCAGTAACAGAAGGATAGCTGGAAAACTCAGAAATATGTGGAAATTAAACAACATACTCATAAATAAGCTCTAAGTCAAAGAAGAATTTAGAAAATACTGTTTTTTTTTTTCAGGATGGATAAACCCCTCTTAGGAAGCAGGCAACAAACAGCTGCAGACAAAAGTATACCTTATAACAACAACCCAACATACTAGAAGATTTTCCAGTTTAAAAGACACAGAATCCTAAAATGTGAAACTGCAGAGGAACTCAGAGGCCACTGTCCAAGTCTGTCACAGTCCTCCATATGGCAAAGATGAAGAAAACTGGCAATCTTTTTAGGGGTACCAAGGATCTCCGTTTGTATGGTCTTTATAAATGCAGAGCAGGATGTGGCTTTCCTGCCCCAATTTCACCTCAAGGCATCTACAGCAACCCCACATGGCTCCCCTCTGTGCTCATGAAATAACTTGAGGTCAGGGTCTCTCAGCTTTAAAGCCTTGGAATCCTACGCATAGTTTGTTTGTGTGTAGATATGCAGTTTGAAGGGTAGCTTCTGTAACAAGGTGTTGAACTCCACGAAAGTTCAGAATCATGTCACTGGATCCCTAGTCCGTCTCCACAGACCAGGGTGCCAGTCAGGTCAGTTGCTGTGGTAACTGCAGCAGATGGTCCCTTTAGAGATGGAGTCCAGGGATGTCATGGCCAAGGCACAGAGTTTTATATCAACTGAAGAAAGTGAAGACCAGCCAGAGAGGCTGCAGTTCAGGGAATCCAGAGGCTCCTCCCCCACCATGATACTAGGAAGGTCTATCCCCAGGGTGACAGAAATAAGGCACTGGACTGATTCAGGCATGCTAGGTTCCCAGCAGAGGAGGGTGAGGGAGGAGATCCAGGGGGCCTGGCTCAGTCATCTTACCTGGTGCACCTTTCTCCCCCAGAGATAATTCTTTCAAAAAAGTTTGGATCCTACACAGACCAAAAATGCTGGTGTCAGGGCTTTTACAAAGTGCCTGTGGTGCTGTAGATCCTGCAGCAAGGTGCTCTTGGCAGGCACCCAGTACAGTTCTGCCCTGTCCTCATCCTCAATATAGACCTCCAAATTATCAGGGCAATATTTTTGCTCTAGGTCCCAAGAGGGTGTTTCACCAAACATCACCATTAGATGATCAATAAATCTGGAGTCCTCATGAAAAGCAGAGATGAAATCCGATTGGGCATACTCTGGGTACAGAAAGAGCACAGGCCAGCTCAGCCTGCCCTGGTCATCTAGACTCAGTCTGGCTCCATGGGGGTTCTCAGAGCTGAGTCCATCCAGGAAAAGCTCACCTAGACCTTCTGAGGCTGAAACTTCATCCTCACAGGCAGCTTCAGAGAGCCTGATATTCCTAGCCTTGGTATCCTGGAGTAAAACTTCATTCTGATTCCTCTCCTTTTCTTTCAAGTTGGCTTTCCTCACATCCCTCTGTTCAATTAGCTTCAGCTTGTCTACTTTAGCCCTCATTTCCAGAAGCTTCTTCTCTTTGGCATCTATCTGCAGTCCCTCATCACATCAGTTCACAGCCTTGGCAAAGTGTTTCAGTTCCAGATGGCATAAGGCACCTCTTATTATTGCTTTGAGGTAGCACGGTTTTAACTTTTTGGCAGCTGTCACATCACGGAGAGCAGAATGAAAATTGCCCAGATAGTATTGTGCTGCTGCCCGGTTGGTATAAAGGACAGCACTCAAATCAGGATTTGCACATTTCTTCTTTAATCCCTCAGTGTAGGAAATTACAGCTTTCTTGTAGTCTTTTTCTTTAAAATAATCATTGCCCTCATCTTTATAGGTCTTGGCCTGTTCTGGAGAATGCTCCCCATCAAAAATAATTGACTGGAGACAAGCCAAGTCAGGATTCTCCCTGGGATCAATTTCTGATGGCGCTTTCTTCATAAACAGGGGGACCTTTTCAAATTCCTCTTCCCACTGGTCCTCATGAAAGCCGCCACGGTAAGGCTGGCTCTGGAACTTTTCCAGGAACAAGTCCGTGGCATCGTCTGAGGTGGGGTCCTGCTCAGGTTACTCCATAACTGATGCCCTGCCCTCCAGCCCAGGTCCCGGCACCGTGAAGTGTAGAAAATACTCTACAATGAATAAAAATAAAATACAATATTCAAGATTTATGAATGCAATAAAAGCAGTGGTCAGAAGGAACATTTAAGCTCTAAACACATTAAAAAAGAAGAATGATATTAATAGAAAATCTAATTGTGTATCTTACATAACTAGAAAATGAAAAGCAGTCTAAAGCCAAAGCATGAAGGAGGTAGGAAATAATGATTAGAGGAAACATAAATGACATAGAGAATAGAAAAACAAGAGAGAGTATCAATGAACCTAAAATTTGGTTCTTTAAAAAGATTACCAGATTTGACAAACCTTTAGCTATACTAATAATAGAAGACTAAAATAAATAAAATTAAAAATGAAATCATAGACATTATAACTGATACCATAGAAATACAAAGGATCAAAAGAAACTACTAATGAACAATTATATGCCAACAAATTGGATTACCTACAGGAAATTGATGAATTCCTACAACATACAACCTACCAACGCTGAATCATGAAGAAATAGAAAATCTAAACAGACCAATAGTGAGTAAAGAGATTGAGTCTGTAATCAAAAATCTTACAAAAAAGAAAAGCTCAGTATCAGACAGCTTCACTGATGAGTTCTATCAGTCCTTTAATGAAAATTTATACCAATCATTGCCAAACTCTTTCATAAAATTGAAGAGATGAGAATAGTTCATAATTCATTGTATGAGGCTGGCATTACGTAGATACAAAGCCAGACAAAGACATTACAAGATTGTCTCTTTTAAGTATAGATGCAAAGCCTCTTGATAAAATCCTATCAAACTGAATACAGCAGCATATTAAAGGGATCATACTCCATGACAAATGGGATTTATCTCAGTAATGCAAGAATGGTTCAACGTATGAAAATCACTCAATGTAAGAAACCACATGAATAGAATGAAGGGAGAAAAAAGACCCCAAAATATACGAACATTTCAGTTGATGCAGAGGAATCATTTGATAAAGTTCAACATTCTTTTAAAACACTCAGTAAATGAAGAATAAAAGATATCTTCCATAACACGATAAAGGTGATATATGAAAAACCCACAGCTAACATCACACCCAATATTGAAAGACTCAAAGCTTTCCCTTAACAATGGGAACGAGAGCAGGATTCCTACTGTCGCTATTTTTACTCAATATAGTAGTAGAAATTCTAGCCAGAGCAATTAGAGAAGTCAAATAAATGAAAATCTTACAAATTGAAAAGAGAGAAGTTCTCCATTCACAGATGACCTGGTCTTATGTGTAGAAAGCTCTAAGGATTTAATAACAAAACTATTAGAGCTAATAAATGAATTAAGCAAAGTTGTAGGACAAAAAAACAATAAACAAAATCAGTTGTGTTTCTATACACTAGAAATAAGCAATAGGACAAGTTTTTTAAAACTTTCTTTTTATAGTAGCATCTGAAAGAACAGATATGTAGGAATTTAATCGGAAATTAAAGACGTACTGAAAACTACAAAACATTGCTGAAATAAAGAAGTCATAAATCAATGGAATGTGTTCATGGTGTAAGATTTAATATTGTTAAGGTGATAATGCTACTCGATTTGCTTTGCTAATCAAAGCAATCTACAGATTGAATCCAACAATTTTTTTTTTCTTGTGGAAATAGAAAACCCATTCTAAAGTTCATATGAAATCTTAAGGGACCTTGCATAGCCAAAACAATCTTGAAAAGAATAAATGTGGACAACTCACATTTCCTGATTTCAAAACTTATCACAAAGATACAGTAATCAAAACAGTGAGGTACTTGTATAAAGACAGACATACAGACCAATAGATTTGAATAGATATTCCAGAAGTAAACTCTCACATACACAGACAATTGATTTTTGACAAGGGCACAAAAGCCATTCAATGGGGAAAAGGACAATCTTTTCAACAAATGGTGCTGGGAAAACTGTGTATCCACATGTAAAAAAATGAAGTCAAACCTTTTCCTCAAATTATATACAGAAATTCACCAAAAATGAATAAAATACTTAAATATAAGAACTAAAACTATAAAACTCTTAGAGGAAAACATACAACTAAATCTTCATGATATTAATTTCTTAGATATGACACCAAAAGGATGAGGAATAACAAAAATAGATAAACTGAAGGGTAGAAAGCAAAGTGATAATGGAAGATGAGAGTCGAGTGATGTGACCAGGAGCCAAGGAATGCCATGGCCTCTAGATGTGGGGAGTTAAGGGACCAATTTTCCCTGGAAACTCCTGAAGGAACTTGCCATGCCAACACCTTGATTATAGCCCTTTAAGATACATTTTGGACTGTTGATCTCCAGGATTGTAAGATAATACATTCGTGTTGATTTAAGCCACTGAATATGTGGTGATTTGTTACAGCAGCAATAGTAAACTGATACACAATCTCAATGAAAGTAGGGATTTCTGTCTTCCCACACCCTGCTCACTTCACTAGAGAATTTATAGCACTTAGTGTATTCTTCGATAAATATTTGTTGAGTAAGATGAATGAAGCCAGACTTTAGAGTCAGATTACACTTGGCTGGTTAACTGTTGTGAGGAAAGCAGTTGAAAGTTCTCTTGGCCTTGCTTCTACTTGCACTGGGAAGCACTGTCATCAATGAAGGGGTTGCTGTGGGTTTCAAGAGAAAAGAAAAGGTGTGAGAATCTCCCAGGTACAGTGGGAGCTCATCTGGACTAGGGAAATAAAATAGGATTGCTTGGTTATTGCTCACTTGGTCACTAATATAACATGAATTGAGACAGTATGGTTGTATATTTTTCTCCAATTAAGGTTATGGGGTGGCATGGCCTAGGGGAAGTTACTTATTTTGCAAGGGTGATTTGATAGAGGCAGCAAGCCAGGTAGCTGGGATGTTTGCAAGGGCATGATCATAATGGTGTACCATGCAATTTAAGCAGGGGCAGGTGGAAATAAGGACTTGATGTGATATGTTCAGATCCATGAATAAGACATCATAACAGGAGTCACAGTATTGTCAGACTAGAAGTACTGGAGGAAGGGAGCTGGACATTTGAAAGAGATGGGAGGGTGGAATGTTTGAGATTGAGTGAATGGAGGTGCTGTGTTCATTTGGTCATGCTAAGGTCTTGGGGTGGCCATGGGAGGGGTGGGTGGCTGAGGTGGGGCAGAGGACAGACTCATCTGGAGATGATGCAATAAATGAAGGGGAAAGCTAGGCCCTGCAAGGAGCTCTCTTGTGTGTATTAAAATCATCAAAAACTGTGGCAGGAGTGATTGCAGAGATCCTAGTGACCCATGATCAAGGAATGAAGAGGAAGACCAGCGGTCTAGAGATTACTGCACATGTGGGGTGGGAAGAGGGCGGTAACAGATGACAATCATTAATTTGATAAAAAAGTATTGAATGTCTGCTCTGTGCCAGGCACATGGTGGTAGGGTCTGATGGGAGGTTAAAGGGAAGAGAGGTGGATAATGTTCTGGAGATTTCAATGAGCAAGAAGGGTATTTAGCCCACATTGAGGCCCAACAGATTGAAGCCTTAAAAGAAAACAGCAACACCTGAGAAGGATGCCAGGAAATGAGTCCTAGGGGTACATGTGGAGTCAGCTGGAGCACATCCAGGAAGAAGGACAGAAGAAAGACTGTGAAGGACTTGAGTCAGGGAGGGGTGTGAGCTGACTCAGAAAGGGTGATGCATGGGTAGGCCATGGGGTGAGGGATGAACGGGAGTCTTGGATTTCCTGTGGTCACTCAGGGAAACCCAGCAGCTAAAAGTAAGTGATTTAAGCAAATGAATGGACAGATGAATTAATGAATAGACTAAAGATGGACAAATGCTTCCACCAGCCTTGCTTCAGGCCCTATTTAGAACTGAAGTTGACTTCCTCTTTCTTTTAATAGCTGCAAAAATGATGAATTTGATTTTCGTCTCTAGAAGCAATTTCCTTTTTAAATCAGGTGAGGATCTTGGCAGATGCGAAGAATCTTTCAGAACCTGCATGTATATGAGAAAGGGATATGACAGCATGAAGTTCTCCTGTTTGAAGAAGCTAAATGGAGCCACTTTTTGACTCAGTTGACTGGGACCTGGAGCTGGTGCACTATTTGAATTGCATGGTGTGCCTGCCGCTGCCTTTTGACTTCTCCAGCCTGTACACCTGCCTTTTTGGGGAGAACTGTGGTAACATATGGGGAGGCGTCCTGTATTTTCTGCAATATCTGACAAAGAAAAACTAGTTGGTTCATATGTATATATGATCTTTCAACAAGAACGTCAAATAAATATCTTCACTCCTTGGGGAGAAGCAGGTCAGAGCCCCACTGTCTCAGCTAGCTCTCACTTGGCTGTCTTGTTTTGGGGCTGGAAGGCCACACTGTGTTTCCTGGGGTAGAGGCGGAGTCTGGGCATTCTCCCTTTGTAGCTGAGAGCTAAGAGCAGTTGTGTCTGCTTTGATAAAATAAAGTTATTTTTTAGTTTAGTCTGATCTCCAAATCCTTCCCTTTCAGATACCTCTGCCATCCAAGATCAGGGGATACTAAATTTTCAAAGCATTTTCTCAGGAGTTGCATGAGAAAACATACACCTGCTCTTGTTTTCAAGGGGTGTGGGCAAGAAGTAAAAAGGACAAACTGTTAATGAGAACACTTTCTGTATTCCTCCCTCCCCACTGATACATACCAGTACCATAAAATTTAAAATGAGTCAAATGACTGCAGTAAGACTTTACTTTGGTATACGAGGCAAAATGTTGGACATGGGTGCTAATTAATCATCAGAGAGTTACAGGGGAACCTGGACGAATTAAGACTGGGGCAAGAGACAGCTCATCAAGGATCTTGCCCTGTAGCTCAAGAAGAAAATGTTTAACTTAGTTGCCTGGACACTCTGAGGATAGAATGAAATGCTGTATGCGACCTGTTGGCCTTGGAAGCCGGCATGGATTCAGCACCCAGGGTTGGGGTGAACCTTCTCTCCCTCACTGTGTCAGGCATCTTAGTCTGCCCCAGGATGTGCAGGCTGCCTGTCCCTGGCCTCACATCCTGCTGTAAGTGGGATTGTGACCCCCTGAAATGCATATGTTGAAGCCCTAACTGCCTCTGTGATGGTATTTGGAGGTGAAGCCTTTGGGAGATAATTAGGGTTAGATGAAGTCCTAAGGACCTCCATGATGGGATTAGTGTCCTTACAAGAAGAGGAAGAGACACCAGAGCTTCCCCTCTCTCACCTGTGAGGACAGAGGTAGCAGGTGGCTGTGTGCAAACCAGGAAAGGAGCCCCCACTAGGGAACCAGTTGGCTGGTTCCCTGATCTTGGACTTCCAGCCTCTGGAACAGTAAGGAACAAATGTTGGCTGTTTAGGGTGCCCAGGTAATTTGTTATGGGAGCCCAGGCTAAGATATGCACCTTCTCAGCACCTGTGTGTGACGGAACACAGGCTTTGGTGCCAAACATACCTGCATTCCATCACATACCTTGTTATGTGGCCTGTGGTCAGGCACTGCCCCAGGGACACCCCACGTGGATTAGAAAGTCCTTCTCATGCCACATGTACTCCCTGTGCCGTGGGTGGTTCCCACTGTGGTCTCTAAGGCCACCAGCCATTCAGATGCTTACACAGCAAGTGTGTGGGGCTGTGGTTGGGTTCCTCTCCTCTCAGTGGTCAGGGGCATGAAGAGCCGCCTCTCACCACCTTCCATTCTGCTATCACATGCCTTTTGTATTGAACTCTTGTAAGTCTGTGTTATGAGCCAAATCCTGTCACCCCAAATTTCATATATTGAACTCCTAACCCCCAGGAGCCCAGAATACACCTAGATTTACCAATTAAGATAAAATGAGGTACTTAGGGTGGGTCCTGATCCAATATTACTGGTGTTCTATTAAGAAGAGGAAATTAGGACTCACACGCACACAGAGAAATGACCACATGAGGACACAGGGAGAAGATGCCCCATCTACAAAACAGGGAGAGAGGCCTTAGGAGAAACCAGCCCTGAGAACACCTTGATCTCAGACTTCCAGTCTTCAGGATGGTGAGAGAATACATTTCTGTTGTTTGAGCTGCACAAGCTGTGGTGTTTGTTACAGCAGCCTGAGCAGACTGATACAGGCTGTCACCACTCAGGGCCTTCAGCTGTACTTCTTGTCAGGATGCCATTTCCTTGGTCTCCATGGAGATAACTTCGATTCCTTTCTCAGGAATTCACTTGGGCATTCTTAAATGCTCCAGGAAGGCTTCTCTGCACCCCTCAGGCTGGGCTGTGCCTTCAGGGTGCCCCTGGCTCCCTGGGCATGCTGTGTTTGCAGGGCTGATCCCAGTGTGCTGTATCCCACTGTGCTTCTAGGGTCCTTGTTTGACTGCAGATTTCTCTTGTGTCCAGTTGTTATCTTTGAATTGTGTCCTCAGTGCTCAGTACTGTGTTTGGGATATTGGCCATACTTAGTAAACGTATGTTGAATGAAGAAATAGATGAATCACAGTGGTAAACCAAGGTGAAAATCTGAGTGATAAATTATCAGAGAAGCACAATAGACTACTATAGTCCAATGGAGCCATGCCATTGGTGCTTTCCTGGCCTTTTGGTTTGAATCAACTAGTAATCATGTTGATGGTCTACTTCACTTTGTGGTTTTGACATGACTATCATGTCACTCAAAGATAAACAGATCCGCTCTTAGGGAAGAGTTACTTGAACTGAGGCCAGGAGAGATATATTCTCTTGTTTTTGATGTCACATTGACTATTTTTCAGAAAGCAAGGATAACAACACAGCCTCTTGAAACTGTTATTGAGGATTTTCAAGGGATTTGTAAATTATTTTTTTAACCAAATAGGGAAACAGCTTTTTTATATACTGCAAAATTGTGGAGATAAAAGTTTCCTTGCTTGTGTTTCCTTTTAAAATTATCAAGGCAGACCCAGCTTACAAAGGGAGAAATAGCATGGATGTAGAAAGAGGTGCGTGAGGTGGGCTTTTGTATCCTCTGCACCCTGCCTTTTACACAAGCCCCAGAGCCCCTTCTGCTCAATGAGGGACCCCTCGGGTGCCAGGCCTGGTTGGCCAGGCTGGGCTGCAGCCCCTTCATAAGCTTCTAGTATGACAGTGTTGTTAAACAGCTCTGTTTTTTAAGTTTTAGGTTCCACTTGGAGTTTGTACATAGAAGACATTTGGAAGAATAAAATCCATATAAAACCATGTTTATCCAGCCTACTTATTCTTGTTATTCCTCATTCTTGGAACCTGTGTGGAAATCTTATAATAATTAATTGCTTAAGATTTTATTTCCTTGTCCTGTTGTTTTGGTGTTTACTGCCCGTTTCCCGGGATACTGACGAGGAAATGGAATGAAAGGCCCTTAACACGCTCTGGACATGGCCACCCTGAGTTGTACTTGGCTATGGGAGCTCAAGTTCACAGCAAGAGAACAGAGGCCAGAATGGCCAGCTCAGTTTCTTGGCTGAATTATCATGTGAACTTTTCCCTCCCTATCAGTATTAAACCTTTTCCCAGCTCTACATGGGACATGCTTTGTCTCTGGGGTCAGTGGGGTTGTTGAAAATAAAGACTGTGATATTATGAGTGATGTGCTGCTGTGGGAGAGGATGGATCTCAGTAGCAAGAACTACCCCCCCCAGTGACACCTCATGTCATCATCCTGGACCGCTGGTGTAGAGTCATTGAATTTTGTGTGATGTTAACATGGATGGCTCAGATCAGTAACACAGAGGCAAGGAAAGAGGTACCATGAATGGGAACAGTTCGGGGAAGCTTTATCAACCTCTCCAGACCTTATTTCTCCATCTAAGTGAAGGAAGAGTGTGATGTGAAGATGTCATGTGTCAGGTGCCAGCTCTAGTGCCAGTCATGTGTCAGTGCCCAGCTGAGGCTCACTCTTCCTCCCTTTTCTTGCTTCTCAGCTTCCAGCCTAGAATCCTTGTTCTGCATGCTGGGAGAGAGCACCAACTTTGGAGTCCCCCAGCCCTGAGTGTGACTATGGGTTCTTGCTTTTCATGAGTGTTTTCGGGCAAATTTTTTCACATTTCTAGGCCTCAGTTTCTTCTTCTGTAAAAAAGGAAAAGCACTTATGTCATTGTGTTGTTTTGAGGATAGAAAAATACTGTGAAGCATTTAGTATGTTTCGAGCACATTGTATGCACTCAATTCATGGTCACTATTATTTTATTTACAAATATAATATAAATATAAATATAATAAAATGCTTCCCAACTAGTCCGCAAAAGAAGACTGCCTGAAACGTATTGATATTTTTCTTTTTGATTTCTGGAGCTGTCATATGCCAAATGCTCTTGGGATGCAGAATTCTATTTTTCTGGAAATGAAGTCATGGGTCGAATGATTGGCAAAGAAAGTCATATTACATTTTGTTTTTTATTCTCACAAAGTATGAAGTGGATCATTGGCAACCTTAATTTAAAATAGTGCTAAATAGAAAGTATATGTAACAGTACTTATTTATTCTGGAACTTTAAAACTATAGTGAAAAATTTTCTAGACCAGGAGTCAGCACACTTTTTCTGAAAAGGACCAGATGGTATATATTTTAAGCTTTGCAGGCCTTCCTGTCTCTGTCACAACTACTCAACTCTGCTGTTTAGTGCAAAAGCAGCTGTGAACAATATAGAAATGATGAGTGTAGCTACGTACCAGTAAAGCTTGAGTGGTGTGACATTGACTTGTCAGATTCCCCCTCTATATCTTGCTTTCCTCATTACAAAAGGAGCGTCAGTCTGAGGATGCTAAACAATGTACTTAAATGTACCTAGCACAGTGTCAGGCATGAACTAATGGAGCTCACTCTGGCCTTTTATGCCATGGGTCCACAGTCCATGTGCTGTTCATGGTTAATTTAATTTTGGAGTGGTGAAGGAATTTCGTGATCTATCTATTTGTAGCAACTGGGGTGCTGTGTTGAGAACGATTCTGGGACTGTCTGGGCTTGGCTGAAAAGTATGCGGTGACGTCCATTCCTAGACTAGGCAGTGTTTCTTCTTTTCTTGTTATGTTCCCTGTATTTCAGCCATTTTTTTCTTCTGGGTTCTTCAGTCTGGTTTTTTTTTTTTTTTTTTTTTTTTTTTTTGCAATCTCATATCACCCCTTACCTTCACTCACAGTGGGAAGTGGGTATGTCTATAGTTCTGGGTTGGAGAGGAGTTGTTGACATGACTATTTCTTTAAAATTTTCTATGGTTTAAACTCTAATTTTAATCTGATGATTAAGCAAAATGTACATTTTAATTGATTAATGTTTTCTTAAGGTATAGGATAAAAGTATTTCCACGTCTGTCTGTCTTTCTTTCTGTCTGTCTGTCTTTTCTTTCTTTCTTTCTTTCTTTCTTTCTTTCTTTCTTTCTTTCTTTCCTTTCTTTCTTTTCTTTCTGTTTCTTTCTCCCTTCCTCCCTTCCTTCCTTCCTTCTTTCTTTCTTTTTCTTTTTGAGATGGAGTCTCCCTCTGTTGCCTAGGCTGGAGTTCAATGGCATGATCTTGGCTCACTGCAACCTCTGCCTCCCAGGTTCAAGCGATTGTCCTGCCTCTGCCTCCCAAGTAGCTAGGATTACAGGTGTGGGCCACCATGCTACAGGCTAATTTTTGTATTTTTAGTTGGCCTGGCTGATCTTGAACTCCTAACCTCAGGTGATCTGCCTGCCCTTGGCCTCCCAAAGTGCTAAGATTACAGGCATGAGCCACCGTGCCTGACCTCTACATGTATGTTTTATGTGTGAGATGTTGTCAGTCTTAATTTAGGAAAAATCCTTTTTAATTTTCTAAGGTTTATTTTTTCTTTTTTTATACCCCAGGATTGTCATATAAATCTGTCTTCTGCAGTGGAATGCAGAAGAGGAGATTACAGTTCTGAAGCATCATTGTCCACACCTTTCTCTTGCTGCCCTCCCAGCTGGAGGTGGACACCACCCCTGCAGCGCAGAGCAGGGAGGCTGGCCCAGTACTGCAGGGGCTTCATGTGCAGGCTGATTCCTTTCCTGTGTTTGCAAAGTTGGAGGCAGTCCACAAGGCAGCTTTCTGCACCATCTGCAGAATTTATAGGTTCTTAAGGTCACCCTCAGGTTTGATAATTTGCTAGGTGAGTTCTTACAGAACTCACTGAAAACTGTTATACTCATGGTTATGGTTTATTTGAGTGAAAGTATACAGATTACCATCGGCCAAGGGGGAGATGCAGAGCGGAGTTGAGAGCTTTCCAGACGTGGAGCTTCTAGTTGTCCTTATGGTGGAGTATGGACAATGTCAGCTTCTGCTGGGAATGGTATGTTACAATGCTTGTGGGGTATTGACAACCAGGGACAGTCACCTGAGTCTTGCTGTCCCGGGTTCTGATTGGTGCTTGAGCAAAAAGACAGGGTTGACTGCCCAAGTCACTGACTTTTACTCTCCAGCTCCTCTGGAGGAAGAGTGAATACTGCATGGCCCAAAGCCCTCATCATAAATCACACTGCTATTAAACCGCCCAGTGGCCAAAGCCCCAGGCTCAGGTGAGCTTCTTGGTTGGAGATACTATGTTTATCTTAACACATGTCATCCCTTGAAGAAATTTATGCTGTTTGTGAATCCACTGGACAATGACACCTGGAAGATCTGCATTTGGAATCCTCTGGGACTCTGCCCCATGTATCTCTTCCCTTGGCTGATTTTAGCCTATGTCCTTTCATTATAATATAACATTCCATAAATATGCTAGTTTTTAGAAGAATTCTGTGAATTCAGTGGAATTCTGTAGCTGGAGAAGGGAGTGAGGGTGGAGGTGTATGAGAAATACTTGTACAAAACATACCATGAGGCATAGGCCAACCAAAATACTGAGAAATAGTCAGGAGATGAGAAAATGCCCCTCCTCCTACACCTTATCACCATGCTAACAAGCCACCAGTAATAAGTGGATTACAGCTGAACAAGGTGTGAGATAAAGACTCTCTCTGAGAACGTTGTATAAAAGAGGGGTGAAAAAAAAGCAAAGAGGGGTGGAAAATTTTTAAAAGCAACAACAAAAGTACTTACTGGAGGCATTTGAAGTCTTTAGTGGCTACAGCTACAACAAGCATTAAACATATCTCAACTCCTAGACATATCAAGTTTAACATAAATCTTGATATATATTAAATAATGATTATTTAACATATGTTAAATGAAGATTTACCATAAATCTTCATGTTAATGTCCTATTTATCTCAATAACTATTATCCTAGGCAACACGGCTGGCTTTCAACAAGAAATTACAAAGAATGACAAAGGCAAAGTAAACAAAAAAAGCTTCACAATCTGAAAAGGCAAAATAAAAAGAGAGGAATAATCAGAATCAGACTCTGATATGACACAATTGTAGGAATTATCAGATAGGAACTTTTAAATAACCATGTTAAGAGCTAAAATAATATAGTAGTAATAATAATAATAATATACAAGGCCAGGTAGACAATGTCAGAAGAGAAATTGAAACTATAAAAATGTACCGAAAAGAGGTGCTAATAATAATAATAATAATAAAACTGTAACAGAAAAGAAGGGTACCTTCAGTGGAGTCATCAGGAGACTCAATATAGCTAAAGAATCATGGAACTTGAGTATAGGTCAACAGAAACATCTAAAACTCAGATGCAAAGAGAAAATTAGAAATAATAATAATACGGAATAAAATATCCAAAAACCGTGGGGTAATATAAAAAATTACAACATATACACAGTACCAGAAAAAAAAGAAAAAGAGAATGGATGGATAGAAAATATTAAAAAATATAATAGCCAAGCACTTTCTAAGTTTCACGTTTTATTGATTGAAACTACAATAACATACAGGTCCAAGAAGTTATACGTATTATATTCAAATTGTAGAAAATGAGAAACAAAAAGAAAATTTTCAAAAAAACCAGGGAAAGAATATACATCACTTATAAAGGAACAAAGATAAGGATTACAGCAGATTTGTTATAAGAAACCATGCAAACAACAAGAAAATGAAATAAGTTCTTTAAAGAACCTGTTGAAAAAAAACTCAACCTAAAATTTTATAACCAGTGAAATTATAGCTGACCACTTCTTAAAAGTGGAGCAGAAATAAAGGCTTTCTGAGACTAACAAAAAAATGAGAGCATTCATTGTAAACTGATCTGCCTTGAAGGAAATTTTAGAATAAATTCTTCAGGCAGAAGGAAAATTATATAGGTCAGAAACTTAGATCTATATTAAAAAGGAAAGGCATCAGAAAAGAAAGAAATGATGATAAAATATACTAATTTCCCTTATTTTTAATTGATCTAAAAGATAACAGTCTCCTTAAAGCAACAATAGTAATAATATTGGAAGTTTATAGCATATGGATAAGTAATATGAATAACAGCATTGTCAGAAGAATTGAAAGGGGGAATTTGGAAATATTCTGTTTAAGATATCTTCATTACCCATCAATATATATAAAGTATTATTTGAAGATAAATTTAGATTATTTAAAAATGTGCATTATAAACCCTTGAGCAACCACTCAAGAAGTTAAAAAAAAGTACAAATTATATGCCCAGAGAAGAGATAAAATGGAATCAAATAAAATGCTTAGTTAAAACGAGAGAATGCAGAAAAGGGGAAAAAAGGGAGAAGCAAAGAATAAAGCAACAAATGGAAAATAGTTAGAAAGATAGTAGATTTTTGTTAATAATCAACTTAAAAATGGCCTAATTGTAACAATGAAAAGTTAGAGATTATCAGAGTAGATTAAAAAAAGAGACCCAATCATATGCTGCCTAACCATTTTAAATATTAATATAAAGACTCAAGTAGGTTAAAAGCAGAGATGGAGAAACTTATGCCATGCTAACACTAATCAAAAGAATGCTGGAATAGCTATATCTGTTTCACACAAAACAGACATTCGAACAAGGATGATTTATCAGTATAAGGAGGTATCTTGCATGATGATATAGAGACCAATTCTCTAGGAAGACATAATTTCAAGTATGTATGCACCTAACAACAGAGCATCAAATAGATGAGGCAAAACCAAATAGAACTGAAATGAGAGGTAGGCAAATCTACTATTATAGTTTGAAACTCCAATACCCCTCTATTAATAATAGATAGATAAGGTGAGGAGAAAATCAGTAAGGATACATATTACCTGATCTGCACCGTCAAGCAGACTGAGCTAATTGGTATTTATATAGCACTTTATTCAACAAAAGCAGGCTACATATTCTTCTCAAGTACATATGGAACATTCACCAAGATAGCCCATATTCTCAGTGAAAAAAAACCACAACACTTAAATGGAGAGGATTAGGGAAATTATACAAAATGCATTCTCAAGACACAATGAAATTAAGAAATCAATAAATGAAAAATAGGAAAATATCAACATATGTGGAAATTTAATATGTTTTAAAAAAAACCGTTGGTTAAAGAAGTCTCAAATGAAATTTTAAAAATTAAACTGAATGAAAATTAAAACAAAACTTATAATTTATAGGATACAGCTAACACAGCACCTTAAGGAAATTTATAACATTGAATACATATATTAGAAAAGTAGAAATATCTACAAACCCATTACCCAGGCATCAAGTCTTAGTAAGCTGGAGAAAAAAGAACAATTAAGTGTAAAGCAAACAGGGAAAACAACCAATAAAAATTATAGCAGAAATCAATGAACAGAAAAAATAGGGAAAATCAATGAAACAAAAATTTGGTTATTTGAAAAGTCCAGTGAAATTGGTAAACCTCTAGCCAGACTAACCTGTAAAAAGAAAATAAAGATATATATTTCTAATATCAAGAATGAAAGAGGGGTTATGACTACTGATTCATAGATATTGAAAGGATAATAAAGGAATACTACAAACAACTTTACACCTGTATATTTTATAACTGAAATGAAATAAGCCAATTCTTGGAAAAACACAAATCGCAAAAATCCAATTAAGGAGAAAGGGGTAACTTGACTGTCTCTATATCTACTAAAGACGTTAAATTGTCAATTAAATTCTAAACAATTTGCCAGTGAAACCACCTGGCAAATTATATTAAATATTTGAAGACATAATACAAATTCTACATAATATTGTCCAGAAATACAAAAGGAAGGAAACTTTTCAATTCATTTTATGAGACCAAGATTACCCTAATTACCAAAATCAGATAATATTACAAGAAAATTGCAAATATATCTCATTAATATAGATGCAAAAATCCTTAGCAAAATGTTAGCAAATAAAATCCTGCAATAAAAAGGATAATACATTACAATCAACTGGAGTTCCTTTCAAGAATGAAAAGCTGGTTCAACATTCATAAATCAAAAAATTTTATTCATGATATTAAATTAAGAAAAACTGTAAGATCATATTTTGTGTATATGTGTATTTAATTTTTCAAAAAAAAATTTTAAAATTACTACTAAGAGATCTGACTAGGAGGCTGGTATGATCCACGGAAAGGAAGGATGAACAGCGTGGTGTGGGGCCGCCCACCTGAGAGCCACATGGGGCAGGGGAGCCCCCTCCCCCCAGCCAAGGGAGGCGGTGAGTGAGGGTACCGTGCTTTTTCCATGGAACTGTGCAACCAACAAGTTGCACAGTTGGAACTTTGCAAGTGGAAAATCCCACTTGCAAACCCACACCACCAGGGCCTAGCGTCCCAACCACAGAGCGGTGCAGATTCTCAACAGCCTGTCAGCTGGAATCTGCTTAAGCCTACTGAGGTCCTGGGGGGAGGGGCGACCAGCACTACAGCTGCAGCTGCTGTCTAAGCTGTTTTTTTAGCTCCTTGGGGGAGGGGCAGCAGCCAGCATTGGCACTCACAACTGCTTAACACGCTAAGCTCCGTGGGTTGGGGGAAGGGCGGCATTCATCTCCATAGCTCCAGACTGTGCTTTTCCCCTGCTGGAGCCAGGGAGGGTGGACGGCTTGGTCCCAAGACATGTTCCCCACAGCCCAACACACCAGCTGTGGCAGACTGCGGCCAGAGTGGCCAGAGTGCTTCTTCAGGCCTGACCTTGACCCATCCTTCCTCATTGGGTGGAGCTTCCCTTCAGGAACTCCAGTAACTCCAGCCAGAGGCTCAGGGACAGAACCTGGACCTCACTGAGCCTGAGCCCCTAGGGGGAGGGGTGGCCACAGTCTCTGCGGACCAGCCAACTTAGCCTTTCCTCCTGGTAGTTCTGAGGAATCTGGGCAGCCCAGATGAGTGGGTTTCCCCCAAGTGAAGCACACCCCCTCCACCAAGGGACAAAGTGCTTCATTAAACAGGTCCTGTTCCCTGAGCCACCCAATTGGGTGAGACCCTTCAACAGGGGTTGTCAGACCCTATATAGGAGCAATCCTACTGGCATCAGGTTGGTGCCCCTCAAGGTCAGAGATCCCAGAAGAAGGTGTAGGCACCCATCTTTGCTGTTCTCTAGCCTCCCTAAATGACATGTCCAGGTGCAGGAGCAGACCAGATGAATAGGGCCTGACGTGAACCCCCAGCAAACCACAGCAGCCCTGCAGAAGAGGGACCTGACTATTGAAAAACAAAAACAAACAGCAACAGCAACAGCATCATCAACAACAAAAGCCCCCGCAAAAATCCCATCCAAGGGTCAGCAGCCTCAAAGAGTGAAACTAGACAAACTCGTGAAGATGAGAAAGGATCAACAAAAAAAACGCTGAAAACCCAAAAGGATACAGTGCCTCTTCTCCTCCAAATGATTGCAACGTTTCTCCAACAAGAGCGTAGAACTGGATGGAGGATGAGATGGACAAATTGACAGATGTGGGCTTCAAAAGATGGGTAATAAAAAACTACGCTGAGCTAAAGGAGCATATTTTAACCCAATGCAAAGAAACTAAGAACTTGATAAAAGGTTAGAGGAGCTGCTAACTAGAATAACCCATTTAGAAATGAACATAAATGACCTGATGGAACTGAAAAACACAGGATGAGAACTTCGTGAAGCATACACAAGTATCAACAACCGAATTGACCAAGCAGAAGAAAGGATATCAGAGATTGAAGACCACTTTGCTGAAATAAGGCATGCAGACAAGACTAGAGGAAAAAGAATGAAAAGGAATGAACAAAACCTTCAAGAAATATGGGACTTCATAAAAGGACCGAACCTACGATTGATTGGAGTACCTGAAGGAGACAGGGAGAATGGAAACAAGCTGGAAAACACACTTCAGGATATTATCCAGGAGAACTTCCCCAACCTAGCAAGACAGGCCAACATGCAAATTCAGGAAATGCAGAGAATATCACTAAAAAACTCCGTGAGAAGATCAACCCCAAGACACATAATCATCAGATTCTCCAAGGTCAAAATGAAGGAAAAAAAATGTTAAGGGCAGCCAGAGAGAAAGGTCAGGTCACCTACAAAGGGAAGCCCATCAGACTAACAGTGGACCTCTCAGCAGAAACTCTACAAGCTAGAAGAAATTGGGGATCAATATTCAATATTCTTAAAGAAAAGAATTTTCAGCCCAGAATTTCCTATCCAGCCAAACTCAGCTTCACACGTGAAGGAGAAGTAAAATCCTTCCCAGACAAGCAAATGCTGCAGGATTTCATTACCACCAGGCCTGCCTTGCAAGAGCTCCTGAAAGAAACACTAAATATGCAAAGGAAAAATTGGTACTAGCCACTGCAAAAACACACCAAAATCTGAAGACCAATGACACTATGAAGAAACTGCACCAACTGGTGTGCGAAATAACCAAATAGCATCATGAAGACAGGATCAGATTCACACATGACAATATTAACCTTAAATGTAAATGGGCTAAATGCCCCAATTAAAATCCAGTCTGGCAAATTGGATAAAGAGTCAAAATCCATCAGTGTGCAGTATTCAGGAGGCCCATCTCACATGCAAATAAACACATAGGCTCAAAATAAAGGGATGGAGGAAAATTTATCAAGCAAATGGAAAGCAAAAAAACCCGCAGGCATTGCAATCCTAGTCTCTGACAAAACAGACTTTAAACAAACAAAGGTCAAAAAAGACAAGAGCATTACATAATGGTAAAAACAACAGTTCAACAAGAAGAGCTAACTAGTTTAAATATATATCCACACAATACAGGAGCACCCAGTTTCATAAAATAAGTTCTTAGAGAACTGCCAGGAGACTTTGACTCCTACATAATAATAGTGGGAGACTTTAACACCCCACTGTCAATATTAGACAGATCAATGAGACAGAAAGTTAACAAGGATATTCAGGACTTGAACTCAGCTCTGGATCAAGTGGACTTAATAGACACCTACAGACCTCTCCACCCCAAATCAACAGAATATACATTCTTCTCAGTGCCATATGGCACTTATTCTAAAATCGACCACATAATTGGAAGTAAAACACTCCTCAGCAAATGCAAAAGAATTGAAATCATAATGAACCATCTCTCAGATCACAGTGCATTCAAATTAGAACTCAGGATTAAGAAACTCACTCAAAACCACACAATTACATGGAAATTGAACAACCTGCTCCTGAATGACTCCTGGGTAAATAATGAAATTAAGGCAGAAATCAAGAAGTTCTTTGAAACCAGTGAGAAGAAAGAGACAATGTACCAGAATCTCTGGGACACAGCTAAAGCAGTGTTAAGGGGGAAATTTATAGCATTAAATTCCCACATCAGATTCATGACAGAGGCATGGGCAAAGACCATGACGAAAACACCAAAAGCAATTGCAACAAAAACCAAAATTGACAAATAGGATCTAATTAAACTAAAGAGCTTCTGCTCAGCCAAGTAAACTATCATCAGAGTGAACAGGCAACCTACAGACTGGGAAAACAATTTTTGCAATATACTCATCTGACAAAGGTCTAATATCCAGAATCTACAAGGAACTTAAACAAATTTACAACAACAACAAAAAAACAACCCCATCAAAAAATGGGCAAAGGATATAAACAGACACATCTCAAAAGAAGACATTTACATGGCCAACAGACATATGAAAAAAAGCTCAACATCACTGATCATCAGAGAAATGCAAATCAAAACCACAATGAGATACCATCTCATGCCAGTCAGAATGGCGATTATTAAAAAGTCAAGAAACCATAGATTCTGGTGAGGTTCTGAAGAAATAGGAACACTTTTACACTGTTGGTGAGAATGTAAATTAGTTCAACTATTGTGGAAGACAGTATGGTGATTGCTCAATGATCTAGAACCACAAATACCATTTGACCCAGCCATTCCATTACTGGGTATATATCCAAAGGAATATAAATCATTCTATTATAAAGATACATGAACATGTATGTTTATTGCAGCACTATTTACAATAACAAAGATATGGAACCAATCCAAATGATAGACTGGATAAAGAAAATGTGATATGTATATACCACGGAATACTATTCAGCCATAAAAATTCATGAGATCATGTCCTTCACAGGGACGTGGATGAAGCTGAAAGCCATCATCCTCAGCAAACTAACACGAGAACAGAAAACCAAACACCACATGTTCTCACTCATAAGTTGAACAATGAGACCACATGGACACAGAGAGGGGAACAACACACACCGGGGCCTGTTGGGGGTTGGGAGGCCAGGGGAGGGAACTTAGAAGACGAGTCAACAGGTGCAGCAAACCACCATGGCACACGTATACCTATGTAACAAACCTTCATGTTCTGCACATGCATCCTGTTTTTTTTTTCAGAAGAAATAAAAACAAAAATTAAAAATAAAATTACTACTAACGTCATATTGAATAGAAAGAACTACAAGATATGCAAATTGGAAACAAATTATTTTTATTTTAAGATGACAAGCATTTCCATTTTGGAAATAACTTAATAAAAATTTCCTGGAACTAATAACCAAGTTTAGCAAGGTCACAAGAACAAGGTTGATCTACAAAATTAATGTACCTTAATAACTGGAATAACAAATTTAACACAATGACAAATCACAACAAAACCAATACGTATGAAGTACTTGTTTATAAGTCTAACAGTATATATACAGGATCTGCATGAAAAAATCTAAAAAACATTGAGGAAAGAAATCACAAAAGATATAAATAATGGAATGATATTCTCTATTCATGGATTGAAAGAATTAATTAATCAAGATGGCAGTGTATTGGTGAAGAAAAGAGATCAATGGAACTCAATAGAAAGCCCAGAAATGAGAATACACAAATATAGCCAACTGATTTTTTTTTACAAAGATGTAAAGTAAATTTAATGGAGAAAGGAGGGTTTTTTCAATAAATGGGATTGCTACAATTAGATATCCACATGCAATAAAATGAACCTCACATTTATACAAAAATTAACTCAAAATGGTCATAAATGTAAAACACAAGACTATAAAACTTGTATTCAACAGATGATACATTTTGAATGGCTTTTGGTTTGGTGATTGGTTTTTGGAAACAACACCAAAAGTACAATCCCTGAAAGAAAAAAAAAAGGACAAGTTGGACTTTATTAACTTTAGTAACCTTTCTTTTGTTGAAAGCACTATGAAAAGAACAAAAAGACCACAAACAGACTACCGACAGGGTGAAAATATTTGCAAGTCACATATCTGAGGAACTTTTATATACAACACAAATAATTTTTAAAACTCAGCAATACAGAAACAAACAAACCAATTTAAAAATAGGCAAAGGATCTGATCAGCTATCTCACCAGATTACAAATTAGCATATGAAGTGATGTTCAATATTATTTATTAGGTAAATGGAAATTAAAACAACGAGAGATACTACCTGTTAGAATGGCTAAAAAACAAGAGCAAACCAGAAAACAATACCAGTGCTAAATGCTGGTGAGGATGTGGAGCTATAGGAACTTTCATTCATTGCTGCTGAGAATGCAAAACAGTACAACTACATTGGAAGACAGTTTGGTGGTTTATTACAAAGGTAAACAGTCTAACATATAATGTAGCAATTATGCTCCTAGGTATTTATGCAACTGATTTGAAAACCTCTATCTTTTGTATACAAAACCTGCATGCAAATGTTTATAGTAGCTTTATTCATACTTGCCCCAAATTAGAAGTTACAAAGATGCCCTTCAGTAGGTGAGTGAATAAACAAACTGATAGACTTATGTTATAGAATACTATTCAGTGATCAAAAGGTATAAGCTATTAATCCATGCCACAACACAGCAGTATCTTAAATGCATATTGCAAAGTGAAACAAACCATTCATAAAAGGTTATATGCTGTAAGATTCCAACTATAAGACATTTCGGAAAAGGTAAAGGTATAGAGATGGAAAATAGATCAGGTGTTGCCAAAGATTACTAAAGAGCTGCAAGAGATGACAGATGACCTATATTGAACAGCTATGAGATTGACAAGACTGTTCAACAGTAACAGCAGAGGTTAGAAGACAATACAAAATGTTTGCAAGTGTAAATGGATGCTAGATACCAATTGAACATTTTATATCTAATAAATTTTCATTCAACAATGCAGGTAAAATAAATGCATTTTCAGGCAAAAACTGAGATAATTACACTATTTATCTTCCCTAACATGTCTTCTAAAAGAATTTAATCTAGGAAGAAGCAGCTTGAACCCAGAAGGGAGGGATGAAATGCAAAAAGCTTTGATGATTAAAAAAATGGTCAATATGTAATAAACACTGATGATGTTGAGTGATAAAGACTTTATAAAACAAGATTAAACTACACAGCAATACTAGGTCAGACAGGAGAATATGATGAGCTAAGGTGTTGCAAGGTACTTCTACTATCCAGAAGTTAAGTGCTGATACTAGTAAATTTTATACTTAGTCAGGCTTTATTATTGAAACTGTAAGAGTAACCATTGAAATAATATAAATAGACTAGAACGCTAAACTGTTAGAAGTTAAGGCAATGAAGAAGTGTTATTAGGAATGAAGAGGGAGTTATCACATAATGACAAAAATACTTTTTCATAAAGCAAAATTGACATGATTTCAAGGAGAATTTGCAATACAATCATAATGGAAGATTTTAACACATCTTTCAAATTAATTGATAGAAAAATCAGACAAGATATAGAAGATTTGGATAATGAAATTAATAAGCTTGAGGTAATATAGAGCCCTGCGCACCAACTCAACTAAGAATGAATGTAAAAACTAGTAATATATATAGAAGATTTACAAATTTGACCATAATCTTGGGCACAACATAAACTTCAATAAATAACAATATAAAGAACAGAGGCTGTTAGAAATTAGAAATTAATATTTTAAAAGCTATTCATTTCCATGCAGTTAGAGATTTAAAAAAAATCCAAGATTCATGGGTCAAAGAAGAAATCATTTTGGAATTTTTGAAATAGTTAAAACTGAATAATAATAAAATTCTACATATTTTAATTGGTAGAATGCAACTAAACCAGTATCTAAAAGTTAATTTAAATCTTTAAATGACTGTTTTAGAAAGTCCAAAAAATAATGAATTTAACGAGTTGTTAGAAATAAAATAGAATAACTTCCCATTAAAGAAAGAAAAAGGAAAGTAACAAATATTGGTGGAGTACTTAGTGAAACAGAAAATAAATAATAGATAATCCAAGAAACTCAAAGCTGATATTAGAGAAAAATAGAAAGATAACCCATCTTTGTGTCCATGTGAACTCAGTGTTTAGTTCCTGCTTATAAGTGAGAACATGCAGTATTTGGTTTTTTGTTTTTGCATTAATTCACTTAGGATAATGGCCTCCAGCTGCATCCATGTTGCTGCAAAGGACATGATTTCAGTAACTTTCTCCTGATAAGAGACCATGGCCATGGGCTGGTTGTGACTGGTTTACAGAGGCTGAGCACTGAGTGCCTGCATGCCCTGCTTCATCTTTTGATCTATAGGACTTAATTGCAATACATTTAAATGTCGTTTCCACTCCAAAATGAACATAGGAGCCTTTTTGCTTATTATGCATGTATGTGTCCCCGCTTTGTGAATATTCATAGCTCTTCCTGTAACCTGTTGAATGTGTATACCTGGCCATCCTGTTCAGCACAAATCTCTCTTCCACTCTCCCCTCCCTTGAAGCACCTGTTAATGGTCTCTGCCTGAGACTACACTTCCCAGCTTGTCAGAATGGCCACCTTGCAGGCTGTAACCCTTTATAAGAAATAAAGCTCTCCTTTCTAAATTTATAAATCTTGTGATTTTTAAGTTGACATCTTCACCACCGGGAGAGCTAGTTGCCTCTCCTAAATTGATCAGAGTGAATATCTCTGTCTTAAAGACTTTTAATATATTGTAAAATAAATTTATTTCACCCTAATGAGACTATGAACTTATTAATATCATTTTTATGTTTAAGCAATTTTTATCTCTCCAGTAACTATGTGTGGCTTGATATCTAGCAAATATTCAGTATATTTATTTTATGAATATTTGGGAGTTTCTATCCTCAAGTTGTGTGTGTCTGTGTGTATGTGTGGATTGTGGTTCTCTGTTTGTGTATCACTGTTGTGGCAAGTAACTCTTTTTTCTCCTTCACTAATCCAGACCTATAGATGTTGATATTATTAAATTCTGATCAATTTCCCCTTATATTCTCTTATTACTAATGCCTCAGTCAGTTTCAAAGCATATTTATTTTGTATTAATCAAGTAGAAAGTGCAGATATCAATTGTTTGACATTACAAATGGTGAAACTGAGGCTTAGAAATTTTAAAATGCACTAGTTAAGAGGATCATTAGTGTGGAAACATTCCAGATAATAATTCCATGCTTGAATTTTAGAGTCAAATACTTCACATATGTCTGGATTTACAGATAATTAGAGATTTGCATGTTAATATTTCTGTGCCTGTTCTTAAATAACATTTCTACCCTTTTATACCAAGTCTAATTGCTATATTAAATTTAATAGCTTTGCTTATATATTCTTTATTGAAAATGCAAATGAAATCATAGATGCTGTAAGTTCTTATCACAATCAAAATGATCAGCAGTCATATTCAACCCAAGTTTCTTTAAAACAATAAATTGATCTCCATGGGGGTTCTGGATCCTGGCAATACTCTTATTTCTTTCCCCACTTGGTGGCTTCTCAGGCATTTGTTTATGATTATTCATTAATCCACTTGTATATTTTACTGCCTTATGTGTGTCATATTTCCAGTATAAAATAAATAAGTTTAATAAAGTAAATCTTTTAAAATCTCTTATTACAAAATTGATATATTTTAGAACATTTCAAAATAGCACTATAAAAAAGAAGAAAATAAAAACCTCCCATAAGCCCACCATTTGCCTGATATCTGCTGATATAGAGACTTAAGTTGCCTGTGCTTCCACACATTAGTTCAAACAGACTTACGGAGAGATACATACATGCACCCACCCCCAACCACGCCACCTACTCCTGCCCTCAACTCACTCACAGACTTTTTAAAGTAAGAAGTTAGTATTGGTATAAAACTATTAGCTAGACTGCAGACATTATTTGGATTTCACCTGTTTTCCCACCTGGTGCCATCCAGGATCCTCTCTTGCATTTAGTTGTCATGTCTCATTTGCAGGGTGACCAGCTCATCCTAGTTTGCTCTATTTGTCTCAATTTTAAAAATAAAAGTTTTGCATTCCAGGAAGCTCATTTGTCCTGAGTCAACTGAGACAGCTGGTCACTCTACTCCTTACTCTTTTGCAATCTGTGGCAATTTTTAGTCTGTTCTCATCTTTCATGACCATGGTTCACTGCTAAAGGGTGCTTTTTGGTATGTTGTAGAATGTTCCCAGTTTGGGTCTGTCTGGTGTATTCTCATGATTAGACCCAGGGTTATGGATCTGGGGAGGAATATCACAGAGGCATCTTGTCCTTCTTATCATGTCACGTTGGGGGTGCTGATGTTAACACAAGTTATTACCGTGATGTTCGTTTGGATCGCTTGGCTCAGGCCGGTTGGCCAGGTTCCTCCACCGTCATGTGACCTTTACCCCTTTCTGTAGTCTGTTCATTAGAGCCACTAAGTCCAGCCCCACTCAAGGGCTGTGGAATAATTCCAGCTCCTAGGAGGAAGAAGGAGTTTTGAATTTGTGGACATATGTTAAAACCACTCAGTAATTGATAAGTGTTTTGGGGGTGAATACTTTGAGGTTATGCAAATCTCCTGTTTCTCCTTAAAGTTTCACCTATAACTGCAGGGGCATCAGTGGCTTTTACCTGCAGGGTTATTGCTGTGGAGTTCCAGTGATAATTTTCTCTTTCCTTCATCACTTCTATATTTATTAACTGAAATTCCTCTGGAAGGAAGATTTGTTCCTTCACTCCCACTTACTTATTCATATTAGTAAGGATTTAGGGAGATTTAATTGGTGGAGGGGAGTATCATCTAGTACAAATTTTATTTAATTTGTTGCTCAAATTGTTAAAGGCTTGGCCACTGGGGGATCTTTAAGTTGACTCCTGTATCCTTTTCAAGTACTCTCATTGTTTATTTTTTTAAGCACTTAATTACTGGCACTGCTAAGCTCTTCAAACTCATTTTGTAGTTTCCCTGTCCCAACCCTAGAAAACGCTATTTCTCTAAAAAGCATTGGTGCCCTGGTTCCTTTTACGGGAGAATGGTAGTTAAATTTAGGCTTTAGTTACTCGTTGCTACCAAGTGTTGCTGCTTCTAAGCCCTTTCAGTAAACAGAGCTAGAAAATATACCTATGTATGCTAACCCACACATATACACACAGCATATTTATTGTGATAGCGCAGTTTCATATTAAAATAAACACGAGTTTATACAGATTTCTCTAACTACAATTTACAGTCACAGAGTTTGTTCTAGCCTTCCTTCTTTCTGTGACAATGAGAAGCCTGGCTCTAATTTTCTACTCTATATTTAATAATTTGTTCAATCCTAGTATTATCTTTTTACATAATGCTGGATTTAATTTGCTTACATTTTGTTGAGGAATTTTGCATCTCTGTTTATAAAGGATATTGGTTTGTAGTTTTCTTGTAATGTTTTTGTCTCCTAAAATGAATTGGAGAGTGACCCTTGCTCTCTCATTTTCTGGAAAAGTTTGTGTTTTGGATGGGTGTTATTTCTCACCAATGAAACCATAATGGCCTGAAATTTTTCTTGATGAAATGTCTTTAAGAGTTTAGTTTATTTAATTGCTACAGGGATATTCAGGTTATACATTTATTCTTTAATGAATTTCGGCAGTTTGTATCTTTGAAGGGACTGGTCTACTTCGTCTAAGTTGATTTTGTGGAGGCAGAATTGTTTGTAGTATCTCCTTATCTTCCCTTTAATGTCTGTGGGGTCTGTAGTCAGTCTGCTTTTTCATTTATGATACTGGAAATTTGTATTTTCTCCCTTTTTGTTTCTTGGCCAGTCTTGTTAAAGGTTTGCCAATTTTACTGATTATTTTTTAAAAAGAATCAATTTTTAGTTTAATTAATTTTCTTGTTTTTCTGTTTCCAATTTTATGATTTATGCTCTAATATTTATTATTTTCTTTTTTCAACTTGCTTTGGGCTGATTTTGCTCTTCTTTCTCTACTTTCTTAAAGTAGATGTTAGATCTTCCCTTTTTATAAATAATTAATACTAACAATTTCCCTCTAATATTGCTGTGGCTGAATCCAACATGACTTAAAAAATTTAAAAATGCAGTCATACTATTTTGAAAACTATTTATTTAACTATGTACCATGAATACATTTCATACATATATTCTTCTGTAGCAGCCTTTTCATTATTTAGTGTTTTCTAATAATGAGGCATGAGGCAAGAGTACATAGTTTAACAAATAAGCAACCATTGCATAAATGACTCTGTGCTACACACAGTGGGCAGGAAAATATAAAGGTGAGTAAATCACACCCATAGGTAAGAACATCCAGGCATTCAACGTTGAGTGGTATGACTGTGATAACACATGGATACTTAGAAGACAGGTTGGGAAGGGGGTGCTGGGATAGGGCTGGTGGGCATCAGAAAAGCTAATTCTGATGTAAGGCCTATAGGTTCTCATTGCAGTGGGGTACATATTGCTCTCATTTGGAAGAAGGCTGGCAGTCCCCACCATGGTGTATTTCAAAGGCAGTGGAAATATTTAGAGCCAGGAGGTCAGCAGAAACCTACTTTTGGAAAGTGAGTTCTTATGGCTTACAAACCTATCCAGCAGCAGCTGGAGTTAGAGAACAGAAAGTGCTGAAAAGAAAAAATGTGTCATCAGAGAAAAGTGCCCTCTCAGCAGTCAGACAAATGGGTTTCCCCATTTGGGAAAAGTGTTATTTCAGCAACACTGGGAGTCTTGAATTGGGAATAAAGCAACATTTCTAGTGGATGTATTGGAGGAACACGGCCAGGGAAAGAAAGGTCAGTAACTTAGCGATTACCTGAGTTCTCTCCAAGTTACTCAATTCTTATCCCGGAATGGCAAGACTGAAATGCAGACCAGACAAGGTGGTAGCTGAGCATCCAATGTTCTTTTTGGTTTGGTTGGTTTGGCTTATCAAGAGGCTGGGCTGTCAGTGGATAGAATTAGATTGGAAGGAGATGTGGGAGACTTTTATCCCTATGAGACTTCCAGATATTATGTAAGAATGGGGAGTCAGTACTGAAGACCAAGGATAATGACTGCAAGATGTCTGAAGTCCCGGAATAATGGCTACTTACCTGTGGGGTGGAGGGCCTGTCTCCTACTTTTTCTCTTGTTTACACATTGTGTTTTCTAAACACACGTAATTCTACAGTATAGATTCATGTTCTTACTCTAGCGATAGAAATGGGGTAAAAATTTGAGAAGACAAAGATACAACTGAAAAGGCTTTGGGGCAGGAGAATAGCAAGAACCTATAGAGGCAGGGATGGCTTAGAAGAGGTATTAAAGAAAAGCTCTTCAGGAAAGGAGCTGTACAGGAAAGCTGGCTGGTTTCCCCAAGGAGTCCCTGTTCAAGAGTATTTCTAGCCCAGTTGCTAAGGGACTAGCTTAAGATCTTTTGCATTTGACCTATTACCTTCCTTCTAGATTATGTGGAATCATTTTTACCTATGTGGATTTGCTCAAATCAAATGCAATGGTTACAACAGCTTACTACTTCAAGAGGAGAAAGTGTCTTAGTTTTTAATGACTTTCTATAGCAGGAATACCAGGAAGGCCAACTAGGAAGGGAAAAGGGTCAGCTTCAGGTAGCGTTAGCTGTCCACCTGTCTGTCTCACATCTCTCTCTTTTCAGCCATCATCTAATGCCCGTCTTCGAGGGTGGGGCCAAGGCACAGAGCTCAAGGACCTGTGTTTTGATGGGAATCCATAGTTCTGCTTTGGCCAATCCAAAGATATCCCATCACGAATAATGTTTAGTGTTTATTAGGACCGTCTGTTATTAAATTGATACTTCTCTTCTTATTGTTTAATTCAACAGGGGAGAGGTGCTATAAGTTGTGTTTATTAATTTATTTATTGTAACAGGTTTCCAAAGAAAGCTTCAAACCTATAGATTTGCTGAGAACAGGGCCCACAGATTGGTATTTTTGACAAATTCTACAGGTGATTCTAATCCAGAAACACTGGTTTATGATATAGTACTTCCCCCAGACAAGGCTTTTTGAGATGGACCAGGTTAGGAACAGCCAAGACCAGGAAATGTGTTCAGGAATTCTGGTGTTTTTCCCATAATGAACAATCTCATTCTGAGTCTCTGCCACTGGAATGTCCCTATAATTCCTCACACTCATCACTAATATGTTTTTGGTATGTTTGATGGTGTCCCAAAGTGCTCTTAGGCTCTGCCCATTTTCTTCGTTCTTTTCTCTTTCTGCTTTTCAGGTTGGATAGTATCAATTGTCCTATCTTCAAGTTCACAGAGTATTTCCTCTGTCAGCTCAGATCGGCCATTGGACCTCTCTAGTAAATTTTAAAACTTCAGATTGCACTTTTCATCTCCAGAATTCCAATTTTATTCAACTTTATAATGATTATCCCTTTATTGATATTCTCCATTTGCCAAGACATTGTTCTGATTTCCTTTAGTTCCTTGTCTGTGGTCTTTCTAGCTTTTTGAGCATATTTAAGACAGTTGATTTAAAGTCATCGTCTAGTAAGGCTGATGCCTGGGCTTCTGCAGGAATCATTTCAATTCATTTATTTTTTTCTTCATGACTGGGACATACTTTCTTGCTTCTTGGCATACCTCATACATTTTGGTGAAAACTGGATACTCTGAATATTATAACATGGCAAGTTTACAAACCAGGCTCTTTCCCTTCCCTGAGGTTTGTTGTTGCTGCTTGTTGTGGGTAGTTGCTTGCTTGTTTGTTTCATGATTTTCTGAACTTTTCCCCTAAAGCCTATATTCTTTATTGTGGTTGCTGAAGTCTGCATTTCATTATCTTAGTTGTCAGCTAGGTTTTTTGAGTTTCCTTACGTGCTTAGAATGCACATTCTCCTGGTCATTGCAGATTGGCTCTCTGTGGGGGCACTCCTTCAATGCCTAGCTAGGCCATTTTCAACTCTGCATCAGCCTGCACTTCCTGTTAGCATGAAGGTATGCTGGAGGTGAAAGCCAGATAACCTTAGGGCCTTCTGAGGCCTTTTGTAAGCATGCATCTAGCCCAGAGAATGCACATAGCATTCCTTATTGCCCAGCATACAGAGCAGCTCCTCTTAAAAGCTCCTATCTCCCCATATGTCTCATTTCCCAGCCTCTTGCTTCTCAGGCTTTGTGATCTGTCTGTTACTTGTCCTGATTGTTATCCCTTGCCCTAGGCTTCCACAGCCTATATTTTTGCCTTTAAATGCTTTTGGAAAATGCTGTCCAGAAGGCTGCCACAGCCCTGGGAACTCTCTGAGTCTAATGAAACAAAGGCCAGCTCTTGTGCTGGTGTTTCGGGGACCTCACCCCATCAGGGTGGAGAAGACATCACAATTGTTTGAGAATAAGGTTTGTTTTGCTTCCTGTGGCACCAGCAACATGCACCATGAGCATGGGCTGGAGTCTTCATGACTGCCACTGATCCAGGGAAGCAGGCTGGCGGGAGGGTGATTCCAATGTCACCACAGTCTTTTACCACAACACAGTGGCTTCTTATTAAGTATCTCTTTGGTTGTTATAAGTTTTTGACTAGATTCCAGAATTCTGCAGAATTCTGACAGTTTTTGTCAGTTCATTAGTTGCTTTTGTGGAGGAAGGAAGATTGGGGATTTTCTAGTCTGCCATTTTTCAGTGATGTTTAATATATTTTTAACTTCGATTATAGAAAATTAATATAAAACATGCTTTAATGACTATTGTCATCAATGGAATGATATACAATTTCCATTTTTGAAAATGTTTCCAATTCTATATTCTTTACTCATGTATAGACCTTCATGCTAAAATACTCAATGTATGTCCTTCAAGTCATTAAATATGCATTTATATACATATATGAGGATCCTTGAAAATGCATACTTCGCTTTTGTAGCATCAAAAAATTAACACAGATGTTTCTCCCTTTCCCACTGACTGGCTGCAGCATTTAATTCATTAAATATTTCTGACTTTGTGGTAGGGCCTTTGACCTTGCTCCATCATTATTCTTGGTCCTGGAAAACCACATTCATGATGGAACATGTTTTTGTCCACAGCACAATATATATGTATTTTTTCTGGTTCAGAGAAGAGACTGCAGCCTCAGAGATGTTTATGTCTCAGGACTTTCTTGGGAAACTAGGGCTTTTAAACTTTCATCTACATGGTGAGGAAAAGCAAGGGAGTGTGGGGTGGCCACAGACAAATGTGGAAATGCCATTTGGTGTCAGAACATGCAAGTTATCTTAAGGCATGTCAGGGAGATAGGAGTAGCCCTTGCAGCTCTGTGGAGCACAGAGTCTAGCTGGGAGAAGCTTGATGCTGAGGCAAAAGAGGAGCCGATGCCGCTGTGCCACTGAGAGGGGCCAAGAGCAGCCACAACAGAAACAAAGAGCAGGACACAGACTGAGGAACCCTGGGGAGGGTGGCAGAGTCTGCACGATGTTGCCAACAATTAGAGGTTTTCTCCAAGCTCAGAAACACGGTGAACAGAACTGTCAATTAGTGTCAGTACATGTCACAGCTTGAAATCTCCAAAACTTCACTCACCTTGTAAAAACAGGTCAGCCACCAGCATTATTATAGGCACCATTACCATAGGTTGAGAAACTGGAGGCTGGAGGGAATCATTTCAGTTTGACATACTGCTTCTGATGTCCACTGAGCGTCAGGCGCTCCCCTGGAGTCTGGGAATATGATGATGAAAAGACTTGTTTTCTACCCTAAAAGCTGGCTGTAAAGTTCGGAGTCATCTTTAGCTTGAAGTTCTCCCTGTATCTCCTGTAATATTCGCATAGCACAGATGGCCTCCTGTAGCAGATGTAGCAGGAGAAGCCACAGACAAAACTCCTCAGACACCGAGTTAAAGAAGGAAGAGGTGTATTCGGCTGGGAGCATCGGCAAGACTCCTGTCTCAAGAGCCGAGCTCCCCAAGTGAGCAATTCCTGTCCTTTTTAAGGGCTCACAACTCTAAGGGGGTCCGTGCGAAAGGGTTGTGATCAATTGAACAAGCAGGGGGTACGTGACGGGCTGCAGGCACCAGTGGTCAGAGTGAAACAGAACAGACCAGGAAGTTTCACAATGTCTTTCTATACAATGTCTGGAATCTATAGGTAACATCAGTTGCTAGGTCAGGGGTCAAATTTTAACTACCAGGCTTAGGTCAGGCAGGCCCAGGCTGGTTTCTGGTCTAGTTCCTTGGTTTCGGGTCTGGTTCCTAGGCACCGGGCTACCTGCCTTTAGTTTTGCTTCTCTTTCCTTTTCTGAGTATAAAACAATATAAAACAATATGAGAGGGTCTATCTCTCTTCTCTCACTCCGAGTAAAGTCCTAACGTGGGTAATTTGTGTCTTCTTTCTTCTTTCCTTGGTTGGACCATGTAACAACATGCAGACTTAATTTTCTTTGCTAAACATGTATACATTTTTTCTACATATGCTTTATATGAGTTTTCAGTCTCTGAAATAGCTAGCAAAAATTAGGCCATAAAATCAATGAATACGATTTTAAATATATGATTTTCCTTTTGTAAACTGTAATGAGACACAATTAGATAAAAATGTCATTTTGAATTTTAGTCCCTATTGGTACCACTAATTATTATTATTTTGTTAATTTGTATTCAAGTGTAGAAAATAAAGGCATACAGCGACTTGGATCCAGGAAAAAAGATAATGCGATTGGAAGAAAATACACAGGCAATTTAAATCCAGCTGTTCTGAGCTTGAAATCCTTGAGTGTGGGAACAAATGATTTGTAGTCATTGAATTCTCAGATTTCAATTCATTACGGCAGAATTTGAGTGTGAGCTTGAGATGATCAAGGGAAAGTCTATAAGGGGAATTAGGATTACGTCAAAACGTTTGTAATGTTGGACAAAAGCAAGTTCCCAAGGCACAATTTTAGCTTCCTAAGTAAGTCTTTCTCTGAAGGACCTTAATTTAGGTATTTTTTTTTTTTGAAAAGAGTCAATGCTTTTAAAGTTAAGAAAGAAAAATTGTAGTTGTAGTTGGGCAGGATCAATAAGAATGTTAAAAATGGAAAAGTAAGCCAAAGTTAATATCACAATGTGATCAAAGCATAAAAATGTTTAAAGCCTTTTATGTGCTACTTCTGGGTCATCTGAATGCCAGGGCCAAGTCCAACCAATTAGCCAATACCATTGTGTAAACTATTTTTCCCGTTTCCTTTCTATATTTGCAGAGACTTAAAGTATGCTGTTTAACCCGAAACAATGATTCTTAATGGGTGAGGTCACAAGAGCCAGCCTCTTTGGTCGGATCCATTAACTAGAATGGGGTGGGTTTTCCATGATATGCAGGTGTTCGTAACTTGTGCATCTTGAGCACGGGGCCCAGACTGTTGATGACAAAGTATGTAGAGTGTTTTCAGAGATCGGATTTGATAACACTGCTTTGAGTCTGGACAGAAGATAAGGTGCCTTCCTTAAGTGGCTTTTTCAAATGATACAGAAGGAAGTGCATGGAAATGGGATGTGCAAGTTCCAGCTTTTCTACTCGGACCAAAGACTAGCCTGTTACCTTCTATGAACCTTAACTTTCTCACATGCGAAATGGGAGAACTCACTGTCACATGGCTGACCAGGGGCAGGTGCTCCAATGTTCATGCATCAACTCAGTGAGGTGTTGAAGGTGTACTCTGTGCCCTGCGCTCTTCCAGGGAGATAGTGGCAAGCAGGACTGTGGCCCTTTTTTCACCTCACTGAGTTTATGCTCTCACTGAGTGTGAGAAAGCGGAAAACAAACAAACAAAAAAAAACCCAAATAAATACTTAAGATATTTTCAGAGGTGACTCAAGACAAGTCAGACATGTGCCAAACTGGTGGGAAGAGCATTTTAAGTACAGGAAACAGAAACACCAAAGGCCCTGAGGCAGGAATATACTGAGAGTACATTTGGATTAGGTCAGTGGCTCTCATACTTTGCTGCCTTATTATCCCCTGGGGCCTTGCTAAAACTCTGAATCTCCACCCCAAGGTTTAGACTCAGCAGATCAGGGTTAGGGCCCGAGAATCTGCATTCTTCATTGGACTCCCTGGTGCTGCTGGCATTGGCTCCACATGTTGAGAAGCTTGGATTAGAGGAAAACACAGAAGTCTAGTTCGGCTGACTGGGAAGCAGCAGGTGGAGAGTTGGGTAGGGAGATCTGTGAGGGAGGGGCTTGTGCAGGAAGGAGTTTAGGTTTTACTGATTGAAGTGGGAAGCCATTAGAAAGATCGCCCTGGTGCTTTGTGGAGAACAGTTCACAGCAAGAAAGCAGGGAGACAGGTTAGGGGCTCTCGCAGCGATTTAGGCCAGCAGTTAGGGCAGGTTGGGCTAGTAGTAACAGTGGAGGTGGTTGTTTTCAGTTATCCCTTGGAAGTAGAGGTGTCAGGCCTTGCTGATGACAGGATCTGGGATGTGAAGGAGAGAAATGAGCCAAGGACAGCAACCAGATATGAAGCCTGGGCACCCTGCAGCTGGTCAAATGTGTGTAAGGACCATTGACAGTCATGTGGTGGGGCTGGGCCGGGGCTGTCTCCCTTCTCTCCCAAACACGGCTTGTAATAATATCAAGACATTTAAGGTGCGGTGAGGTAAGTCAACCAGGGGCTGGGCACTTTTCCTCTTTAAGACCCCAGCCTGCAGGTGGCCGGACCTTCTGCGAAGCTCCAGTTGACGAGTTAGTTTTTCTCATGTGGTTCAATGACAGGGACTGACAGACACATTGTTTTGACAAAGTCTGCTCTTTTTGCTGTAATATTCCTTCTCCACATCAGAGTTCTGAGGATGGATAGCTCTAATACCCACCCTTGGAGATTACTGGAGATAAATTTATGTGAGACAGTGTAACAGAGGAAAAAGCATGGTGTTTGGAATGCCAAACCTAGGATTGTATCTTTATTCCCTCCTCCAGACTGCAGGCATATTACTTAACTTCTCACTGTCTTCATTTTCTTGTTTGAAAAATAGAGATAATAATGTCAAGTGATTCGCAGCTTTTTGAAGATGAAAGAAGATAAATCACGTGTAGGATTTTTTCATCTAAAGGTCTATGTGAAAATAAGTTGTTTTATTATTATCAATGTTTTCATTAGGATGTTGCAAAAGTACTTGATGAATTGCAAATGACTCTGTAAATGGATGATGTTGCTATGAGTTTACAAAATGTTCATAAATGGATGATGTTGCTATGAGTTTATAAAATTTTCAGCCCAATTCGTGAACTCTTGACTTGGGACTGTTCCTGTGTCTCATAGTTCACACATGCCCCGTCAGACAAATTGTCTGGTAGATTTGAATTTCTGCCATGGGTAATGAGTAGGTTTTGGAGAGTGGAACAAGGCTATCTTGGGTTTCACATTCCTCTGATTTCTCCAGAATATTTCCTGAGGACTGTGAAAGAAGGCAGTTCTAAACGCAAAGAAACTCTGGTATTGAAATGGTTTTGACATTCCAGGGAAAATCCACCAAATTAAGACAAGAACTGTGGTAGAGGGTGTACACATTTTTATTGGTTGAACTGCTATAATTCTGGATACAGTTCATTCAAATCTGCAAATAATTTTAGGATTTCATTTGTAAAAAAATGTAGTAGCATGGGAAACCTCATTGGACTCAAGAAACAAAGGCATCACAAAAATGATGAATTCTCTGTTTATTATGGAGGGATCAAGTCTGGTAATAAATTCAGGTGGACGTGCAAGATAGTCAGTATCTCACATGATGCTCAATGATGCCAGCCTTCACACAGATGCCTTCTTTCTGAAACTGTTGTTTCTCTTTGGTTGGCCCTTTGTAGGGAACTGCCTATCATCATGATAACCACCTCTAACTGAAACTCACCATATGCCGGTGGTGACCACCATGCTGAGCTCTTTCCATACTGTTTGGTTTTTCCCTGTACTATTGGTAATCCTGTCACTAACCCTGTGAATTAGGGACCAGTACAAACCTCATTTTAGAGCTGAGCAAGCAGAGTCTCCAATAAGTTGAAGAATTTGCTAATGAGAGGGTTTGCCTTGGTTTGCCTGACTCAGACCTCTCTGATCCAGGAAGTGGGATCCAGGTGAAAGGCTTATTTTCTTCTTAGTGTGGCACATATGAAATATTAGTCTTTATGTTTCTCTCTTTGGAGCTGGAAACCTGTGAATTACCACATCTTGTAGCTTCATACTCTTGGCCAGGCCCTAGTAGTGCCTGTGGCAGGAGGGGCAGCAGGGAGGGGTTCCTTGCTTAGGGTTCTCCTTGCAGACTATGACTTGGCCCCTTGGGTCCTGATCTCTTCCTCTCTGGCAGTGTTGGCTGTGAATCCATTGGGAAACAAGTATCTGTGGATACGCATGTGTATGTGTAAGTCACATAGAATCTTGGAGTCAGTACCTTTCACTCTTAGAATTGGTGTGTTCATTAAGAGATTTTCTTTTTCTTTTTCTTTTTTCTTTTTTTGAAACAGAGTCTTGCGCTGTCACCCAGGCTAGAGTGCAGTGGCATGATCTCGGCTCACTGCAACCTCTGCCTCCCGGGTTCAAGCGATTCTCTTGCCTCAGCCTCCCGGGTAGCTGCGATTGCAGGTGCCTGCCACTGTGCCTGGCTAATTTTTGTATTTTTAGTAGAGATGGGGTTTCACCATCTTGGCCAGGCTGGTCTCGGACTCCTGACCTTGTGGTCTACCCACCTCAGCCTCCCAAAGTGCTGGGATAACAGGCGTGAGCCATCGTACACAGCCTGAGATTCTCTTCTCATTTCAGTTTCCCTTACTTTCCAGTCCAGTACCCTAAACCTCCTGGGATTGGAGACTCAGGATGTATAAGGTAATCTTTTTTTTATTTTTTTTTTTTAGACAGAGTTTCACTCTTGTTGCCCAGGCTGGAGTGCAATGGCGTGATCTCGGCTCACTGCAACCTCTGCCTCCCAGGTTCAAGTGATTCTCCTGCCTCAGCCTCCCAAGTAGCTGGGATTACAGGAATGTGCCACCACACCCGGGTAATTTTGTATTTTAAGTAGAGACGGGGTTTCTCCATGTTGGTCAGGCTGGTCTCAAACTCCCGACCTCAGGTGATCCACCCTCCTCAGCCTCCCAAAGTGCTGGGATTACAGGCGAGAGCCACCGCACCTGGCCAAGGGAACCCTTTTAAACTGTGAATGACGCTGAATGCTCCTAAGTTCTTTTTATAAGTTTCTGTTCTTGGCAAACTTTCTTTATCTTATGTTTTATTTATTTCCTTGAATATGTTAAATCGACAAAAATCCCCAAAATAAACAAAAACTGTTTATCTTCTCTATTTTAGTTCCGTGAAAAAGTTGGTTCAAATCATTCAGCCTGGCATTACTGGAAATCTCTAACAAGATTTACAGCGGTGCCACCCCAATGAATTCCACCACACTGAATTCATTGTTCATTGAGAGAGATTAGAAAATGAAGATACCATGCCCCTTGGCTTCCCTGCTAAAGGAGACACTGGGAAAGGAGAGGTAAGTCTAGCCTATCATTAGTCTCTTAATTTTCTCATATTGATTTAGTTTGAAGAGTTTACTTAATTTCTTTAAAAATTATGCCCTTTTTGTTAAATTAGTTTAATTTTTAAATTGAAAACTGTATATTAAACATGGAGGAAAAAAAGAACATGTGCACAAAATGGGAAAGCCTCCAAATAACAGCAACCTGCCTGCCTCTGTTAAGCGGTGTTTATAGCCATATCTGTGCCTGTCATCCACACCAGGCTGGGTGATGTTGCTCTTGACACACCCATCCTCTGGGATTGACTCCACTCCTGGGACAGGCTGCAATGAATTGGAGGCAGCAGCAGCAGCACCAACAGGGAACTTGTTAGAAATGCAGGTTCTCCACCTCCCCCTTCACTAGGAATCTGACACTTTGGGGGTGCGACCCAGCAATCTGCACTCTGTCAAACTCGTGAGGTGATGCCCATGCATGCACAACTTGGAGCACATCGTCTGACCTCAGGTAATCACGGTGATCCCAGCTGCATTCATTTCTTGGGGCTGCCAGAACAAACTACCGCAGACGGAACGGCTTCAGAAGAAATATGTATTCTTTCCCAGTTGTGGAGGCCGGAAGTCTGAGATCAAGATGTTGGCAGAACTGGTTTCTTGTGAGACTGAGGGAAGGATCTGTTCCAGGCTTCTCTTCTTGGCTTGTAGATGGCCATCTTATCCCGGTGTCTCTTCTCATTGTCTTCCTTTAAGTGTGCCTGGGTCCAGGTTTTTCCATTTCATAAGGACACGGTCACAATAGATTAGTGCCTACATTCATGATTTTTTTCTTAACTAATTACATCCACAACAATCTATTTCTAAATAAGGTCACACTGGGGGTTAGGACTTCACTGCAACTTTGAGGGGACACATTTCAACCCATAATGCCATCCCATGCCAGTGGGAAGCTTAAGGACCAGGCAAATGCTTAGCAGAGCGTGGCTTTCCCTGAGTCTACGGTTCTTGGCTGGGCAAGTGACTTAGCTACTTAGCTTGCACCTGGCAGGTGTTGACTAAAGGCATGCTCACTTTTCCCTCTGCACGTGAAGGAATAAAAACAATACTGGGAATTCTACAACTTGTTTGGTATGTAGTGGTGAGTCTGACATTGTGTGGAGCAAGGCTGGAAGTCACCAAAACCTGACTCTTTAAAAATCTCTAAGTTCCTGGACCAGTAGTTTTCAAACCGCTCATGCCCTCTGGACTTGCGATTAATGCCCTAAGAGTCTCTATTTTATACAACAGCTTGAGCTGGGGTCTTAGGAATCTGCCACTGAAATTTGCTGCACACACTTATATAGATATAGGTATTTTTGAACTTGTATCATGCCAACATATTCTTTTTTAGCTTGATTTTATTTTTTATTTAGCAATATATTATATGCTGAGACCAGCTCGGTCGGGGAGACCCTAACCCAGTGGCGCTAGAGGAATTAAAGACGCATACACAGAAATATAGAAGTGTGAAGTGGGAAATCATGGGTCTCACAGCCTTCAGAGCTGAGAGCCCCAAACAGAGATTTACCCACATATTGATTAACAGCAAACCAGTCATTAGCATTGTTTCTATAGATATTAAATTAACTAAAAGTATCCCTTACGGGAAACGAAGGGATGGGCCAAATTAATTGCAGCAGGAAAACACCCATAAGACACAGATCACTCATGCTAATTGTTTGTGGCTTAAGAATGCCTTTAAGTGGTTTTCCGCCCTGGGTGGGCCAGGTGTTCCTTGCCCTCATTCCTGTAAATCCACAACCTTCCAGCTTGGGCGTTACGGCCATTATGGACATGTTACATTGCTGCAGAGATTTTATTTATGGCCAGTTTTGGGGCCAGTTTATGGCCAGACTTTCGGGAGCTTGCTCCCAACATGTCTCCCTTCTTTGATTTGCAAAGAGATAAAAGCAAGGGCAGCTTTGTCACAGTGAGCTACTTCTCGCAGGAATCAGGATCCTCATCTGCAGACTATACAGACAAACAACATGGATTAAAAACACAGTCATCATTGAAATCACAGAGCTTCCAAGTGTTTTTATCCATTTAAATGGGTTACTAGATGCTAATTTGTCTGCAGCTCCTTTAAACACTCCAGGTCTTGGCATTAAGGTCAGGTGTGCCTGGGATGCTTTAAATATTTGTTTTTTAAATTTTGCTATATTCTAAAACAAGTTTGTAGAGTGTCCTTCTAGATGCTTTTTTATTCTTTCCCAAATTTTGATCTTATTAAGAGCATTTAATAGTTTCCACAAATCCTTATGTTCAGCTCCTAGAGCGGGCCATATCATTTGAGGTTGAGGTGCCACTATAGCACCATGGTTCCAGATAATAGGAACTTTTGCCATACTTCTTATCATTTCTACCATCTGACTGTTTTGTTCAGATCATCTGAACATAGTGTGGCCTTGGCACGCAGACTCAGAGGTGCAATTCAAGCTAAACACCCCCTTAGGGGACCAATTAATAATGATTCCATAGGAATCGTTGTGCAGCACCTCTGCCTGTTCTGCAAAGCAATCTTCCTAAACAAGTATGTTCATTTTTTCTAACTGGGTCCAATCCTGTTTACAAATAGGTTTTTGAGGGCGGTATCCCTCAATTATAGGAGCAGATTTATTACGGTAAATACTGAGATCAGAAAGCATGTGTAACTGTGTCATAGAGTGATTGCATCCAGGTATTATTACCATCCCTTATTGAAGGAATACTCACGGCAGTGGTGATAACCGCTATCATAGCTACCATTAAATTATTCATTGTGACTGGTTGTCCCGCTTTCCTTAGGTTTTCTTCTGCCATCTGTGACAGCTTCTTGATCTGTCCCCAGGTGGGTGGCTGTGTTCGACGGGTGTTGCTCGTGACAGTTGGGGTCCTCCTCAGTGTCAGCCTCAACATGGCTGCAACCAGGAGGTCCTCGAGATCCTCCCGGAGTTTCTTTCTCGGCATCTGGCTCATGACAAGGTTTCAGGTGTCTTGATAGTATCCAAATCGGCTGTTGATTTTGGCCTGGAGAAACACAAGCATAACCTCTACCCCAAGTTATTATTTTACCTATTTCCCAACTTTTTGTTATTGGATCTCTCCACCAAATCAGTTGTTCTGTTTCTGTCTTTGCAGCTGGTTTCTGTAGATGCTGTTCAGCTGCTGATAACATCTGGCCTTTGGGCAGCCTCAAAAAATTTAAAGTTAATAATGCTAGATTCAGTTGCATCTGTGGGGTTCCATTATTGTTTCTCCCTTTCTGCTTTTGCAACTGCTGTTTGAGGGAGAGATTCATTCTTTCCACTATGGCTTGTACCTGAGAATTGTATGGGATACCAGTAATGTGTTTAATATTCCACATAGAGAAAAATGTAGCTAGAGCTTGGCTAGTACAGCCTGGGGCATTATCTGTTTTAATAGAAGCTGGAATGCCCATCACCGCAAAGCACTGCAAAAGATGACATTTAACACGGGCAGAAGACTCCTGTTTGGCATGCAGCCCAGACAAAGTGAGAAAAGATGTCCACACATACATGTACATAAGCTAGTCTCCCAAATGAGGGAACATGTGTGACATCCATTTGCCAAATAGAGTTAGGTTCCAGTCCTCGAGGATTAACTCCTCCTGTAAAAGATGAGGAATGTACTATTTGGCAAGTTGGGCATCACTGGATAGTATCTTTAGCTTCTTTCCAGGTAATGCTGTATCTGCGTTTGAGACCAGAGGCATTAACATGGGTTAAATTGTGAAAGGGTCTAGCATTAGATATTGAGGTAGCAACTAGGTGATCAGCCATTTGATTTTCTTCAGTCAAAGGTCCTGGAAGAGGTGTATGAGCCCTAATGTGAGTGATGTAAAAAGGGTGCATTCTACTTCTAACTGCTGTTTGCAGTTGGGTAAATAAAGTCATCAGTTGTTTATCTGTATGAAATTGTAACTGACCATTTTCAATTAACTGTGTGGAGTGAACCATGTATGAATAATCAGAAATCACATTAATAGGCATATCAAAAGCAGTCAATACCTCAATTACTGCTACAAGCTCTGCTTTTTGAGCTGAAGTATAGGACATCTGAAAAACTTTACTTTTTGAGCCAGAATAAGAAGCTTTACCATTACTAGACTCATCTGTAAAAACATTCTCAGCACCTTCAATTGGTTTAAATTTAGTTATTTTAGGGAGAATCCAATTAGTTAATTTCAAAAACTGAAACAGCTTCGTTTTAGGAAAATGATTATCGAGAATACTCACAAAGTCAGCTAAATGGGTTTGCCAAGTAAGACTATTTGTAAAAGCTTGCTGTATTTGTGCTTTCGTGAGAGGGACAATAATTTTTCCAGGATCATATCCATGTAATTTAACAATCCAAATTCTCCCAATCCCTATCATAGTAGCGATTTGATCTAAATAAGGAGTTAGAGTCCGTGAATTAGTATGTGGAAGAAAAAGCCACTCTACTAAGTCCTGTTCTTGGACAATAACACCAGTAGGTGAATGCTGAGTTGAAAAGATTAGCAAACCTAGAGTCTTCTCTGGATCTATTCTATTTATCTGAGCTTTATGGATTTCTTCTCAATCACTTGTAACTCTGCCTCAGCCTCTTTTGTTAATTGCCGAGGGCTAGTGAGACTAGGATTTCCTCTAAGGATAGAAAACAGATTACTCATGGCATAGGTAGGAATGCCTAGAGCAGGTCTTATCCAATTAATATCCCCTAGTAATTTCTGAAAATCATTTAATGTTTTTAATTTATCCCTATGTATGGTTACTTTCTGTGGCACAATGGTAATGTCATTTACTAAGGTCCCCAAGTAGGAGTAAGGAGTAGTAGTCTGAATTTTGTCAGGAGCTATAATTAAACCAGCATGAGAAATAGAATTTTGCAAGTGATCATAACATTGGAGTAATATTTCTCAAGTGGGGGCTGCACAAACTATATCATCCATATAGTGAATAATGTAACACTGTGAAAATTTTTTACGAGTAGATTCAATTGCTTGCCCCACATACTTCTGGCAAATAGTCGGACTGTTTAACACGCCCTGTGGCAACACTTTGCAATGATAACGCTTAGCAGGCTGCAGGTTGTTTACTGCAGGAATTGTAAATGCAAATCGTTTGCAGTCTTGCTCAGCTAAATGGATAGTAAAGAAACAGTCTTTTAAATCTATAACTATTAAAGGCCAATTTTTTGGAATTATAGCGGGAGAAGGCAATCCTGGCTGTAATGCTCCCATAGGTTGTATAACTGAATTGATGGCTCTTAAGTCAGTTAACATTCTCCATTTACTTGATTTTTTCTTAGTTAGGAAAACTGGATAATCCCAAGGAGAAAATGTTGGAGCTATGTGCCCATTTTCTAATTGTTCAGCAACTAATTTCTCTAAATCCTCCAGTTTTTCTTTACTTAGTGGCCATTGTTCTATCTAAATTGGCTTATCTGTTAACCATTTTAAAGGTACAGGTTCTGGAGGCTTAACAATGGCCGCCATCAAAAATTTTTTCCTAATCTTTGGCGGGAACTTTGTTTTTCCACTTGAAGCAGTTCTTTCAAACTTTGCAAATTTTTTTCTAGTCCCATACCAGGGACATACCCCATTTCATGCATTGTATGTTGACTTTGAGGGCTATGTAATAGTTCTGGAATTAGAACTTGTGCTCCCCATTGTTGTAATAGATCTCTTCCCCATACATTTATAGGTACAGAAGTTAGAATTGGTTGAATAGTCCCAGGTTGTCCATTGGGCCCTTCACAATGCAAAATATAACTAATTTGATATACTTCAGCGGCTTTACCAACTCCAACTATATTAAATTGAGCGGGTTGAATTGGCGACGTGGACGGCCAGTGCTGTAGAGAAATGATTGAAATGTCTGCTCCTGTATCTACCAAACCTTTAAATTTATTTCCTTGAATAGTTATTTCACAGATAGATGTTTATCAGTAATTTGATTTACCCAATAAGCTGCTTTGCCTTGTTTATTTGTGCTTCCAAATCCTCCTGTTCGTTTAATTTCACTTTTCCCCATTCCCACATACAGCACAATCAGGAGCTGTGCTATGTGCTCTCCTGGCTCTGCTTTCCAGGGAACAGAAGTAGATATAACAATTTGAATTTCCCCATTGTAATCTGAATCAATGACTCCTATATGTATTTGTACGCCTTTTAAACTTACACTAGACCTTCCTAAAAGTAATCCTATTGTCCCTGCTGGTAACGGTCCACAGACTCCTGTTGGGACCTTTGGCAGGGGTTCCCTAGGCAGAAGACTCACAGCTTTTGTGCAGCATAAATCTACTGTGGCACTACCGGCTGTGGCAGGGGACAGACATTGTACGGGGGTGAGGGAATGGCCTGAGCCAGAAATGCCCCGGTTTAGAACGGGGCCTGGGACAGGCCCCTCATGGCATTTCCTGAAATCGGGTTCCCTTCTTTATCAAACTTAGAGTGACACTGACTAGTCCAGTGTTTTCCTTTTTTACATATTGGACATATTTCAGGCTCAACAGTTTTCTTTTTTCCCCTATCTGGTGGTCCGACTCACTGATTTTTTTCTACATTCTTTTTTAGTATGACCATGCTTCCCACAGTTAAAACAAGCTCCAGGAAATGGAATATTTCCTTTATCCACTCTCAGTCCTGCCAATGCCTGTGCCAACAAGGTAGCTTTATGCAGATTACCTCCGATACCATCACAGGCCTTGATATAATCAACCAAATGTGCTTTCCCTCTGATAGGTTGCAGAGCAGCCTGGCAATCGGGATTAGCATTGTCGAAAGCTAATAACTGCAACACTATATCCTGAGCAGCCGAATCTGCAATCATCCTTTTAAGAGACTCCTGTAACCGAGCTGTAAAATCAACATATGGTTCCCTTGGTCCCTGTTTTATAGCACTAAAGAAAGGGTATTGTTCTCCATCTGAAGTGATTTTTTCCCCAAGCTCTAATGCACACTCCTCTAAGCTGTTCTATGGCATCATCCTGCATGACCAGTTGTGCGTCTAAACCAGCCCGGCCACCAACCCCCAAAAGTTGGTCTGCAGTTATATTAATTTGAGGTTGGGCCTGGGCATTGCAAGCAGCCTGAATGGAAGCTTCATCTGCCCACAAAGTTTTAAATTGTAAGAACTGAGCAGGAGTTAGACAAACTCGAGTAAGAGTGTCCCAGTCAGTAGGAATCATCTGACTGGAACAGTAACATTCTTTAACAGTCTCATTACAAAAGGAGAATCTGGTCCATACTGACTTATTGCTTGTTTTAATTCTTTGAGTAATTTAAAAGGAAAAGGCTCAAATGTAGCTGTAATATTTCCCTGTTGATCTGGGGGGTGTATTCTAACAGGGAACTGCCAAGCCTCTAAATCACCCTCTCGTCTAGCTTGCTGAATTCCTGCCTGAATAGAACCAAGAGCCGTCGCTCAAGGTGCTGCTCGAAAAGTCACTGGGGCAACTACTTTTCGCCCAGTGTCCTCCAGGAAAGAAAGATCTGGTGGGTCATTTTCTTCAAAATAATGATGAGGGGGTGCAGAAGGGTAGGGATGAACCTCTCCTTCCTTTGTCACTTTAGCTTTAGCTGGCAAATAAACATGCTCTGTAACCTCTTCTGTTCTTCTGTTACTTTGCTATGCTCTTGTTCTTCCTCCTCATCAGTGTGAAAAAGTTCCAAGGTGGACCGAACCAGACCCCATACCTGTCCCATTGTTACCCTGACACTTCCAAGCTCCCCTTCTTACTCACCACAGGGATTGCTTTAAGAGTACTCGGGTGTCCTCCAGCTAGTTTTCCATTCCAGCTGTCGCTCCGGTGACCCTTTGACCTGGATTTGAGCCCCTCAGAATGGACGCCGCTTGCCGAGACCAGCTCAGTCGGGGAGACCCTAACCCAGCGGTGCTAGAGGAATTAAAGACACACACACAGAAATATAGAGGTGTGAAGTGGGAAATCAGGGGTCTCACAGCCTTCAGAGCTGAGAGCCCCAAACAGAGATTTACCCACGTATTTATTAACAGCAAGCCAGTCATTAGCATTGTTTCTATAGATATTAAATTAACTAAAAGTGTCCCTTATGGGGAATGAAGGGATGGGCCAAATTAATTGCAGCAGGAACATGCCCTTAAGACACAGATCGCTCATGCTATTGTTTGTGGCTTAAGAATGCCTTTAAGTGGTTTTCTGCCCTGGGCGGGCCAGGTGTTCCTTGCCCTCATTCCTGTAAACCCACAACCTTCCAGCTTGGGCGTTAGGGCCATTATGGACATGTTACATTGCTGCAGAGATTTTATTTATGGCCAGTTTTGGGGCCAGTTTATGGCCAGACTTTGGGGGACTTGCTTGCAACAATTATACACTTCTTTAAAAATCGATAAATATTTTTGGGATTTTGGTACTGAACAGACACTCGAGGATTCATGCACCTCCTGATTTGTATGCATATTCTTGTGTATGCATTCATAGACTGAGGGTGTGTATCTGCTACTTTGACACTTACCATATCATAATTTATTTAACATTGTTTTTTCATTTGGAAAATTTATGTTATCATTTTTTTCTATTAAAATTATAAATAGTAAATTTTTGCCTAAGTGTACTGCTTCACTTTTGTGAACACTTCTAATTATATCTTTAGGAAAACTTCCAAAAATGTAGATTTGCAATGAAAAAATACACTTGAATTTAAGGTTCCAGATGCAGCATTAACAGATGTCCACCCAGAAAGCCTGTGCCAATTTGTGTCCCTTTAAACAAATAGTATCTGAGAATGCATTTTTATTTTCATACATGTTGGACTTTATTCCTTTTTCACTCTATACCAATTTGCTTAGCTAAATAAAAAAGATCTCATTTTTATGTGCATATTTTATAATAAGTGGGCCTCAATTTCTCCTATGTGTGCTGGCCATGTGGACAGCCTATTTCTACACTTTGCCTATGATTCTACTAGGACAGTTATCTTTCCCTTCTTGATTTGTGAGAGCTTTTCTACATCAAACATTTATCACAAATCTGCATCACAAACTTACTTTCTTTTTGTTTTCTGTTTTAATTTTGCTACTTTGGCAATATGTAAGATTTTGTTCCTTTTGCAAAAATGCTTCAAAAGGCATTTCTCAGTCTATATAGAATAATTTTAAAAAACCATCTGGCTATTTGTTAAAATTACTCAGTTATTTTATTATAATCATAAGTTTGAATAATAATGCGTGAGAAAAGTTCTAATAGATTGTCATGAGTTGCTTTTGAACCACACCTCTTTGGACTTTATAAACATCTGCTACAATAAAAGCTTGACACCATTAGTTGGTTATTAATAAAATAAGTAAAACCTTCATGCCCTTAGGTTATTTGATGCAACTCCATTAAACTGAAAACCCCACACTCCTATCAAACAGATCAGATGCTTTTAAAGTGGGAAAAATACTTCTTGTGGAAATAGTAGATCTGGTTTGTTATTAGTGAAAAGAAGATCATTTCTGTTTGAATATGTTGACCAGAGGTCCTGCAAGATGTGCTTTGCTGAGCAGAAAAGTGCTCTCAATGACCAGATTGTGGATGTCGATTCTCAAACTGTTTCACCAAAGAACTTCATCAACAGAGCAGAATCCCATGGGGAGTCTAGGTAGGATAGGGGAATATCTGAAACAGTAGAATAAGAGTGAAATTTTTATTCTCAGGTGTGGCGTGTATGTGTATGTGTGTGTAGCTATATATAGATATGGAGATATTGCATATATGTATACATATACACGCATGGACAGATATCACATTAGGGGTTTTTTAAATAAAACATTTGTTGAAGCAGAGTAAGGACCCATGTTTTGTTGTCTTTTCCTCAGCCTCTAGTACAGCAGTGGCTCAGAGGAAGTTTTCTTTAGATGATGATGGGATGAATGAATAAATGAATAAAACTTGCATAAGTAAGATTTTACCTGGTTATAAAATACTATGCCAAATACAATTTATTTATAGTTTATAAAGTTTAGTTTATAAAGTCTCTGGTTGCAATTGAGCAAAGCCCTTTTGCAGATAGAGGAAAGAGTAGGGGAGAGCTGGCAACGCTGTCCTGGCCTTGCAATGCAATGTTCTTCTCTTGTTACTGGAGTGGCTGCCTCTCCACTGGCTATCAACCAGCTCAAAGACCAAAGAAAAGGACAGTTGAACTGTCTGTGTCACCATTATGCCTGCTGTCAGTGAAGGCCCATTTCCCATGCGACAGATAATTTTGTGTCTTTGATTGATTCGATGGATTATACACACACGTTCATGCACACAATTTACGAGATCAGTTGATCACTTTGGTCTAAGAAATTTAATTGACTTCAAAGCCAATTGAAATGCAGTGTCAAAATGATTTTTCACTAATAATGGATATTCCTGAGTTTTCCCTGGTGCAACAAGGAAACAAACAAAATCACAATCTTGCTTTCATGAGGTCCTACCTGCTACTAATAGCAGCCGCATTTTATACTGCCTTTGTCAGCTGAAGCCCTAAGTGCTACAATTTTTCACTGGAGAGCACTCCAAACCATCCAGTTTGATTATGCTTTATTGTTTTTTTCTGGAAATTTCTTCTGTAGTAATGTTGGTTTCAAGCTGCCAAAAAAGCATGCCAAAAATCATTCTCGAGGCTTCATTCTTCTGAGTCTGTATCTCTAAGTTGCAGCAGCCATTATTTATCTTTAGGAGTCAGAATCACACCTGGAGAAGCAGGTTCTACACTTAGTGCACGTGGCATCTGGGGTCTCTCCAGAGCCGCCCATCCAGGGAGCCAGTCTTGCAGTTCTTTCAGGAAGTAACGCAACGTAAACTCCATGACTCCCTTTTCTGAATTTATTCCATGTGCTTCTACAAATGCCTGGGCAGTAGCTCCGACTGGTGCTTGGCCTGTCTCCATTGTTTCTGTTTCCAGGTTCATTAGCAATGAAATTTCCATACACTAAAGTGCAGCACAACATATGGATCACCAGGGTAACTGAAATGCAAAGGAAAAACCGCTCATGCTTTTGAATTGACTTTAAAGAAACAGTGGAGCCTCAGTGAGAGACGGGGACCTGGAACCGCTGATCTTTGCTGTCACGAGTGTGGGCTGACTGTCCGAGGTCTGGAACAGTTCACGTCTGAAGCTAGGTCAGACCCCTGTCTAAGGATTGCTCTAAGAAGATCATTATTGGCATTTACTTTTTCCAGATCACTTTTACAGTGCTGCCGTGTGGCAGCCAGGTGCTCAGAAAGCGTTTCTTGGATGAGTAGATGGTGCAGCTTATTTCTTGTCAAGAAGTGGTTGGAAACATATTCATGTAATCGTTGAAAATGTCAAGATGAATCCAGCCCTGTAAAGAGAAGGACACTAATGCACAGTCTCAGCCTGCTGTAGCTCCTCAGAGGCCAAAAGCAATCAGTGAATCAAACTATTTTTCCAAAATGCATTTCTTGAGAATTAGTTTCATAAACTCAATTCCTATCAGAGATTGAAGGTTTGGGGGCATGGAGAGGTTCTCAGCAAAATGTCAGAATATGAAAGGGTGACCAAAATGTAGTGAGGCAGTGACAGCGTGGCTTCCGGGAATAGTCCATGGCTCTAAGAACAAAGCCCTTCCTGGCTCTCCGCCTCCCAACATGGGTATTTAGAAACTGTGTTTCTAAAGCACATTTCTAACTACTCTACCAGCACCCCAACCCCTGCCTGTGTCCTTCAGGATACATCTTAAAGTAAGTTATCCTTTAAATTGTGTTTACCTAACTGTGTAAGTGCAGGTGGTGCAAGGAGATAAAAGTTGTCTTGTCCATTCCACCTAGGAGCTTGCATTCACTCTAGTGGCTAGTGCTAACAAGTTAAAAAAAAAAAAGATACATTATCACCTATGTATTGAGTGACATACAGAAAACTGAAGAATTCTTGATGCACAATGAAAGTTCACCCATCTCAGATTTAGGGCCAAGGAATCTTCTTGGATAAAGTGCCTTCTAAGCTGAGCCTAGATGCTGGGTTGGACTGAGTCAGGAGGGTATGAATGTCTGGAAGGAGTCAAGTCTCTTTCTCTCCAGGGCTAGCCTGGAACCTCTCAGATTTGCCATTATGAATAAGGGTTTTCTGCTTGGAGATATGGACCAGACCTGCATCCCGCTCTATGGGGCTATTCAGGCAACTGTACCAGGGGAGGTGGCTGTGGTAGGTGGATTTGGCATCTTAAATCCTCGGGGCCGACCCGGCTATCCCACATACCATCTACGTGAATTCCAGCAAATCTCTGCTGCGTTTAGTATCTTAGCTTCCTCATCTGCAAAGTGAAAGAATTGAACCCCATAATTTCTGTGGGGATTTCCAGCTTTTACTGGCATCATTTGGAAATGTGAACTGTGACATTGGCTGCTGGAGCTGCCAGGCCTAGAACTCTTTCTTTTCCTTGGCCTTGGGCTGGGGTGATGTACTTAAGAGTGCAAATGGCTACTTTGACACTAATTGTATGTATAAAAATCAAATTTAAAATTGTTCACTCATATCTTCATCTTAGAATGAGGGGAAGAGACTTTTGTCCTGGATTAGACTTACACTCACAGATTTTCAAGTGGGAAGAGCTCAAGGATGGTTTCATTCAATGCCCCATTCACAGGTAAGGAAATTGTTATAGAGGCAACCTGGGCAGAGACCAGACAAGAGATAAGCCTGCAGCTCCTGGTTCCTTCTACAGGGAAAACAAAACATGTTCACTTACATATTATCTATGTGATCCTTAAAATGTATCTATGACATCTTTAGGAAAATCTTGCTCCTACCCCGTGGACATCAATGCCTGCAGGGGCTGAGAAATGTGCCCACATCCTCATTCACAAGCTGTCCAGGGGACCCAGCTCTCCTGAGACAACTGTCTATTCCTTTAGCCACTTTAATATCACTTTAGACCATACGTTTTGCTTAAAATGTAATTTAAAATAGTTTTACTTCTGCTTTAATGTCATGATTTACAGCTATAACTTGAATTTCTATTACAAATTGTTTTCTCCTGTCACAACTGTCTGAAATTATCCAACTGTGTAAGCCTGTGAAAAGCCATTGTTGTATCCCTAAAACCAAAATATGGTTTCCATTGGTTTAGAAAATGAAACATGTCCTTTAATTTAAGCCCATATGTGGAGCATAAAAATGTGTTTCCCTTGAGTTGGCTTTCTTGGAATTCTCTTTCGAGTAATGCTCAATTCCAATTATACATGGATGCTTTTTTCAGGAGACTCTTTTGAAAGTTTAATTGGAGATGCAACTCCAAATGAATGAACTCACGGCTTCAAAGACTTTGGAAAATATGTAGTGAAGTCCAAACAGCAACTCATAACGAGCTTGATTATGTGACAGGCTAGAAACAAAGGCCTGGCCTGAGGCGTCTATTGGTGCCACAGAGGCATATAAGGACATATGAACTAGGAAAAAAGTGCTCTGGGTTTTTATTCACACGGATCTATCTAGTTCAGATAGAACAAACCAACAACTGACTGAAGTCTCCCCTAGAGGCTGGAGTAAATGAGATGAGGGAAAGCACTTGAAAAAATTTTTGTTCAGTTGTTGGTTCATTCTATCTGAACTACTTAGATCTGTGTGAATAAAAACCTGGAGCACTTTTTTCCTCAATTTTCATTTTGAACTTGTCAAATAGGAGATGAATGAAAATCTGGAAAATGAATTCACATTCAAAATGAAAATCTGGAGAAGGAAATTGACTCCCTTGGGTTCACATTGTAAAGTAATGCCTCAGCCAGGGCTCCTGGGTTCTGATCCTACTCCTCTGTTACCCTGCAATTTTTTCCTATTTATGCTAATCCCATCCCAAAGTTGGGGAATAGTATAGAATCTCTTCTTATTTCCTCAGACATATAATTCATATGAAACAGATTTTTAGGGAAAGGGGGAAAATTCTGTACAAAAAGGTAACAACCACAGGCTGCTCTGAACTAAGTAATTTCAGCTGATCGAGAGCACATGGAGGGTGACTGAAGGCTGACAACTTCTCATCTACAACAGAGCCTTTTACAAGGAAAACAGTGGTGATGTTTCCATGGTATCTCTAATACCTCCTCAGTGCTAGTGCAGGGAGAAGGGCAAACAGGAAGGTTAGATGAAAGAGCCCTCTGGAGTAGAAGCCTATCTAACAGGGGATGGGAGTGTCAGCTTCTTGTCCATCTGGGCTTGGCAGGGCCTCTTGCCAATTGATAACTTTTTTTTTTTTTTTTTGATGGAGTTTTGCTCTTGTTGCCTAGGCTGAAGTGCAATGATGCTGTCTCAGCTCACTGCAACCTCCACCTCCTGGGTTCAAGTGATTCTCCTGCCTCAGCTTCCCAAGTAACTGGGATTATAGGCATGTGCCACCACGCCCGGCTAATTTTTGTATGGCTAATTTTTGTATTTTTAGTAGAGACGGGGTTTCACCATGTTAGTCAGGCTAGTCTCGAACTCCTGACCTCAGGTGATCCACCCATCTTGGCCTCTCAAAGTGCTGGGATTACAGGTGTGAGCCACTGCGCCTGCCCGCTAACTCTTTATCTCCCCCTTGGTCATAACCATGGAACCGCATCTCTAGGAAGGAACCCAAAGAGAAAAGCCACAGAACCGATAAAAATGCACTTTAGTATTAGAGGAGATGTTTCCAGAAACATTGATTTACTAAAAGAAACTATAGAAATTTTTAGAGTACTTCAAGTTAAAAATCCTAGTTAAAAAAAAAGAATTTAAAAGTTAGAATTAGGAGTGAAAATTAGAATTCAAAAATTAGAAGATGAGATTAGGAAAGATGGATTGAGATCCTAAAAAATGAGCGAAGCAGTGAATGCATAGCAAATTGAATACTGCAGAAAATATAATTATTGAAGTTCAGTACTAAAACTAAGTATTAAGAGTTAAAATATTTTTTCAAAATATTTTTGGAAATAGAAGGTTTATATAATGTAAACATATTAATAGTGGTCCAAAATTCTGTATTATACCAATAAGTATTGAAATTTAGAAATTGGAAAAAAATTTCAATTTCTAATGTTACACAGAAAGGATATAATAGAAAAAGATTCAATTATTCTCCATATAAGGGGAGGGAGTTTTCCCCTTGCCTCTTACTCTGAATAAGAGTATTCTTATTCTGAGTATTCAGTTTTTAGGTGTACGTTTGTTTATAATGATTATATCCTCTGATGGATTGACACATTTAGCACATAATGACCTTTTTCATCTCTAGTGAGAATTTTTGTCTTAAAATCTATTAGTAAAGTCACTCTAGCTTTATTTTGACTGTTGGCTTCTATGGCTCATCTTTTTCCATCCTTTTATTTTTAATCTACTCGTGTCTTTAAATCTAAAGTATTTTTCTTTTAGATAGCATATTTTAAGAGCCTTTAAAAAATCTATACTGCCAGCCGGGCGTGGTGGCTCACGCCTGTAATCCCAGCACTTTGGGAGGGCGAGGCGGGCAGATAACGAGGTCAGGAGATAGAGGCCATCCTGGCCAACATGGTGAAACCCCGTCTCTACTGAAAAAAAAATACAAAAAATTAGCCGGGGGTAGTGGCGGGCGCCTGTAGTCCCAGCTACTCAGGAGGCTGAGGCAGGAGAATGGCGTGAACCCGGGAGGCGGAGCTTGCAGTGAGCCGAGATCGTGCCACTGCACTCCAGCCTGGGCGACAGAGCGAGACTCCGTCTCAAAAAAGAAAAAAAAAAAAAATCTATACTGCCAATCTCTTTCTTTTGTTTAGAATGTTTAATTTATTAACATTGAATGATGTTACTGATAAGGTAGAATTTAATTTTGCCATTTGCTCTTTGTTTTTTATATTCTATGTCTTTTTGTTCCTTGATTCCTACCTTCTTTTGTGCTAAATATTTTCTAGCATACATTTTAAATTTCCTGGTTGCTTCTTTTATTGTATTGTTTGAGTTATTTACTTTGTGGTCACTTTTGGAATTATAGTTAGACTCAATATAATTTGGTTAGTAGCTTAAGTTAATAATAATTACAAGGGTATACAGAAAGTTTGCTTCAATGTATGTCTGTCTCATCTTTTGTGCTTTGTGTTATTATTGTCATAAATGACATCTTAATAAAGTCTTCAATACAGTTTTATAATACTACCTTATGCTGTTGTCTTTTAAAAAAGGAGAAGAAGAGTTATGCTTATGCTGTCTTTCATAATAAACTGTATAGTTATTGTTACCAGTGCTCATTATTTTTATGTGTGTATTTGAACTGCCGTTTGGGCTTTCATTTTAGCTTAAAGGCTGCCATTTAGTATGTGATAATAACACATTCTCTCATTTTTTATTTATCTGGAAATGGCTTAATTTCTTCATTTTTAAAAGATAGTTTATCTGGATGTAGAATTCCTAGCTGATAGTCTTTTTATTACAACACTTTGAAGATGTCATCCCGTTGCCTTCTGAACTCCATGGCTTCTATGAGAATTGGCTGTCCGGTTGAGATCCCTTGTCCATGGCTGGTCTCTCTTCTCTTGCTGCTTTCAAGAGTCTTTCTGTGCCTTCGGTCAATTTTGTCAATATGACTATGGTATGAATAGGCATAGGTCTCTTCGAGTTTATTTTCCTTGTAGTTTGTTGAGCTTCTTGAATAGGTAGATTAATATTTTTCATAAAATTTGGGAAGATTTCAACCATTATTTCTTCAAGTGTTTATCCTTTCTCTCTTCTCCTGGAACCCTCATTATTCATATGTCTGTGTGCTTGCTGGTGTCCTGCAGGCCTCTTAGGATCTGTCCATTTTTCTTCATTATTTTTTCTTTCTGCTCCTCAGTCTGGATAACCTCATTTGACTTTTCTTCAAGTTTGCTGTTTCTTCTTCTGCCTGCTCTGTTTTGCTATTGAACCTCTCTAGTGAATTTTATATTTGAGATATTGCACTTTTTAGCTACAGAATTTCTATTTGGTTCCATGTTATAATTTCTGTCTCTTTATTGATGTAAAGTAATGCCTCTGTTTGGTGAGGCATTACTTTCGTATTTTACCTTTTTTCTTTAAATATGATTTCCTTTAGTTATTTGGAAATATTTGTAATAGCTTACTTTAAGTCTTTGTACACTAAGTCTAAACTCTAGGTGCCCTTCGGGATATTTTCTGTTTGTTACATTTTTCCACATAGTTAGAATACTTCCCTGTTTTTTTGCATGTCTCATATATGTTTTGAAGACTGGGAATTTTGGATATTACAACAATTTAACAATTGTGTTATAACAACTTAAAGACTGTGTATCAGATTTTTCCGCTCCTTCATGGTTTTTTGTAGCTGCTTTTAGTTTAGTTTAGTTTAGTTTCATTTTGTTGTTTTTTTTGTTGCTACCTATTTGTTTAGTGACTTCCTGGACTAATTTCATAGATTCTATATTTCTTGCAGTGTGGGACCAGTGAGTTTTTCACTATCTTTTATTTTAAAATTTCTTTAAAAAAATAAGACTTGCTTTCTAGAAGTCACACTGGGGTTAATATGATTTAGTGGTCAGTTGATGATTGGTCGTATTTCCTTAAATGCTTTGTCTATGTTTTCTCTAAACTTTGCCAAGGGGGTCTGTGTGCAAAGGCCTTCAGACTTCAGGCATTTTCCAAGACAGCATTAGCTGTCACTTCCTGCTGTTATAGAGCCTCAAGGTCAGCCAGAGGTGGTGCCTTTTCCTTTCCCAGGATTTCCCTGGTCATACACGTAGCCTAGATAGCTAAGAATATGTTGCACTTGTCAAAGTTTCCAGTGGTCATCTGGTTTCCAAGATTTGTTTTAAGATTCCCAGCCAGGCTTTTGTTTGCCCCAATTTAAGTCATGGCCTTAGGCAGTTGACATGTCTCCAGTAGCTACCCTTGTTTCAGTAATATCCTGTGAGTGGGTCCTTCACCTCTGCTGAACTGAGCTCCAGGTCAAATCAAACACCCATCACACTTGAAACATATAGATTATCAAGGGAGCTGCAAATTCAGACAAAATACTAATTGTGAGCTTGGAATAGTACTTTTCAAGAAGCTCCAAAGAGGTCAGAGCTGTCCTTAGTCTGCAATGCCTCTAGGTTTTGGCTACCTCACTACTGTTCTGGAGAGGGAGAGAAGTGAGAAAAGCCTCAAGTTAAAATGTCACAGACACTGTTGTCTTACTGAGGGCTAGTAGCTTCTCTTTGATGAATGATTTTCACTATGTTCTGAAGCTTATTTAATGGCCAGCATTCCGAAATGGTTAATTGTATTTCTTTGGCTGTTAGTTTGTTTCGTTCGTGAAATACACATTCATCGAGTCTTCACTCCTCTATTCTGGAAGTCTATCACAAGATGCATTACTTTATAATTGGAGACATATGGTAATTGCAAAAGGGACTATTAATAAATCAAAGGAAGTTCTTTCTCTGTCTACTTTGCTGTGTTGATATTCATTATCATAAAAACTACCAGAGCCCATAATTTACTGACAGCATTAAAATGATTAGCATGACATGGGGCTACACAGGTGTAGTCTTCTTGGGTTATTTCTGTCTTAAGGCTATTTGTGTGTATATTCATTAATTTTATTAACATTCATTGACAAGTGTGGAGTCTCCAAATGAGACAAAAAATACTGTCCTTGCCTTCAAAGGGCATAAATAAAAGTTGGCAGGAGAATTAGAAAATTTTTGACTAATGCAACTTTTAATGCACATTGGACCCCTGGGGTTATTTTATAAGATTGGAAACATTTAATTCACTATAACTAAAAGTATATATTTTTAAACATTAAAAACAAAAGCATCCACAATTTCATCACCTACATAACTATACATGACATAGCATGCATGTGTTTAGATAATATGAACTGTTCAAGTTTTAAACTTGTCCCTAAACCAGGGTCTTTTTCCCCAAAAGTAAGTGTTATTAAGGACTCGTGGAATAGTTCAGATTAGTTTAAATGTAAATATCAGTATATATCTTAATACTATTTATGTATGTCTCTTTTTCTCTATCTATCAAGAGAAAGACACAAGAGAAATGAAACTTAAGTCTGTCCCATCCTCATATTCTGTGGTGAAGGGACAGAATGTTCTGGCTAGAAAGTAGAAATAATGCCGAATGTTAGGAAGGTTATTAAGCAGCCCACATGATTGAGGATAGAACATGTTTAATTTTGTTCTCAAAAAAAGAAAAATGATCTCCGTAAAGTCACAGCAGCTTGATGACAGTCTGGCCGCTTTGGAAGCTGGTAAGTCCTCTTCTGTCCAGGAACAGGGTAATGTCTGCGCTCAGAGCAGCAGTTCTCAAATGTTTTGGTCTCAGAATTCCTTTATATTCTTAAAAATTATTGAAGACCTCAAAGAGCTTGTATTTAAGTGAATTATATCAATAGATATTTACTGTCACAAAAATTAAAACCTGATTTTAATATTATTAATAAAAGTAACAATACATTTACTAGCACATACTGTGAAATAATAAAAAATATATATTTGGTTTCTGCCCCCAGTTTCTGGCATTTAGCTCCTAAAACTCTTGTAATTTCCTGGGTGATAGGAGAATCTTTTTTTTCTACTGAGGGTACTCTTGGTGGGCTCCTGGATGGGGTCTGGTAACCAGAAAGACCAACACATGATTAGAAGCTTGAAATTTTCAGCCATATCCCCCAGCCTCTGGGAAGGGGAAAGGGGCTGAAGATTGAGTTAATAATTGGGTGTTTTATTTTGCCTATTTGATGAAGCCTCCATAAAAATCCCTGAACAATGGGGTTCAGGGAGTTTCCAGGTTGATGAAAACACCCATGTGCTGGGAAGCTGGTGCACCCCAAATCCATGGGGACAGAAGCTCCTGTGCCCAGGAGCCTTCTGGACCATGCCCTGTGCATGTCTTCGTCTGGCTAGTCACCTATGTCCTTTATCATATCCTTCAAAATAAAGCAGTAAACATAAGGAAAGTGTTTCCCTGAGTTTTGTGAGCCATCCTGGAAAATTACCAAACCTAAGGAGGGGGCTGTGGGAACCCCTGATCTATAGCTGGTGGGTCAGAAGTACATGGTCTCAACCTGGGGCTTGTGATTGGCATCTGGGGTCAGGGGCAGTCTTATGGGATTGGGCTCTTAACCTGTGGAGTCTGTGCTCACTCAGTTAGATTCAGAGCTGAATTGAATTGTGTGATACACAGCTGGTTTAATGTGAGAAACCCCACCCCTACCGCCTCATTTTGGTGACCAGAGTGTTCTGTGTTGAGTGCATAGTAAGAGAAAACAGTTCTGTTTCTCCATTAAACACATACATACATAATGTATTATTAATACAAATACATTTTCTGAAAAACATAGTGACAAATGGCATTGTTTTCTATTTTTTGCAAGTCTATGTTTGGCTATATAGGAGACGCATTCTCATAGCTGCTTCTGCATTCGTCTTCTGTGATGTCGATTCAGGTAGCTTGTAGAAACCTCCAGTGTACACTCCTGAGTTAATAACACTGAACAAAGCAAATAACGTCTCATTATTATTACAAAAGTAGTTCTGATTTAGTGGACTCCTTAAAGGTTTACTGTGAACTCCACAGAGGCTCCTGGAACACACTTTGAGGACCCCATGTCTAGGGTGAGTTCAGGAAGGAGATGCTTAGAGATGATGGGATGAGAGGTTCTTGGGTGTCTACTCCATTCCTCAGGGAAAAATAATAATCAGATTTTTTGTATATTAGTATCAGCCCAAATAACTGTTAGATTACTTTACATTTTCTTTTAACCCTTGGACAAACAATTTACATCTAAATCCAATAACTTTAAGAAATGTGTTCATTTGTATTGCTACTAGAGCTGGCTAAATTTGTATAGATGTATCAGTTGAGATGTAAGTGATAATTTTTGGAATAAAAGTTATTTTGTATCTTTAATAGCGGTAAAGCACGTGTTCATCCTATGACCAGAAGGTTTTCTGAGAACAGTAATCACATTCAGTCTCCACATCTCCGGGGTCCAAACCCTTTACATTGGGCTTCATTGAAAGGATAAATTGGAGTTTGAGTTGATAAAAAAGTTATTTTAATGCTTTTACTTCATGTACCTTTTCTAAATTTTTCTTAGAAGATCGATATTAACACTGGAGCTATTTTAGGTAAACAATCAGATTTTGAAAATAATTTATTTTGGGGAACAATTCTAGTCCTATTAGCAATATTTCTTGGTTGGAACTTCATTAAGGTGGCTTTGAAAAGGAGCTTCGACTGCCCTGTGTGAGGCTGTTGGCACCCACTGCTCAGTCTCCAGCCTGAATCTCCCCAGGCATCTCTCTGTGTCCTGCTTCTCCCCAAGACCCTCTTTGCCTTGGAGTCTTCTGGGGTGCTGTCCCTAGCTCCAAGACAACATTTATTTCTCTCTGTGGTTTCTACTTCCCATTGTGAAAGCACAAGACTTAACCCTAAATCCACTAGTGACACTGATAATGAAGCAATGACTGTGGACCCCAGCCTGAAACAAGCCCTGGGGTGTGGGGTGCACTGAGTTGATGTCAGGCCTTCTGTTGTGGGTGTTTTATTTTGTCAAGTCATGGACCCACCCCTGGGCTCCAAGGACATTTGCATTATCTGGACACACTTAGAGGATGCTTGGAGGTAGAAAGGCTTTAAAGATTAGCCCTAAACCTCATGTTACCAAGCTAATAAAATGGTTAGCCATGATGCTAACTCACTTATTTACAATTTTAGAAAACAATATTCAATGTTCAAACAATATGTACTTGGGCCCTGTTATGACTGAATTATGACCGTTTCTCAATTCATATGTTGAATTCTCAACCCCTTGCACCTCTGAATATGACTGTATTTGGAGATGAGTCATTTAAACAGATGATTACATTTAAGTGGGGTAATTGGGATGGGCCCTGATCCAATATGACTGCGGTCCTCATAAGAAGAGGAAGTTAGAACACAGACACACACGCACACAGAAACACACACGAAAAAGCATGTGAAGATACAGGCAGAAGATGGCCATCTACACATCCAGGAAAAAAGCCACAGGAGAAACCAAGCCTGCCAACACCCTGACCTTGGACTTCCAGCCTCCAGGACAGAATATATTTTCACGGTTTAAGCCACCCAGGTTGTGCAGTATTTGCTATGGCAGCCAACCAGGCTGATACAGGCCTCTGTGCCTGACACTGCTCCAGGCCCAGGGAACACTGTATTGCGAGCCACCCTCAGGAACTTGCTCTAGTGTGTTCTCTCAGATTCATCCTATGCACAAGCTGGGCCCTTGGGGTCAGCAAGGCACTCTCTTTGCCAAGAACCTGTGGGCTAAGGGGCACACAAGGCTATACTTTGAGAATTACTAGAACATAGTCATTTATATCAGAAGAGATGGTCACAGGTAAAGCCAGAGTCTGCGTAACCAGACAAGATGCATTAATCAATTCATTTATTAAATATGTATTCTGCAATGTGGAATAGATGTGGAAATAGAGTCTGAGTTGGGTCCTCAGAGACATGATGGTCCAGTTGGGAGCCCAAGAGTCAGCACATTAACAGTGAGGGAAGACATAGTCAAGATGAAAGGGATTCCTGGGAAAGACACAAAGAAGTGGGCTGAGCCAGGAAAGAGTATGTTTAGGGGTCCCTGTGGCTGATCAGGGCAGAGTCCCTCCGGAGCAGGATCTTAAGTGCAACCTGAGGACTGGAAGGGCCTTGTGAGGAGCAGGGCAAGAGTCTCCCAGGCAGAGGGACCAGCCGTGCAAAGGGCCTGGGGTGGTGAAGGGCTTGCTGTATTGGAGCTGCTGAGGGAATCCCCTGTGTCTGGCCTCAGAGAGAGGAGCAGCAAACTGTGAGGCGAGGGTGGAGAAGTGAAGGGAACTGGGTTCCCAGGGGCCTGTGGGCCATGGCGAGGCATCTGAATTTTATTCTAATGCACTGGGGACACATTGAGGCCTGGTGAGCTAGTGAGGAATGTTGTGATTCCACAGAATTTTGGAAGAACCCACTGATTTGGTGGAGCAGGGGACTGAGGGGAGGAGTGCAGGAAGCTGGGAGCTGCTTAGCCTCTGTCCAGGCCACAGGGGCCAGCAGCCAGTGCTGGAGCAGCAGCCTGCCTTTCCTCTGCCTGTTGGCTCCAGGCCCCAGCCCGCAAGCCCCAGACCAGGCGTGGCTCTCCTCGAGTCTTAACATGACCTAAAAAGGGGGATTTAAAACATCTATTCCTTTCTATTGAAACATAGTTTTTTCCAACTAGGTTTTATTTTATTTTTTTTTAGATGGAGTCTTGCCCTGTCTCCCAGGCTGGAGTGCAATGGTGCAATCTTGGCTCAATGCAAGCTCTGCCTCGCGGGTTCAAGCAATTCTCCTTCCTCAGCCTCCCGAGTAGCTGGGATTACAGGCACCTGACTCCACACCCAGCTAATTTTTGTATTTTTTAGTGGAGACGAAGTTTCACCATGTTGGCCAGGCTGGTCTCGAACTCCTGACCTCAGGTGATCTGCCCACCTCGGCCTCCCAAAGTGTGAAGATTACAGGCATGAGCTACTGCGCCTGGCCGCAAGTAGTTACTTTAATAGCTGACATTCATTCAAGACTTACCAAATGCCAGACATCATTTTGCACATTTTCTGTACAGGTTGTTGTGTTATCATTGCAATAGCCATGGGATGTAAACATTTTCTTTTTTTTTTCATTTCTCAGGTGACGAGGATTTTATGGGCCTTAGTTTCTTTTTCTTTCTTTCTTTTTTTTTTTTTCTTTTTGAGATGGAGTTTTGCTTTTGTTGCCCAGGCTGGAGTGCAATGGCGCCATCTCAGCTCACTGCAACCTCTGCCTCCTGGGTTCAAGCAATTCTCCTGCTTCAGTCTCCCGAGTAACTGGGATTACAAGCATGTGCCTCCACACCCAGCTAATTATGTATTTTTAGTAGAGATGGTGTTTCTCCATGTTGGTCAGCCTTGTCTCGAACTCCCGACCTCAGGTGATCCGCCCGCCTTGGCCTCCCAAAGTGCTGGGATTACAGGCGTGAGCCACCACGCCTGGCCAGTTTCTTTGTTTTTAAAATAAGAATATAATATAGCAAAAGTCCTGTCGTTACATAAAGGGGCACACGAATGTGAATACACATGTACACACAGATGTGCACACACATGCACACATGGCAGCCATGAGTGATGTTCATGGATAATTACAAGATAGTTGGAACATAAATTATGTTGTGTTTTTCATAGCACTCTGTATGTTTTGAAATAATGAGTGGCTAAATAGTGAATCCATTTTTTTGGATACTACAAGTTTCAGAGATTTTATGGAAGATAAAAAAGATGGAACAATAAATGCAAAGCACGGTTTGTTATTATGATGAACTCTTACATTGTGATAGGTTCACATATTCAGGAACATCTTAATGTGATTGCTATATGATATACCCATTTAATAAAGAAAATGATAAAAGAAGGGAACATTAACACAAAGTAAATGCCAAATAATGTTAAAAGTTTGAACAATGACACCACACTTATTTAATATGAACATTTATCATTTCTACAGTGGAGGCTGAAAACTCACAAATCAGGCATTGTACTATTTGCAAGCTTAATCTTTCATGACAAATGGTTCAGACATAGAAAAATGTCTTTCAGTTTTCATTGCCATTGCTTGAATTGTTCAAAACATATTTTCAAGTTGGGCCTTCAGTGCACATTGCCTCTGCTAAGTTCTTTTCTTTTCTTTCTTTTTTTTTCTTTTAACACTTGCTTGCCCTGGTTTTGGTTTTACCATCGACATTGATTTTGCTCCTGCTACTTCAGTTGCTGATTCACTCTCATCTCATGAGAGAGCATTTCACAGCAACTCTCATGTTTTCTCCATAAATTTCTTCCACTGAAGCACATTTTCTCTTAAAAATCTATCCATTGGTGATCTTGCTAAATCAACAATTTCATTTTTGACTGCAAAAAAGTTGTCCTTTCTCACTTCATATAAATAGCAAGCTTAAAGCAAGTTCATGCATCACTCACAACTTCGTAAAGTTCCCCTTCTATAAATGACTGACTTTCAGCTGCCAAAAAGCAATTTTATTGATATGGACTTTTTAAAAGCCTTTGGATCATTTTTTATAATATATCCATTTAGTATCCAAAATGACTTATAATTTTATTTTTTTCATTCTTGAGTATTTCTTTCTGCAAAAAAAAACTAATTCTCATGAGAGAATGATTTAAAGAGCTTTATAATTTTTCTTATATTTAAAAACTGTGGCAGAGGCATTTTACAGATGATACTGCTTAGATTTGACCCACAACCAGATCAGAGTTATTGTTTTCACTATTCTGGTTTTTCAAAGTTGTAGTGCATTCACTTCTGCTGCTGTTTGTTTTTCATGTTTTGTCCATCAACCTCCTATTGGTGTAAGATACTTTAGTCACAAGGTGAAATGCATGCTCATCAGTGATAACTTTCTGAATTTGTCTGTGATTGTGCTGGTAATCAGTGTTAGTAAGCTATGACTGTGTAACAAATTACTCCAAAACCTAACAGTTAAAAAAAAATTTAATTATCTCACAGTTTCTGTGTTCTAAGTGGTTCTGGCTCAAGTCTGTCAAGGGGCTGCAGTCAAGTTGTTGGCTGGGTGGGAGGGGAGGCATCTTAAGGCTCAACTGGGAGAGGACCTGCTTCCAAGCTCACTCATGTACTTGTTGGCAGCCTCAGAAGATGCGCTTCTAGGGTCACCCACATGGTGCCTTTGCACAGGATTCCCTCACAGCATGGCAGCTGGCTTCCCCAGAGCTAGTGATCCAAGAGAGAGCAAGAAAGACAACCCAAAACTGAAGTCTGTTTTTTTATAACCTCTTTTTGGGAGTGACCACTCATCACTTGGGCCATTGGTTTAAAGCAGGTCACCAAATCTGGCCCACCCTCAAAGGAAGGGGATCACTGGAAGCTATCTTAGACACTGCTTACCACACAACAACATCTGCTTCAAGTTCTACTTCAAAAGTTTCTAATCTTTTCTCAAGTAAAGACAATAGTTTTTCTCCAGAATAGTTCCCATGAATTCTTATTAAACCAAGAGTCAATGAAGTTTCAATGTAGCATGCATGAACATTCATGTATCTTTGATTCTGATAACTGGCCACTCATCTACCTAAATGTTTATTTTCTTATTTTCGCATTTGAAAGTGCCAAATTGATGTGCAGTTGTTCCATTGTATTGTAAAAGTTATGTATTAACGCAATAATTGATGATGGACGTTTTGGCCATTGCAGTCCCTTGCTTAAGAAACTTGCCCTAACAAATTTAGTTTCATGTTTTTTTTTTTTCTCCAAATCTTGTCTTTTTCAATGGTGTTCTGGGATCAGCTTGTGAACCAACTCACGTCATCTCTTCTCAACTCCACAGTCAGTGACATCATGTTGGTAGCTTAAAGTTGGCCGCTGTGGAGGATATAGCTACATGTGGGATTTGGCAAATGTTACAGACCACCATTTCCATCCCTACTGTATTGTTCCTTAAGAGTAGTTGGCATCAGCTTATGAGTATTATTTTTAGAGCTTTATTTTGCCAATAATGCTATGATAATATCCAGGGTGCTGAAGTAGATGATGCTTTGCTTTGCAGTGATTCAAATATATCTGGTTATGAGATAAATGACTTCCCTTATCTCTTATGCTTTCAACATTTTTGTACTCTGTATTATGGATATCTCAAAATTACCTAATAAATAATAAATTACAATGTAGTACTATGACGTAGTCTCTAACAAACAGTGAATGTGCGCACCCTGGAAAACATGAGCAAATATTATTGGGTAGTATTTAATACCTAGGTCAGCTACCAAAGTTAATAGCGCTATATAGAATTATGTGTACAATTGTGAAGTTAAAGAATTATTTTGTTTTAAAAACTTATTTCTTGTAACATCACTTGCAGGGTTTGTATAAAATACACGATGCATATAAACATATTTATACTTATTTCAGAATGACTTACTGTTAGCAGCAGACAGGGCTGCGAACACCCTAATGGTATAGCAACAACTATGAGAAACACAGGCTGATTAGGTTACAGAAATTTCTGTCCTGTGCACCTCTTAACCTTCGATTCCTCATGCCCACGTTTCCTGCTCTTGCTTTTGACTGGCCATGGGTGGATCTTTTCCACCCACCACCACCTCTATGTTGATTGTTGAGCTTTAATTTACTCAGAAGAATCAACAAACTTTTCCCAATTTTTCTCATTTTTCAACTTATTTTTCTTGAGATTCGGGATTTGAAACAACAATTTCCCAAAAAACGCGGGGAATAAATTTTTACATGGAAAGGTTATCCCTACTTACCTTCCTCTCTATAGCTTGACTCTTTTGAGATATGGCCCATCTTGGTTTCTTTTCCTACTACAGCACATCAAATTATGCTCTATTTTATTTTATCTATATACTTATATAAATATATATGGCATAAATTTTAAAAGGCTTGGACATTGTAAATATATAAAAGCATAAACTTTATAAATAAATAAGCCTGGCTCCATTCTTTGTCACTTTATATTTATATAACTTAGAGAGCTTTACTTGGTTTCTTGAGATGCAGTTTTCTTAGCTAAAATGGGCAAACGTTTGTGGTGGGGATACATTGATATAGTATGATTTCCCTAATTTAGCACAATGCATAATAGCTAACATGTTTTTCCCTAAAAATGTTTAATTAAAGTATAATAATAAAGATAAAAAAGTGTTCAATTGATTGACATTCTAGAAATATGCATGCCACTATTTTCCACTGGCATTTCTAAATCTCTTCTAGTCAGCGTTATTTAATACATGTTAATAATGTAGAAATATTGAGGTGGAGAGGTACAAAAAATAAGAAAACAAAACAACACAAAGAAAACCCTCAACAACATTTTGTTTTAGCTTTTCTTTCCAAAAAATAGACATAAAAATAAAGTTAAAGCAAAGCAAACCCAAAATAAAATTCTTATAAAAAGAATAAACAGGAAGAGTACCAGATTCTAGCAGTGAATCTGACAGAAAGGCTTAGTGAAGTCTCATGGAGGAAGCTTAGGATATTGCTTCTTTCCCTGTGGTTTCTGAACCCAACCAAATGGCCACATTTCCAGCTGGTGACCTTTTATTCTATTTCCATAATTATGTAATTGTCTGTGACACAAATAATTTACTGTGTGTGGAGAATCATTGTGCAGTGGGTTACATATATATAAATATATTTTTGCATTTTCTACATATACATTTTTTATACTTTAAGTTTTAGGGTATATGTGCACAACATGCAGATTAGTTACATATGTATACATGTGCCATATTGGTGTACTGCACCCATTAACTCGTCATTTAACATTAGGTATATCTCCTAATGCTATCCCTCCCCCCTCCCCCACCCCACAACAGGCCCCAGTGTGTGATGTTCCCCTTCCTGTGTCCATGTGTTCTCGTTGTTCAATTCCCACCTGTGAGTGAGAACATGCAGTGTTTGGTTTTTTGTCCTTGCGATAGTTTGCTGAGAATGATGGTTTCCAGCTTCATCCATGTCCCTACAAAGGACATGAACTCATCATTTTTCATGGCTGCATAGTATTCCATGGTGTATATGTGCCACATTTTCTTAATCCAGTCTATCATTGTTGGACATTTGGCTTGGTTCCAAGTCTTTGCTATTGTGAATAGTGCTGCAATAAACATACGTGCGCATGTGTCTTTATAGCAGCATGATTTATACTCCTTTGGGTATATACCCAGTAATGGGATGGCTGGGTCAAATAGTATTTCTATTTCTAGATCCCTGAGGAATCGCCACACTGACTTTCACAATGGTTGAACTAGTTTACAGTCCCACCAACAGTGTAAAAGTGTTCCTATTTCTCCACATCCTCTCCAGCACCTGTTGTTTCCTGACTTTTTAATGATAGCCATTCTAACTGGTGTGAGATGGTATCTCATTGTGGTTTTGATTTGCATTTCTCTGATGGCCAGTGATGATGAGCATTTTTTCATGTGTCTGTTGGCTGCATAAATGTCTTCTTTTGAGAAGTGTCTGTTCATATCCTTTGCCCACTTTTTGATGGGGTTGTTTGTTTTTTTCTTGTAAATTTGTTTGAGTTCATTGTAGATTCTGGATATTAGCCCTTTGTCAGATGAGTAGATTGCAAAAATTTTTTCCCATTCTGTGGGTTGCCTGTTCACTCTGAAGGTAGTTTCTTTTGCTGTGCAGAAGCTCTTTAGTTTAATTAGATCCCATTTGTCAATTTTGGCTTCTGTTGCCATTGCTTTTGTTGTTTTAGACATGAAGTCCTTGCCCATGCCTATGTCCTGAATGGTAATGCCTATGTTTTCTTCTAGGGTTTTTATGGTTTTAGGTCTAACATTTAAGTCTTTAATCCATCTTGAATTAATTTTTGTATAAGGTGTAAGGAAGGGATCCAGTTTCAGCTTTCTACATATGGCTAGCCAGTTTTCCCAGCACCATTTATTAAATAGGGAATCGTTTCCCCATTTCTTCTTTTTGTCAGGTTTGTCAAAGATCAGATGGTTGTAGACATGTGGCATTATTTCTGATGGCTCTGTTCTGTTCCATTGGTCTACATCTCTGTTTTGGTACCAGTACCATGCTGTTGTGGTTACTGTTTTTTACTGTAAGTGAGCACAAAATTTGACCACGGATGACTGTGTTTACTTTTCCTAATGGCTCTACACAAGAAAGCATAATGACAGACATCCCTAGAAGAAATCCCAGGGAATTGGGAGAATATAAATGGGCTCTCCATTGTCTACACTCAAGCTACTTTGGTTATGAAAAATATCATATATATATATATATATGCATGTATATATATATGTATATATATATGCATGTATATATATGTATATATATATGTATGTGTGTACATATATATATACACACACACACACATGTTTGGAGAAGATATATATTTACTCTTATGTATACTTACTCTTCCCATATTTACTGCCTATATATTTACTGTTTTCCATATGAAGAAGAGTAAAGTTAATCTCCTTCATGGATGTATTATTTTGCTTCAGCAATTGTCAATTTATGGCCCATCTTCTTACCCACTTCCCTATCCCTGAATTATTTTGAAGCAATCTCAGACATCTCAGGAATCCCAGTTATCATTTTACTCACGTATATTTCTCAACGTTTCTTTAAAAAATAAGAACTAATATATAGAGATAGATATATATAAATATAGATATTTATTTTGGTTTATATTTTGTCTTCGTAAATTTTCAGGGTCACTCCTCTGTTCCTCTCCTCTCCCTCCCCATTCTTCATCTCTCTTTTCCTCATCCCCCATCTCCTTTTCCTCCTCCTCCTCCTCCTCCTTTTTCTCCTTATTTTTTTCCCCAGTTTATTTGATAAAGAAACTAGATTGTCCTATAGAATTCCCCACACTGGACTTTGCTGATTGTATCTCCTTGCTGTAATTTAATATGCTCCTTTTGTTTCCAATATCCCCTTTCTAATGGCCAAATAGAGACTTTATCAGATGCGAATTCGATTTTGTGGGAAGAATCTTGCAACATGGTCTCATGAGCATACAGAAGGAGGCACAATATATCTGTGATGTTTGTGAGAAGTCAGCTCTCCTGAAGAATATTGCATAAATTTTTTTTTTTTTTTTGAGACAGAGTCTCACCCTGTCGCCCAGTCTGGAATGCAATGGCATGATCTCGGCTCACTGCAACCTCTGCCTCCCGGGTTCAAGCGATTCCCCTGCCTCAGCCTCCTGCGTAGCTGGGATTACAGGTGTGCACCACCACATCTGGCTAATTTTTGTATTTTTAGTAGAGACTGAGTTTCACCATGTTGGTCAGGCTGGTCTCCAACTCCTGACCTTGTGATCCACCCTCCTCGGCCTCCCAAAGTGTTGGGATTACAGGCGTGAGCCACTGCGCCCAGCCTATTGCATAAATCTTTTATATCAGTAGAGGTTGCAAAATGATATTTCCTTCCTATTATTCTGATTTAGCTAAATATTCTAAAGATAATCTTATCTATATAAGTTTTATTACCCTGAGTTATGTTCCTTTAAAATAAAGCAAGATGAATAGTTGATTTTCCCCCTTTATATCCTAATTTTCAAAATGAATAATTGGTTACCTAGCATCATCCCAAAGTGACCAATGAGGGTTTTGTTTTTCAAACATTATTTAGATTGCATGGGTTTAAACATTATCAATATATTTTAATTTATTTTAGTCTTTATCCTCATTGGTGCTCGAATTGTCCCAACTTTGGCAATAGGAGTTACTGCCAGGTGGCTCCTGAATCTTCCTGACATGACCTCATTGGTTTTCAGCAGCTGCTTTGCTTCCTGTTAGAATTAAGGGCCATATTTTAAATGCCCTGCTTTATACCTGGAATCACATTTTTCCACAGGAAGTTAGATTTTTTGAGGTGGAGGGTGCAGCAATGAGTTTTTATTTTCTGAATAGATAACTTCTTTGAATTAAGCTTTAAAATTCAGATACTTGTGAATTCCCATGCAGCTGTAGGAATTAATATAGAGAGGTCCCATGTACCCTTCACTCAGTTGCCTCCAAAAGTAACATCTTGCGTAACTATAGTGCAATGTCAGGACTGGGAATTTGACACTGACCTACCCGTATTTCACTAGTTTGACATGCATTCATTTTGCCTGTGTGTATTTAGTTATGTGCAATATTATCACATGGAACAAGTTGGAAACAAGGGTTCATCATGCTACTCTCTCATAGCCACAGCCACCACCCTATCCTGATGCCCATCCCTAATCCCTGATAAATGCTAATTAGTTCTCCATCTCTGTAATGCTTTTATTTCAATAATTTTATATAAATTGAATCATCTAATATGTGACCATTTGAGATTGGCTTTTTTCCCTCGATATCTTGAGACCCATCCCAGTTGTGTATATCAATAATTCCTCCTTTTTTTTTCCTCGTTGGATAATATTCCATGGTATGGATTTTTTAAAACCATTTGTTTAAGCATTTACCCATTGTGGGATATTTTGCTTGGTTCTAATTTTTTCTATTACAAATAAAGCTGCTATGACCATTTGTGTACGGATTTTTGTGTGAGCGTTTAAATTCTTGCTTCTCTGTAATAAATGCCAAGGGTGCAGTGGCTGGGATATATGGAGAGTGCATTTTTAGTTTTGTTAAGAAACTGACAAACTATGTGCAGAGTGATAGTGCTATTTTACATTCCTACTGGCAATGTATGTGTGGTTCACTTTTCTCACATCCTTGCCAGCATGTGGCACTCCAGCTATTTTTTTATTTTAGCTGTTTTGGCAGGTGTGTAGTGATAACTCTTTGTGGTTTTAATTTTTATTTCCCCCATGTTTAATGATGTCAAACATCTTTTGACATGCTTGAATGTCACCTGTATATCCTCTTTAGTGAACCTCTTTAGTGAAACATTGGTTCCTTTCATTCTCTCATTTTCTAGTTTGATTGAATGATTTTTACTACTTCATTTTGAGAGCTCTTTATATATTCTAGACAAAAGATCTTTGGTGGATATGTGGTGTGCAAATATATTCTCCTGGTTTGTAGCTTTTCTCTTAACTCTTTTAATAGGGCATTTTGCAAGGCAAAAGTTTTCATTTTGATGAAGTCCAACTTATAAAATTTTCATTTTATGGACCATGCTTTTGGTGCTGAGTCTGAGACCTTGCCAAGTCTTAGATCCTAAAAATTTTCTTCATTTTCTTTTCTAAAAGCGTTTTGCATTTTGTTTACTTTTAAGTCTGTGATTCATTTTGAGTTAATTTTCATATAAGATTTGAGGTTTAGGATGAGATTCTTCTTTTTGTTGTTATTTTTTCTTCTGGATGTCCAATTGCTCCAACATCCATTTATTGCGAAGGTTGCTCTTCTTTCATTGAATTATTTTTGCACCTTTGTCAATAATCAATTGACATGACAAAACAAATTCTGGCAAGGATGTGGAATAACAGGAATGCCTATTCATTGCTGGTGGGAATGCAAAATGGTACAGCCATGTTGGTAGACAGATAGATGGTTTCTTACAAACTAAACATACTTTTACTATATGATCCAGCAGTCATGCTTCTTAGTATTTATCTAGAGGAACTGAAAACTTATGTCCACACAAAAGCCTACATTGGACGTTCACAGCAGCTTTATTCATAATTGCCAACACTTAGAAGCAACCAAGAAGTCCTTTGGTAGGTGAATGGATGAACAAACTGTGTTACATCAGACAACAAAATAGTATTCAGTGCTATTTACCATGAAAAGACTTGGAGAGAGCTTAATTTCATGTTACTAAGTGAGAGAAGCCAATCTGAAAAGGCTACATACTGTATGATGCCAACTAATTATATTTTGGAAAAAGCAAAAGTATGAAGACAGTGAAAAGAGTATTGGTTGCCCAGGGTTAATGGGGAGGGAGGGATGAATAGGTGGAACACAGAGGTTTTTATAGGACAGTGAAACTATACTGAATGATACTTTAATGTTGGATACATGTTATTACATATTTTATTCTCATAGAATTTACAACACCAAGAGTGAACACTAATGGAAACTGTAAGCTCTGAATAATAACGATGTGTCAATGTAGGTTCATTGATTGCACCTAATGTACCATTCTGGCGGGGGAATACGGACAATGAGGGAGACTGTGCCTGTGTGCCAGTAGGGGGTATATGGAAAGTCTCTGTACCTTTCATTCAGTTTTTGCTGTGAACTGCTCTAAAAAAAGTCCATTAAAAATCAATTGGACATATGTGTGTGCATTTATTTCTGGATTTTCAATTCTGTTCCATTTTATGTGTCTCTGCCTCCAGCAGTACTATACTGTCTTGATTACTGTAGCTATACAGTAAGCTTTAACAGCAGATTGAGTGATTCCTCTCAGTTTATTCTTGTTTTATGAAATGTTTTTGCTATTGTAGGCTCTGTCCTCTCCATATAAATGCAAGAACGAGCTTGTCTATATCTGTAAAAAAAATTTGCTGGGATTTTTACAGGAATTGTATTAAACTCATAGGTCAATTTGAAAGAATTGACATATTTCTATATTGAGTCTCTTATCCATGGGTGGTATCTTATCCATTGTATGGATGTCTCTCAATTTATGTAGGTAATTTTTAATAAAAAAATTAGTACTTAAAATTTTCCACATGATTCTGTATGTTTTGGTAGAATTATACCTGAATATATACATTTGGAGCAATTGTAAATGGTATTGTGTAATCCATCTGAGATTTTGCACATGGTAGGTCCTCTACTCTCAGAATTGTTAATAAAAGCCAATATAATTGCCTAGAAGACAATTTTCTGAGAATCACTTTTCCATTATGAAAGTGCATTGAGCCTTTAGAATTCCTGGGAGTTGAGAATTGTGGCTTTGTGGTTCCTATTCAAGCCTCTTTCTAAAAATTACAAGCTACCGTCCTTGGGGAAAGCTGGTGAGTTGGACTTCTTCCTAGTTGTGGAGGTCAGCCACTTTTTCCTATTGGTAGATTTAGCGATTTAGATATAAATATGGCTTGAATGTAAGCCTCATGAGCGCAAAGCCCCTGAGTCACTGCTGGGCTTTCAACAACAAGGGGTGTGGCTAAACACAGTAGCTGCATATGATGGACTCAATGTTTCAGCATTTCCCCAAATTCAAGTGTTGAAATCCTAACCCCCAACATGATGTTTGTTGTTTAAATAGGATGCAGTCACCTGGAGTCCACACTCCAGGAGAGCTGAGGGTCCCTGGCTGAGAGCCACAGAGTGGGCAGCACCCTGTCAAGCTGTGAGTGAGACACGGCTGCCCCAGTGCATCCAGAAGGCAGAGCATCAACCCAAATAATTATTCTTGAAATTTAAGATTCAATGTTGTTTGCCTTGTTAGGTTTTGGGCTTCATTGAGGCCAACTGTCTCTCTTTCCCTTGCTCTTTCTCCTTTTGGTATGGGGAGGTCTATTTTATGCCTGATCCATCATTATACTTTGGAAGCACACGACTTGTCTGGTTTCACAGGTTCACAGCTGGAGAGGAATTTGCCTCAGGATGAATCACACTTCAAGCCTCATCCATATCTGATTTAAATAGATGAACCTCAGACTTTAGAATTTAGAGTTGATGTTGAAACAAGCTAAGGCTTTTGGGGTTGTTGAGATGGAATGAACATATTTTGCATGTGAGAAAGAGATGAATTTGGGGACCTGGGGTGAAATTTTATTAACTGAACATTTGTGTTCCCATAAAATTGTTATGTTGAAATCCTAACCTTCAATGTGATGGTATCAGAAGGTGAGGCCTTTGGGCCTCTGGGTAGGTGCTACACTACTCTGGGTAGGTGCACATCTCTCGTTGTTGGAGTTAAGGCAGGGAATTTGAGTTCATGTCTCCATGGACCTTATGTACAAACCATATCATATTTAAGTCTGAGAAACTAAAATGTTCTTATCAGATATCTTCATTGGCATGATTCCTAAGTGCTCACATAGCCAGCCAGACATACTCAGCCTGGACTAGAGGGAGACCAGCTTGTCCAGGTTGCCAGCTCTCAAGTCCATGAAAATTGAGGGGTTCTTCCTAATATCTAACTCTCTCTCAAACCACTCTTCTCCTTCACTCCTGGGACTCTTCTCCTTCACTCCTGGGACTTCAGTATCGGAGAATAATTCAGATATTTTTGATTATTCTGTAGTAAATTTGGTTAAAGAAATATTCAACAAGGCCAGCTTCCTTCATCTTTCCAATGGGTAATTGAAGTCCTTAATAGGTCCATGTTAGTTCTTTTTCTTTAACTTTTTAGTTCTGAAGATATTTTGGATAGAGCTAGTACTTAGGGGAGTCTCTTCAGTATAGATCATTAAAGCCAAATCAAGCAGGAAGTAATTGTAAACTTTCATAGGTTTGCGCCTATAGCCATACTATTAGAAGGTAGATAAAAATATGCAACCTAGTCAATTTCACATTTTCTCATTTTCTCTCATTAAATATTTGCCAAGTTCTAAGAAGAAGGCTGTAAGATTTCATTCTGGATACTGGAAAGCAAATAGTGGTATGATGTTAAACTTGTTCTCTGGAAAATAATCAAGCAAGCAAGCAAGTTTGTTTTGTTTTCTCTTTTGTTTTGTTTCTGTTGTGTTTGGCAATTTGCCTGGTATAAGTACTCCATCATGACTGATTTCAAGATTTCAAGGTACCAAAGGTTTCACAAGTGGCTAGCCAAATTCTCAAGTATTTAACAATGGGCTCTCTTGAGTTATAACAAACCAGCTCTAGCACATCACTGAGTCTCCCTGCCACCAACTTGTGGTATGACATTGGGCACATCAATGTGTGCCACCCATCTTATAAGGTCAACATTCTAAACTCCAAGTTTTAAAAAATTTCTGTGGGATAGAAACATTGAATCTAGCTGAATTTCACTCCACCAGCTATTTCAAATTTTGAGTCCTTGAACATGAAGCAGTATAAAACAACAACAAATTAATTTTAGAAAACTTATTTCAGCTGATGTTGTTTAAAGGCCAAAGAAAAACGTTTTGTCTTTATTGAGATTTAAAAATGGACAAACAAAATGAGGTTGAAGCAGTTTTGTCTAGTAAGTAGCCCAGAGAGAACAGGCACTGGTATAACCATGAAACCTCACATAAGCTACACAAACTTCCTGTGTTTTCATTTCCTTGTCTGTAAAATGATAATAGAACAGATTTTGTAATTTCTGTCGCTATTAAATGAATTAATATAAGTGAACTCTCCATTGTCAGGCTACCTCAAAGGAGATATTTGACCACTGTGGCTGTTATTGATGATAAGAATTATTGACTCTACTTCCCACATTTCACTTTTAAACCCCTTCAAGAGGGAGAATGCCACCTGACTCCAACCTGTCAGGCTGCTGGGCTATGTGTGTGGCTGAGACAGCACTGGGGTGACTTTGCCTGTATAGCTGCATGTTCCATAACTCACCACACTTCACATTTAATGGCAGAGATATTGTCCTTTACCTTTGAGAAAAATCGCTTAGGTGGTTATTTTCATGACTCACAGCAGTAGGCAAATGGGGATATGGTGAGGGATCTTTGGCCGTTTCAGTAACATGGATCGTTGTTTTTTCAGATGGGTAAAGAAGTGGCAGTTTGATTACAGGTGAGCTTCCCATTCTGATCTTACCATCAGGGCACGGCAAGGATCTGATCTTCACGTCCAAATTTTCTTGTCCATTTTCTGTGGTGATCCAGACTTGTGTAAAAGGATAACTAGTAAATCTATAAACAGAAAAGACATACTTTATAATTCACAATAGCCTAGATGTAGAAATGTCCTAAATGTCCGTCACTGGATGAATGGATAAAGAAATTGTAGCATATACGTACAATGAAATATTATTTGCCCTTAAAAACAAAGTGAATTTGCCATTTGTGACAACACAGCTGAACCTGGAGGATGTGATGCTGAGTGAAATAAGCCAAGCAAGGGAGGACCAAAACTGCATGATCTCACTTCTATAGAGCATCTGAAATAGTTGAAATTATGGAAGTAGAGTATAGAATTATGGCTGCCAGGGACTATAGGTGTGCTGGGAGGAATGGGGAGTTGTTGGCCAAAGGTCTTACAGTTTCAGTTAGACAGGATGAATCGGTTCTGGAAAGCTAATGTAGAGCAATGTGAATATATTGAACAATACTCTATTATATACTTGAAATGTGCTAAGAGGGTAGATCTTAAGTGTTCCCCCCAACCAAAATAAAGTTGATAACTATGTGAGGTGATAGATACGCTAATTAGCTTGATTGTGGTGATTAATTCACAATGTATACCTATATCAAAACATCAAGTGGTACACCTTAAGTATATATCATGTACATTTGTCAATTGTATCTCAATAAACCTGGAGGGAAAAAGACACACTTTAGTCCAAGTAAAATTAATCTGCTATCCAGTGATTCTGATTGAGAACTTGAGAATGTAATGAGTCAATGGGAAGACAATTTCTGATACTCTATAGAAGTGTTCTTTTCCCCAGCTCAGTGTGAGTTCTGCTGTAGACTCAGGCCCACATTTAGAGAATTTCTCAGATTTCTATGGGAACAAGTCAGTATATTGTTTTCCCTTTAATCTGTTGTAGCCCAAAACTTTTATAAGACATAATAGAAATAAATTACTAGAACAAAGAAATGAAAAGACATAAGGAATACAAGCCCTGCTATTCATTTGTTTTTGTTTTTGATTTTTTAGATTCAACAGCCATAAATTCCACTGGTAAGTCATACTCAATTTTCTAAGGGTTCACTTTCAATTCTTGTGTTTATTTCCTTGCAAGCTGACCACAGAGTCCTGACATCTCAAAAATAAAGAGCCCTTCATGTCACAGACCCTCCCGAATATAAATTCTTTAAAGGACCCTGAGTGGCCAGGCTGGCAGCTCCTGCAGCTGTCAGGGATATGCTATGGACCCTCTCCTTCCTGGTGTCCTCCAGAGAAAAGGGGCAACTTCCCGGGGCCAAGGAGACAAAGACACTGTTGTGCAGAAGTCCAGGGGCTGATGCATCCCAGGGTGCAGATGCCTTGCTGAGGTAGCAGAGATGCCATGGATTCTTGCATCATCAAGTCGCATTTCCCCACAGTGCTCAATGCCTGCTATCTTGCTCTTCTTCTCCTTCAAATTCCCACCTTTGGAGGCATATGAATGACTGTGGGGTTGGGAAAGTTGCACATGGAATCGAGGAACATTTTAAATTATTAAATAATTCATATTACTCTTAAGTAGCTATCTACCTACTAAGACACAGCATGTGAAGCACAATATTGATTTTTTACATTGGCAACCAGATGGATGAATGCTAACATCACATTGTGAACATTTTGATTTTTCTTAAATTATCTAATAAGGTCTAATAGAATTTTTCAATAGAAAAAAATCTCAGCATTTTAAGTAAAATTATTTTAATTTAATATTCAAATTTTTTTTGTTTAACTGACAAATCATAATTGTATACAAGTATGGGATACAACATGATGTTTTAATATATGTATTCACTGTGAAATACTTAGAACAAGTTAATTGATATATCTATCACCTGACTTATGTTTCTATCTTTTTGTGGTGAGTCATTTGAAATTTACTCTCTTGTCAATAGATCTAAGTCAGTCCATGTCAGAATTCAAATAAGAATAAAATATTTTTCTGCATGACTTCTGGATCTTATGTAAATGAGGTTATGGGAGGAGACAGTTGAATGTACATCACTTTCTCTCCCATAGCAAGATCTTAGTTTCAAATACGGCTCACCCAGAATACCTCACTGCAAGCCTGCCAGTCTTAGATGGAAGCTAAGGGGGCAGTTTCCTGGGAAGGGATTTGGAGGCAGAAGAGAAAAGACAGCATATGTTAATATGCTTAGTGCTCATCTTCCAGTGAAGGAATGTTAAAGAGATATCACTTCAAGAATAAAAACTCATATTGTAGTTCATAAATTTTTCTTCAGCCATAATAAAAGGGACTAGATTTACCATCCTGCCATAAAACTCCTACAAAACCAGCCAAATTATATAAAACAAATGGTTTTCAGATTATGGAAAATAGGCAGCTCAAGAAATGTATCCTCAAGAGAAGGTGAGTTGAGCCTCACGAGTGCCCAGTTAAGTATTTGAAAAGAGCTTCCTGGCCACAGGATGGAAAGGGACAACCCAAACACAGCCAAGCATTTCTGCTGAATTAACGAGGCAGAGATCAGAGTTTTAGGTGAATAATGATAGTAGAGTTTGTGAGTTTGTGATGTAGATTGTCTAAGCCAAGAAGGAACTGCACACACACACACACACACACACACACGAGAGAGAGAGAGAGATAGAGAGACTGAGGGAGAGAGAGAGAGAGAGAGAGAGGTTGAGAGAGAGACAGCAAGCACTGGAGATCAACAGGCTCACTTCTGGCTGAGTCCTGGTCTGTGAATATGTGTGAAGAAACTCCAAAGGACAGGGAAGAAACCAGCTGGGAACATGTCTAGAGTTTACACAAGACAGAATAGTTTGTGACCCCACCAGATAGAGTAGAAATATTTCCTAATAATGTCCCATGGGTAGAGTTCTTAGAAAGGCATTTTCTCAGTAATGGGGCCAAATCAGCCCTAAACAAAAGGCTCTTCTGGATCTTCCCTAACCAAGATCAAAAACAAAGCTCAAAAGGTTTCTAAGTAACTTCAGCTCTAAGTAAATTAATTGTGTTGCAGAGCACAGCCCCAAGATATTTAAAACAATATGAAGATATTCATCATCCAAAAATGTAAAATGTATGATGTCTGATATCCAATAAAAAATTACCAGGCACAGAGGGATTGGGGCAAAAACAAAACAAAACCCATCAATCAATAGAAACAGACCAAGAAATGACATTGATGATAGCATTAGTAAACAATAACATGAAAATAGCAAATGTAAATACACTCCAAATGTTCAAGAATGCAGAATAAACATGGATATGATGATGAAAGAAATAGAAGCTGTAAAAATATTCTAATAAAACTTTTGGAGATAAACTAGTAAATTTCTAAATAGGAAAGTTACACTGAATGGGATTAAAACATATTAGACGCTGAAGAAGAAAAAAGTTTAATGGGCTTAAAGGAATAGCAATGGAAACTATCTAAAATGAAACACACAAAGAGAAAAAAAGGCCTACAACATAAAGTAACAATGAGCTAGTGAACATGTCACCTAAAAAATGTGTCATACATTCCCAGAAGGAAAGAAGAATAACAGAGAAACAAACAAAAAACTGAAGAAAGAGTAGTTGAAATTTTTGCAGATTCAGTGAAAACTATATTCCAATTCCAGAAAGCTCAGCAAACATCAAGCAGAATAAAGAACAAAAAAATTATACTAGGCAGCATCACAATCAACTTGCTGTAAGTCACTGATAAAGAGAATGTATTAAAGGCAGCCAGAGGAAAGAAGGCATATTATGTATAGAGAAACACATATAAAAATGAGGATGAATATCAGAAACAATGGAACCCACATCTTTAAAGCACTGAGAGAAAAAAGCTGTCAAGCTTATAATCCTATATCTACAAAAACATTTTTTCCCCAAAATGAAGGCAAAATAAGTATCCTTTTCTTCCCAGGCATTCAGAAACTTGCAGAAGTCCCTGCCAGTCAACCAACATTACCAAAAATATTAAAGAAGTTCTTTAAGTGGGAGGAAAATGATTCCAGATGGAAATTACAGTACACACAAATAAATGGAAGACATTGGAAACTATAAATATGCTAGAGGGGGATAAAAAATACTTTTTTCTCATTTTAAAATTTCTTTAAGTGCTAATTGACATTGTACAGTAAATAAATATAATATATTTTAAATAAAATTTGTGCCATTAGGGAGGACTGGAAGGACATGAAAGTACACTTTTGTAAAATTCTCACACTGTTTATGAAACAGCACAGCATAGAAGATAGTCTGTGATAAGTTTAAGATGTACATTGTTAAGCCTAGAAAAGCATTTAAAAAGAGAGGGGGAAAAAGAGAGAGGGAAAAAAAGAGGGAGCATTCATACTAATGAGCCTGTAATGGAGTTAAAATAAAATTAGGAAAGAAGTACTTGATTAACACAATAAAACTCAGGAAAGGGGGAAAACAGAAGCAAACAAGAGATGGAAAAAGGGAAAACATAGCAATTGCTAGGTTTAAACAAAACTGTATTAAAAATCACATTAAATATAAATGTCCTCAACGGCCCTAATAAAAGACAAAGATTGTCAAATTGTATGCAAAAAGCAAGACCCAACTCTATGCTCTCTGTACCAACTCACTTCAAATATAACATCTCAGATAGATTAAAAGTAAAGAGATGAAAAACATATCAAACAAACACTAATCAAAAGAATACCATGTTAGCTATGTTAATATCAGGTGGATATTAGAGAAAGGAATACCATGAGAAATTTAAAAAAGTTATTTAATGGTTATAAAGGGGTTGTATTAGTTTGTTGGTGCTGCTATAACAAAATATGTTAGACTGGGTGATTCATAGAGAACAGATATTTATTTTCTCACAGTTCTGGAGGTTGGAAATCTGAAATCAAAGTTCCATCAGGCTTGGTTGTCTGGTGAGGGTGGCTTTCTTCTTCTAAGATGACACCTTGTTGCTGCATCCTCCTGAGAGGAGAGATGCTGTGTCCTCATGTGGCAGAAGGCGCAACAGAGCCAAAAACTGCACGAAGCCTCTTTTATACAGGCCTTCATCCCATATCTTCATAGCCCATAGTAGTAAGGCTATAAGAAAGGAGCCCTCATGGCATAATTACTTCTTAAAGGCTGCAGCTTTTATTACTATTATATTGGCAACACTTGAAATCTGGAGGAGACACATTCAAATTATAACAGGGGTCAGTTTGTCAAGAGGAAGCAACAATCTTAAATGTTTGTGCTATTAATAACAGTGCTTTAAAGCATAGAAGCAAAACTGATTAGAACTGTAAGGAGAAACAGACGGATGTTGTTAAACAGAGTATCATGCACTGATTATCAATCCCAAAAGAGGACCATAAACATGCTAATTTCTGGTAAGGACCCTATATCTGGCATGTCTTGCACAAACCCATCTGCTAGAGATATTGCACAAGTCCAACCGCCATAGTATGAGTCTGGTGAGACAGAACATTCATACAAGTTATGAAAAGCAACTTTATTTCTCAAATATAGACAGCAAGGATTGACAGAATCCTGGAATCATGGCCAGTCAGACCCTAAGGCTTGGGAGAGTTGCACAGGGCAGATGGAGTCTCATAAGTGCATGTCCCACTTTGCACCACAGCTGGGAGACACTGGAAGCATTCCACTCTGGGCTTTATACCCTGAGGGTAACTGGGCCACAAAGCTAAATTTTTGCAGGACATTGGGCTCTGGGTTGGATAAGGACAAAGCCTCGTCTGTTCTGGACAGTTTCTTCTTATCTCAGGGCACTACATTCTCAGTACATTCTACAGTTCTTGAGAACTATAAGGAGGCCGGGAGGAAGAACTGGGTTGGCCAAGATCATCTGGGAACCTGTCTTACTTGAAATGTATAATTAACATCAGAAATTTTCAGATTTTTCTCTCTATAACTGATAGATCAAGAAGACAAAAGGCCAGGCGCAGTGGCTCACGCCTGTAATCCCAGCACTTTGGGAGGCCGAGGCGGGTGGATCACCTGAGGTCAGGAGTTTGAGACTAGGCTGGCCAACGTGGTGAAACCTCATCTCTACTAAAAATACAAAAAAAAAAAAAAAAAATTAGCTGGGCGTGGTGACGGGCGCCTGTAATCACAGCTACTCAGGAGGCTGAGGCAGGAGAATTGCTTGAACCCAGGAGGCAGAGGTCGCAGTGAGCCAAGACAGTGCCATTGCACTGCAGCCTGGGCAATGGAGAGAGACTCTGTCTCAAAAAAAAAAAAAAAAAAAGAGACAAAAAATCATTAGCAAGACAGAATACTTGGATTAAGCTATCAACCAACGTGACCTCATTGACATTTATAGAACATTTTGCCCAATGACAGTAGAATACACTATGTTCAAGTGCATATGGACATACACCAAGACGGAACACCTTCAGAGCCATTAGTAAATATAGAAAACTTCACATTACACAAACAAGTTCCCTAGCAAAGATAGAAATACTTTAGATATCAATACATTTAAAATGCCCAAATATTGGAAGCCAACCAAACCATCCAACCAAACAAACAAACCCATTAATACATTGTCAAAGAAAAAATCATAAGGGAAATTAGAAACTGCAAAGTTAATATGTGGATTTTCTACCAAATATTAGTCTACAGCCATACCACCCTGAACGTGCCCTATCTTGTCTACCAAATATTGGTTTAAGCTAGTTCTAGTATTTTCAACCCATCAAATAGTAGTAAAATGTCTTCCTTTTCCTAGCCTGGCATCTAGAAAGGTAAACTTGTTCACCTATTTAGATATTAACTAAGTACTTATTATGGGCAAGGTGAAGAGTGAGGAGTATCCAGAGCTGTTTCCACGCTGAATCCTTTTTTTTTCCTAAGAGACAAACATCCATTTGTCACTTGCTAGTGCTGGACAGTGGTCTATGGTTTACAAGTACTAACTCATTTCACTTCATATTAACCTAATTAATAGATTGGACCATTAAATCCTCCTTCTACTTATTTTTAGTACTACTTTTTATGGTAATTACCCACTTACAGATCTGTCTCCTTCCCTGGACTGTGATATCCTGAAGGCAAAGTGGAGATGACTCATCTTCGTGCCTTCCGAACCTGGCACATATGTTTTATTTATTAAGTGAATTATTGGATGCATGTGTAAAATTGTAGCTCATACACAAGGTCCAAGGGCTGAGAATTATGATGAGTTGCTCATCGTAATGAGTGGTTTTAATTTTCCACATTCTGAAAACAGTATTTTTCATCATTATTATTACTATTGTTGCCATTATTACTATTATTAGAATATGGAAGTCCTTTCTTCCGAAATAATAAAATATACTCTCATGTTATTATTATAATTTGTGTAATTGTAACATTGAACTCACAATCCCTAAAGTGGACCGTATTTGTTTTTACTCTTACAAGTTTTTTAGCTCCAGGACATTTAATTATTTCTTTCTGAATCTGCATTTCTCAACTGATATTTATAAATCTTTGTTTCTGTGCTTGCCTGAAATTAGAAAAGTTCACAGTATGATTATCTGGTTGTTTTACAAGAGAAATAATTCTATGATACAAGTAAAGAAATACTTTAAACTGATGGCTATTCAAAGTCCTGCATTTTATGCTGACTGCTTAAAATAGGCTTTTTATTATTTACTCAAGATAATTTACAGATATTCTAATGTGTATCAAGCCTTAGAATAGGCACTGAAAAATGGAGATCAGTAAAACACTTCTTATTTTGGGAGCAGTTTCAAAATGGAATAAAATATTGATAGGTGCTAACATCTGGAATAGCTGAGTAGGGAGCTTGGAATAGCTCCTTCACAAAAAGCAGTGATACAACTGGACACACTTGTTTAGCCTGGGGCTGCAACCATTTCCCCCACCCTCATCCAGAGTTTGTGGCATAAGTTACACCAAGTGATGGGGCATCCCATGAGGACTGGCAGCTTTGCTGCCACAGGAGGATGACTTGAAAATATCCAAGTCCCCAGGGGCATTGTCAGACAATGATATAAATCTCAAAGGTAACCAATAAACAAAATTTTGTGGTTGCAGTAATGATTAGGACATGCAGCAAACTGGCAGAACAGCAAGAAATATAGCAGGGAGTTCTGGGAAATAAGATAGTGAAAGTGGGCTTTGATAAGCAACTTTATATTCATACCATAGATGATATTAGGGTGACAAACATGTTGAAGACTTTACACGTGTTCTGGAAAGACAGAGAAAGTCTTAACATCCCTGGATGAATGTGAGATCTTGCACATGCAGAAAGCAAAAGCTGGGCAGATATGTAAACTTCACAGACGTAGAATGCATTTCCCAAAGCAAATATAGATCCACCAGGAAAAAGTAGAAGTTGAACCGGTTCAATGTGTTTCAGCAAAACTTCTGACAAGTAAGCTTTGCTAACTCAGGGCCCACTCCTACAAGGCTGGGCTCAAAACAACAACAACAACAATCCCTCACCCCCCACAAAAACACAGAATTTAAAAAGCACTGGGCAGATACATCAGTGACCACACAGCAGCAAAGACAGATTCTATAGATTTGGTCTGGGGAAGTCAATAAACCCGCCATAAGAACAACAAGCTTCCACGGGGGGAATGAGAATACAGGGTTGCTGCCATATGTTATTTACAATGCCCAATTTTCAAGAACAGTAACAAAATATGAGCCACTCAAAGGCAGAGGACACTGTGACACATCCACTGGAAAATGGATGAGCACTAGGGAGCCAGATGTTTTTATTTAGCAAATCATTTGCTATAAATACGTTCAAAGCATCAAAGAAAGCCATGTCTAATGAAGCAAAGGAAAGCATGGCAATAATTATTTATCAAAGAGACTATCAATTCAGACAAAAATTATTTTAAAAATCAAGCGGGAATTTTAAAGTTTAAATGTATAATAGCTGAAGTGAAATTGTTACTAAAGGGACTCGAGAACAGATTTGAGCTGGCAAAATAAGCAAACTTGAATATAGACAAAAATTATGCAACCTGCAGAAAAGAAAGAAAAAGAAATAAAAAACAAACAACGCCTCAAAGACTTGTAGAACACCGTAAAGCATGAGAAACTTTTACCAACATATCTAAGAACCTAAACAAATTCTGAGTAGAACAAACAGAAAGGGATTCATACTGAGATGTATTATAATCAAACCATCGAAAGCCAAAGACAAAGAAATAATCTGAACGAGCAAGGAGAAATCAAAAGATTTTCACTGCATACAGAGGAACCTCAAATATCAATAGCTGATTTTTTACCAAAAGCCAGGGGGTGGAAGACAGATCAGATAACATATTCAAAGGGTTAAAACGATAGCAGCAAACACTCTTGTCAACCAAAAATTCTATTTCTAGCAAAATTACTCATCAAAATTGAAGGCAAAATAAAGCTATTTCGAAGTAAACAGAGATTTAGAGAATTTAGTGATAGCTGACCTACCTTACAAGAAATAACAAGGAAATTAGTTAGAAAGGAAATGACACCACTGTTAACTTGAATCCACAAAAAGAAATAAAGAACATGGCCAAATAACTATTTGGGTAAATAGAAAAGACAGTATAAACATATTTTCTTTTCTGTTATTTTAACATATTGGAAAGACTTTTCATATAATAATGACTATAAACTTATATTGCTAAGTTTATAAAATATGAATTATGAAATATGTATGTACATATAAATATGTAACATATATAACAATGATAGCATAAGAATCATGAAAGAAATTCAGCTATATTGGAGTTTAATTTCTACATTTTGCTGAAATTAAGATTGTTTTTCTTATACATGAATGTTCATATCAGCATCATTGGTTTATAGCCCCAAAGTTGAAACAACCCATATATATAACAACCTAGTAACAGGTAAACACAATGAAATATTATTCAGCCATTAAAACGAGGTAAGTCCTGATTTATGCCACAACTAGATAAACCTTGAGAACGTTGTTAACAATGCCAGACAACACAAAGGCTACATATTGCCTCATTCCATTAATATGAACCGCCCAAAATAGGCTTATCCATAGTCACAGAAAGCAGATTAGTATTTTCCTGGGGTTGGAGTGAAGGAAGGGAGGAATAGGACCTGACTGCTCATGGGTACAGGGTTTCTTTCTGAGGTGACAAAATGTTTCAGAATTAGATAGTGGTAATGATTGCATAATTTCGTGAATTTACAAAAACAACTAAGAACTGTATATTTTAAAAGAATAAATGTTGTGGCATGTGAATCATATTTCAGTAAAATACATCAGTTGAGTCAAGTTAGTCAATATTTTTCAAGTCTTATATACTTGCTGATTTTTTACAATTTTAGTTGTTCTATATTATTATTGAGAGTATTGTATTAACATATGCATCTATTATTGTTGATAGTGTATTTTCCCTTCAATTATAGTAGTTTTGCTTCATGTACTTTGCAACTATATTGCTAGATCAACATATGTATACAATTCTTATGTCTTCCTGATGAATTTACATGTTTATTATTATAAAACCTACTTCTTTGTGTTGACTAACCATTTTCGTCTTAAACTCTATTTTGTCTGACATTAGTATAGAGGCATCACCTTTCTTTTGTTGACAGTTTTCAGGATAATATCCTTCCCATCATTATATTTTTATCCTATTTGTGTCTTTGAATCTAAAGTGTGTCTCTTACAAAAGCATTTAGTGGGATTATTTAAAAAATTCATTCTTTCAATACATATGTCATATGATTCATGTTTTTAATCCATTTACATTTCATGTAGTTACTGATATGAGGGATTGACAAGTGCAACTTTATTATTTGTTTTCTATGTCTTAAGTTTTTTGTTTCTTTATTCCTTTATTAGTACCTTCTTCGAGAAACATTGATGTTTTCTATTGCACAACTTTAAGTTTTCTGTTGTTTCACTATATTTTAAAATTATTTCCTTAGTGATTGCCTTGGAGATTACAGGTAACAACTTTTAACAATATAGTTTGAATTAATATCAACTTAATTTCAACTGGGAATGTATAAATTACTCCAATATACCTTCATTCTTCATGCCCTCTCTTTTGTGCTCTCATTATTATACAAATTACATCTTCATAGATTTTATGCCCCCTGGCACAAATTTATAACTATTGCTTTATGCTATTATCTTTTAAATCAGATAGCAGAAACAATTATCAAAAACAAAAAATACACCTATATACTGTCCTTCATATTTACCCATGTAGTTAGCTTTACTGGTACTTTTTATTTCTTAATATGAATTTAAGTTAGTCTAGTGTTCTTTCGTTTTATCATGAAAGTCACCTGTTATTATTTCTTGTGGGCAAAGTCTGCTAGTGAAGAATTCTGTCAGTTTTCGTTTTTGTGGAAACATCTTAATTTCTCTTTCATTTTTGAAGGATAGTTTTGCTAGACAGAGAATTTTTGATTGACAATATTTCCTTTCAACACTTTATTTTTTTAAATTTTTAAAATTATACTTTAAGTTCTAGGGTACATGTGCACAACATGCAGGTTTGTTATGTAGGTATACATGTGTCATGTTGGTTTGCTGCACCCATCAACTCGTCATTTACATTAGGTATTTTTCCTACTGCTGTCCCTCCTCCGGCCCCCCACCCCCCGACAGGCCCCGGTGTGTGATATTTCCCACTCTGTATCCGTGTGGTCTCATTGTTCAACTCCCACCTATGAGTGAGAACATGCGGTGTTTGGTTTTCTGTCCTTGTGATAGTTTGCTGAGAATGATGGTTTCCAGCTTCATCCATGTCCCCACAAAGGACATGAACTCATCCATTTTTATGGCTGCATAGTATTCCATGGCATATATGTGCCACATTTACTTAATCCAGTCTATCATTGATGGACATTTGGTTGGTTCCAAGTCTTTGCTATTGTGAATAGTGCTGCAATAAACATATGTGTGCATGTGTCTTTATAGTAGCATGGGTATATACTGAGTAATGGGATTGCTAGGTCAAATGGTATTTCTAGTTCTAGATCCTTGAGGAATCGCCACACAGTCTTCCACAATGGTTGAACTAATTTACACTCCCAACCAACAGTGTAAAAACGTTCCTATTTGTCCACATCCTCTCCAGCATCTGTTGTTTCTTGACTTTTTATTGATCGCCATTCTAACTGGTGTGAGATGGTATCTCATTGTGGTTTTGATTTTCAGTTCTCTGATGACTGGTGATGATGAGCATTTTTTCATATGTCTGTTGGCTACATAAATGTCTTCTTTTGGAAAGTGTCTTTTCATATCCTTTACCCACTTTTTAATGAGGTTGTTCGTTTTTTTCTTGTAAATTTGTTTAAGTTCTTTGTAGATTCTGGATATTAGCCATTTGTCAGATGGGTAGATTGCAAAGACTTTCTCCCATTCTGTAGGCTGCCTGTTCACTCTGATGATAGTTTCTTTTGCTGTGCAGAAGCTCTTTAGTTTAATTAGAACCAATTGGCTATTTTGGCTTTTGTTGCCATTCTTTTGGTGTTTCAGTCATGAAGTCTTTGCACATGCCTATGTCCTGAATGGTATTGCCTAGGTTTTCTTCTAGGGTTTTTATGGTTTAGGTCTTACATTTAAGTCTTTTTTCCATCTTGAGTTAATTTTTGTATAAGGTGTAAGGAAGGGATCCAGTTTCAACTTTCTACATATGGCTAGCCAGTTTTCCCAGCACCATTTATTAAATACAGAATCCTTTCCCCATTTCTTGTTTTTCTCAGGTTTGTCAAAGATTAGATGGTTGTAGATGTGTAGTGTTACTTCTGAGGCCTCTGTTCTGTTCCCTTGTTCTATATATCTGTTTTGGTACCAGTACCATGCTGTCTTTTAGCATAGTTTGAAGTCAGGTAGTGTGACGCCTCCAGCTTTGTTCTTTTTGGTTAGGATTGTCTTGGCTATGCAGGCTCTTTTTTGGTTCCATGTGAATTTTAAAGTAGTTTTTTCCAATTCTGTGAAGAAAGTCAGTGGTAACTTGATGGGGACAGCATGGAATCTATAAATTACCTTGGGCAGTATGGCCATTTTCACAACATTGATTCTTTCTATCCACGAGCATGGAATGTTCTTCCATTTGTTTGTGTCCTCTTTTATTTCATTGAGCAGTGGTTTGTAGTTCCCCTTGAAGAGGTCCTTCACATCCCTTGTAAGTTGGATTCCTGGATATTTTATTCTCTTTGAAGTAATTGTGAATGGGAGTTCACTCATGATTTGGCTCTCTGTCTATTATTGGTGTATGGGAATGCTTGTGACTTTTGCACATTGATTTTGTATCCTGAGACTTTGCTAAATTTGCTTATCAGCTGAAGGAGATTTTGGGCTGAGATGACAGGGTTTTCTAAATATGCAATCAAGTTTCTGCCGAGAGATCCACTGTTAGTCTGATGGGCTTCCCTTTGTGAATAATCGAATGTTTCTCTCTGGCTGCCCTTTACATTTTTTCCTTCATTTCAACCTTGGTGAACTTGACATTTATTTGTCTTTGGGTTGCTCTTCTTGAGGAGTATCTTTGCGGTATTCTCTGTGTTTCCTGAATTTGAATGTTGGCCTGCCTTGGTAGGTTAGGGAAGTTCTGGATAATATCCTGAAGAGTGTTTTCTAACTTGGTTCCATTCTCCCCGTCACTTTCTGGTACACCAATCAAACGTAGATTTGGTGTTTTCACATAGTCCCATATTTCTTGGAGGCTTCGTTCGTTTCTTTTCACTCTTTTTTCTCTAATCTTGTCTTCTTGCTTTATTTCATTAATGTGATCTTCAATCACTGATATCCTTTCTTCCACTTGATTGAATTGGCTGTTGAAGCTTGTGCATGCGTCATGAAGTCCTCGTCCCATGGCTTTCAACTCCGTCTGATCATTTAAGGTCTTCTCTACACTGTTTATTCTAGTTAGCCATTTGTCTAACCTTTTTTCAAGGTTTTTAGCTTCCTTGCAATGGGTTAGAACATGCTCCTTTAGCTTGGAGAAATTTGTAATTACTGACCTTCTGAAAACTACTTCTGTCAACTCGTCAAACTCATTCTCTGTCCAGTTTTGTTCTCTTGCTGGCAAGGAACTGCGATCCTTTGGAGGAGAAGAGGTGCTCTGTTTTTTGGTATTTTCAGCTTTCTGCTCTGGTTTCTCCCCATCTTTGTGGTTTTATCTACCTTTGGTCTTTGATGTTGGTGACCTACAGATGGGGTTTTGGTATGGATGTCCTTTTTGTTGATGTTGATGCTATTCCTTTCTGTTTGTTAGTTTTCCTTCTAATAGTCAGGTCCCTCAGCTGCAGGTCTGTTGGAGTTTGCTAGAAGTCCACTCCAGACCCTGTTTGCCTGGGTATCACCTGCGGAAGCTACAGAACAGCAAATATTGCTGCTTGATCCTTCCTCTGGAAGCTTTGTCCCAGAGGGGCACCCACGTGTTTGAGGTGTCTGTCAGCCCCTACTGGGAGGTGTTTCCCAGTCAGGCTACGTGGGGGTCAGGGACCCGCTTGAGGAGGCAGTCTGTCTGTTCTCAGAGCTCAAATGGCTTGCTGCTGAGAGAACCACTTCCCTCTTTAGAGCTGACAGACAGGGATGTTTAAGTCTGCAGAAGCTGCCTACTGCCTTTTGTTCTACTATGCCCTCCCCCAGAGGTGGAATCTATAGAAGCAGTAGGCCTTGCTGAGCTGTGGTGGGCTCTGCTCAGTTAGTGTTTCCCAGCCTCTTTGTTTACACTGTGAGCTACTCAAGCCTCAGCAATGGCAGACACCCCTTGTCAAGCTGCAGCATCACATGTCCATCTCAGACTGCTGTGCTAGCAGTGAGTAAGGCTCTGTGGGCAAGGGACCCACTGAGCCAGGCATGAATGGTTATCTCCTCATTTGCCGGTTGCTAAGACTTTCCTACTGTGGGAAAAGCGCAGTATTTGGTCAGAAGTGTACCATTTCTCCAGGTACAGTCTGTCACAGCTTCCCTTGGCTAGGAAAGGGAAATCCCCTGACCCTTTGTGCTTTCTGGGTGAGGTGACACCCCACTGTGCTTCAGCTCTCCCTCTGTGGGCTGCACCCACTGTCCAACCAGTCCCAATGAGATGAACCAGGTAACTCAGTTGGAAATGCAGAAATCACCCGTCTTCTGTGTCGATCTCACTGGGAGCTGCAGACCAGAGCTGTTCCTATTTGGCCATCTTGGAAGCGGCCCTTTCAACACTTTAAATATGCACCCACTGCCTTCTGGCCTCCACTGTGTGTGATAAGCAATAAACTGTCTTATTGAGGATACCTTGTATGTGATACATCACCTCTCTTGCTGATCCCAAGAGTCTCTCCTTGTCTTTGTTTGTTGATAGTTTTGTTATGATACATGTAGATGTGTGTCTCTTTGAGTTTATTTTACTTGGAGAGTAAATTTTTAGGGTTTTTAGATTAATGGTTTTTATCAAATTCAGAAAATTTTGGTTGCTATTTTTTCAAATATTCTTTCTGATTCTTTATCTCTCATCTCTCTTTTCTCATGGTGTGACTCATATTGTACACATATTGTTTGCCTTATGATGTACCACAGACTTTTGAGGCTCTTTTCATTTTTCTTTGTTATGTTTTCTTTCTGTTCCTCAGATTGCACAATCTCAATGGACTTATCTTTATGTTTGCTGATTCCGCCAGCTCACATCTATTGTTAAGTGCTTCTGATAAAATTCTTCTCAGTTATTATACTTTTCAATTCCACAATTTACAAACACACATACACACACCCCATTCAACAGAAATAGAATATAGATATATTTATCATCATATTGTAGACTATACATAGAATTGAAATAAAATAGCTTTTTTGATAGTCTCTATTTGGAAGAATATTCTCATCATTCTTATACTTCCCTTTAGTTTTGTTTTCAGCAGATATGCTCTTTTTTCCTATTTTATTTTTAAAATTATTTTTATTTATTTTTCACTCTCATTTTAGATTCAAGGATGCATGTGCAGGTTTCTTATACAGGTAAATTGTGTGTCATGACGGTTTGGGCACACATTATTTTTTCACCCAGGTAATAAACATAGCACCTGATAGGTAGATTTTTGATCCTCTCCCTCCTCCCACCCTCCACTATCAAGTAGGCTCCAGTGCCTGTTGTTCCCTTCTTTGTGTCCATCTGTACTCATTGTTTAGCTCCCACTTTTAAGTGAGAAAACGCAGTATTTAATTTCTGTTCCTGCATTAGTTTGCTTAGGATAATGGCCTCCAGCTTCATCCATGTTGCTGCAAAGAACATGATCTCATTCTTTTTTATGGCTGTATAGTATTACATGGCATATATATAACTACATTTTCTTTATCCAGTCCATCATTGATGGGCACTTAGGTTGATTCCATGTCTTTGCTATTGTGAATAGTGCTGTGATGAACATATGCATGCATCTTTATGGTAGAACGATTTACCTTCCTTTGAGTGTATATTCAATAATGGGATGGCTAGGTCAAATGGTACTTCTCTTTTAAGTTCTTTGAGCCATTTCCTAACTACTTTCCACAATAGCTAAACTAATTTTTATTCCCCTCAGCAGTGCATAAGCATTCCCTTTTCTCTGCAACCTCACCAGCAGCTGTTATTTTTTGACTTTTTAATAATAGCCATTCTGATTGGTGAGAAATGGTATCTCATTGTGGTTTCTATTTGCATTTCTCTAATAATTAGTAATACTGAACATGTTTTCATATGCTTATTGGTCACATGTATGTCTTCTTTTGAAAAGTGTCTGGTCATGTCCTTTGCCCACTTTTGAATGGTGTTGTTTGTTTTTTGCTTGTTAATTTGTTTAAGTTCCTTATTGACTCTGGATATTAGACCTTTGTTGGATGTATAGTTTGCAAACATTTTCTCACATTCGGTACCTTATCTTTTTACTCTGTTGCTAATTTCTTTTGCTGTGCAAAAGCTCTTTAGTTTAACTAGGTTTCATTTGTCAATTTTTGTTTTTGTTGCAGTTGCTTTTGGCATGTTCATTAGAATGATATTTGATAGGTTATCTTCCAGTTTTTGTACTTTTAGGTTTTACTTTTAAATCTTTAATTCATCTTGAATTGATTTTTGTGTATGGTGTAATGAAAGGGTACAATTTCAATCTTTTGCATATGGCTACGCAGTTATGCCAACACTATTGATTGAATAGGGAGTCCTTCTCCCATTGTTTGTTTTTGTCACCCTTGTTGAAGATCAGATGGTTGTAGGTGTGTGTCTTTATTTCTGAGCTCTCTACTCTGCTCCATTCATCTATGTGTCTGTTTTTGTAATAGTTTCATGCTGTTTTTGGTTATTGTAGCCTTTGTGGTATGGTTTTAAGTTGGATAACATGATGCCTCCAGCTTTATTCTTTTTACTTGGAACTGCCTTGGCTATTTGAGCTCTTTTGTGGTTTCATGTGAATTTTAAGATGGTTTTCTTGAATTCCTTGAGAAGTATTTTGTTTCTACGTTAATTTTAGAATAGTTTTTGCATAATTCTACAAAAAATGACTTTGTTAGTTTGATAGGAATAGCAATGAATCTGTAAATTGCTTTGGGCAGTATGGCCCTTTTAACAATATTGATTCTTCCTACCTGTTAACATGGGATGTTTTCCCATTTGTTTGTTTCATTTTGGACTTCTTTGAGCAGTATTTTGTAATTCTCATTGTAGAGATCTTTTATCTCCATGGTTACCTGTATTCCTAGGTATTTTATTCTTTTTGTGGTTATTGTGAAAAAGATTGCATTTTGTTTTTGGCTCGGCTTGGATGTTGTTAGTGTATAGAAATGCTACTAAGTTTTGTACATTTATTTTGTATCCTGAAACTTTGCTGAAGTTGTTTATCAGATCTAGGATCTTTTGGCCAGAGACTACGGGGATTTATAGGTATAGGATCACATCATCTGCAAACAGAGATAGTTTGACTTCTTCCCTTCCTATTTGGATATCTTTTATTTCTTTTTCTTGCCTGATTGCTCTGGCTAAGACTTATGTTGAGTAGGAGTGGTGAGAGTAGGCATCCTTGTCTTGTTTTGGTTCTCAAGAGGAATGCTTCCAGTTTTTGCACATTCAGTAAGATGTTGGTTGTGGGTTTGTCCTAGATAGCTCTTATTATTTGGAGGTATGTTTCTTCAATGCCTAGCTTGTTGAGGGTTTTTAACATGAAGAGATATTGAATTTTATTGAAAGCCTTTTCTGTATCTATTCAGATGATCATGTGGTTTTTGTTTTTAGTTCTGTTTATGTGGTGAATTGCATTTATTTACCTATGTTGAACCAACCTTTTATCCCAGGGATAAAGCCTGTTTGATTGTGGTGGATTTGCTTTTTCATGTTGCTGCTAGATTCAGTTTGCTAGTATTTTGTTGAGGAGTTTTGCATCCATGCTCATCAAGGTTATTTGCCTGAAGTTTGTGTGTGTGTATGTGCATGTGTGTGTGAGTGTGTGTGCTTTCTGGCAGGTTTTGGAATCAAGGTGATGATGGCTTCATTGAATGAGTTAGGGAGGAGTCCCTTCCCAATTTTCTGGAATAGTTTCAGTAGGAATGACACCAACTCTTTATACCTCTGGTAAAGTTTGGTTGTGAATCTGTCTTTCTGGTTGGTAGGCTTTTTATTACTGATTCAAAGGATTCAGACTCACTATTGGTCTATTCAGGAGTTCAATTTCTTCTTGGTTCAATCGTGGGAGGTTTTATGTTTCCAGCAATTTTTCTGTTTGTTTTAGGTATTCAGTTTGGTGCATAGGGGTGTTAATAATAGTCTCTCAGAGTTTTTTTTATTTCTATGGGATCAGTGGTAATGTCCCCTTTGCCATTTCTGATTGTGTTTATTTGTATATTCTCTCTTCTTTATTAGTCTAGTTAGTGGCCTATCAGTCTTATCTATTCTTTCAAAAAACCAACTCCTGGATTCGTTTATCTTTTGTATGGTCTTTTGCGTCTCACTTTTGTTCACTTCAGCTCTAATTTTGGTTACTTTTGTCTTCTGCTAGCTTTGGGGTTAGATTGCTATTGCTTCTCTAGTTCTTCTAGGTGTGATCTTCGGTTGTTAATTTGAGATCTTTGTAACTTTTTGATGTGGATGTTTAGTGCTATAAACTTCCCTCTTAACACTGCTTCAGCTGTGTCTCAGAGATTCTCATACCTTTAGTTTGTTAGGTCACAATTTCCTGTTTTTTTCCTTTCTTTTTTTTTCTGAGTCAGATTCTTTCTCTGTCATCCAGGGGTCTCACTCTGCCACCCAGGCTGGAGTGCAGTGGTGCCATCAAAACTCACCACAGCCTTGACCTTTTGGGCTCAAGTGATCCTCCTGGCTCAGTTTCCTGAGTAGCTAGGATCACAGGCAGATGACACTGCATCAGGCTAATTTTTAATTTTTTTTTTCCTACATACAGGGTCTTACAATGTTGCCCAAGCTGGTCTTGCACTTCTGGGCTCAAACGATCCTCTTGCCTTGGCCTCCCAAAATGCTGAGATTACAAGTGTGAGCTACTGTACCTGGTCTCCCTTAATTTTTGAGCAATTCAAAATATAATTGGTACAGAGTATTTGTCTAGTAAATTGAAAGTTTGTGCTCTCTCAAGAACAGTTTCTATTGGGGGCATTGTTCTTTGTTAATGGGTCATATTTTTTTTTTTTTTTTTTTTTCATTTCACACAGTTTATGTTGAAAAATGAACATTTTAAATAATATAATGTGTCAACTCTGAAAATCAGATTCTTTCCTTTCCCTAGCATTTGTTATTATTGTCATTTGTTATTGCTGTCACTATTGTTTACTACAGACTTTTCTTAACTAGTTCTTTAAAATATGTATTCTTCATTGTATGTAGCTACTGAGTTCTCTCCTTGGTCAGCTTAGTGGGTAGCTAATCAACGGACAGATATTTTTCAGAGTTTCCTGGAACTGATAAATCTCCCTACCTTGGCAGAGGGTCTCTGTGTGCATGTTGGGACACACCTTCAATGTTCAGCCAGGTAGTTGAAAATTACCTTAGTCTTCACTTCCTGCTTGTGCGGAATCTGAAGAACAGACAAAAGTGAGAGCTTAGGGCCTTCTTGGGTATGAGCATGAAGGTAGCCTTGGACATGAACATACCTCTATACATGTGTTTGAACTTCCAGAGTCCAGGAATACTTTGAGGCTTTTTAAAGATTTCTCTGGAAATTCCATTCACCAGCTTTTCTTTTCCAGCTTTTTGGTTTACCTATTGTTGGCTTCAACTGTTGTGTGTTGCTTCAGAGAGCTGAAACATTAAACAATTGTCTCTTACGGCTTTTGCCAAATGTATCTGGGGAAAAGCTTGTTTGCCCTTGCTGAGCTTTAAATTAGGTCAAATAATGAGGGCCTATTAAGTGGGTTCTTCCAGGGAATTCCATGACAGGTAAAACAATGAAAGTTTTTTTAGTAAAAGAGCCTTGATGGAGCTCGAGAACTATTCTGCTTTTTCTATTGGCTACCAGGCTCATAGTTTTCACTGTGGTGGTGAGCTCTTAGTTTTCAAGACTATGGGAAAGCCATGGAAGGTAGAATGGGAATACAACTTAAAATGCTACATTGCTTGCTCTTCTTAGAGAGATTCCTTTTCTTGAATAAATTCTCCCTAATTGCTTCAAGCCTTTGATTAAATTTCAGAATTTCAAAAATGTTGATTCTGACGATGTTTTGCCAGTGTTCTCGTGCTTTTACGAAGGAGTAGATATTCAGAGGTTCTTACTCTGCCATTTTTACCTGCCCTCCTTAGTTAACATTAAAATATTCAACCCAATAATTGTAATAAGTATTCTTTTCAAGTTCCATGTGGTGTATTCTCCAGGATAAACCATATGTTAGGCCATGAACCAATATCCAGTAAATTTAAAAGGATCAAAGTCAAGCAAACTATGATTGCCAACTGCAATGAAACTAAATTAGAAATTAACCACAGAAGGAAATTTCAGAAATCCACAAATATTTGGATATTAACACCACATCTCTATATAGCCTATGTGGCAAAGAAGAAATCACAGGTGAAATCATAAAATATTTCAAGCTGACTAAAAATTAATATGCAATATATCAAAATTTATAAGGCAAAATTAAATCAGTACTTAAATCAAAATTGATAGCTATAAACTTCAGTATCAGAAAGGAAGACATATATTAGTAACAAAATGTACAACTTAAAAAACTAAAAAATAGAGAATAAAATAAATCCAAAGAAAACAGAAGGAAATAATACAAATTCGAGTGAAAACTAGTGAAATGAAAAACAGAAAAACAATAATTAGTAAATCTAAAACTGATTTATTTAAAAAGATATAAATTGAGAACTATTTATCAATAATGAACCTGAAGAAAATGAAGGATGACAAAAATGATCAAAATCAAGTATGAAAGAAGGCACTTCATGACAAACTTTAGGAGGAAATCAAATCATTATAAAAGAATACTAATAAAAAGGTGTTTATAACTTTACACTAACAAATTAAACAACTTAGATAAAACAGGACCATTTCCAAGAAGGATACAAATTACTAAAACTGACCCCCAAAGAGAAAGCAAATGTAAATATTTCTATAACAAATAAAATTATTGAATTAGTAATTAATTAGTTTTCACAAGAAAAAGCCCAGGGTCATATGTCTGCACTGATTAACTCTAATAAACATTTAAAGAAGAAATGCCACCAGTCTTGAACAAATTGCCATAAAATTGAAGAGAAAGGATAACTCCCCAACTCATTCTATGAGGCCAATATTATCCTTATGCAAAAGCCTGATGAAGACATCACAAGAAAAGAGAACTACATGCCAGTATCTCCCAGGAAAATAAATGCAAAAACTCTTAACAAAACATTATAAAATAATGTAATCCAACAGTATGTAAAAGGATTATATGCCATGTCCATGTGATGTGGCATCTGAAAAACAGTTAATATAACTTACCACATTAGTAGAAAAATCACATAATCATTGCAATAGATACACAGAAGACATTTGACAAAATTCATCACTTCTTCATGACTAAAACTTTCAACAAACTAGGAATTAAAGGAGAACTCTCCTAAACTGATAAAGAGTATCTATGAAAAACCAATAGCTAACTTCTTAGTGGCAAAAAATGGAATGTTTTCCTCCAAAGACTGGGGAATATACATGGATGCCTGCTCCTACCACTTCTATTAAGTATTGTGGCAGAGCTTCCAGTGAGTGCAGTTGAGCAAGAAAAAGACATAAATGGCATCTGGATTGAGAAACAGAAATTAAAACTGATTTTATTTATTTATTACATGATTTTCTACATAGAAAACCCTTTTAAAATTTTTGAAAAGCCAAGGCTTTTCTTCTTTCTTTTAAAAAATTTTTTAAAAAAATTTATAATAGTTGTAGATTTACAGCAATATTGCAAAGATAGTACAGAATTCCCATATACCTCATACATATTCTCCCCTATATTTACTTATTTATTTACTTTAAAATGTTTATTTTAGGTTCAGGAGTACATATGGAGGTTTGTTTTACAGGTAAACTAACATGGGGGGTTTCTTGTACAGATTATTTCATCACCCAGGTACTAAGCTTAGTACCCAATAGTTATTTATTCTTTTCTTGCTCCTCCTCCTCCTCCCACTGCCCCCCTTCCATTCTCCACCCTCAAGTAAGCCCAAGTGTCTAGTTGTTGCCCTCTTTGTGTTAACGAGTTCTCATCATTTAGTTCCCACTTATAAGTGCGAACATGAACGTGAAGTATTTGGTTTTCTGTTCCTGCATTAGTTGGCTAAAGATAATGCCCTTCAGCTCCATCCGTGTTCCCACACAAGACATGATCTCACTTTTTTTTTATGGCCGCATAGTATTCCATGAAATAGTGTATATGTACCACATTTTCTTTATCCAATCTGTCATTGATGAGCATTTAGGTTGATTCCATGTCCTTGCTATTACAAATAGTGCTGCAATGAACACTCGTGTGCATGTGTCTTTATGGTAGAATGATTTATATTCCTCTGGGTATATACCCAGTAATGGGATTGCTGGGTCAAATGGTAGTTCTATTTTCAGCTCTTTGAGGAATTACCACATTGCTTTCCACAATGGTTGAACTAAGGAACTTTTGAAACACTACTGGAACTAATAAACTACTTCAGTAAGGTTATAATATACAGAATCAATGTATAAATACCAATTACCTTTCTATATATCAGCAGCAATGAAACATATGAAAAAGGAATTGAAAAAATAATGTATTCATGACAGCATCAAATTCAGTGAAGGAATTAGAAAATAAGAGAATTGCAAGGCATGCACACTGAAAACCAGAAAACATTGCAGGCCAGACGTGGTGGCTTGCTCCTGAAATCCCAGCACTCTGGGAGGCCAAGGCAGGTGAATCACCTAAGGTCAGGAGTTTGAGACCAGCCTGACCAACATGGTGAAACCCTGTCTCTACTAAAAATAACAAAAATTAGCTGGGTGTGGTGGCACGTGCCTGTAATCCCAGCTACTTGGGAGGCTGAGGCCGGAGAATTGCTTGAACCTGGGAGGCAGAGGTTGCAGTGAGCCAGGATTGTGCCACTGCACTCCAGCCTGGGCTATAGAGTGAGACTCTGTCTCAAACGAACAAACAAATAAACAAACAAAAAAAACAATGCAGAGATAAACAAAATAAAATCTAAAAAATTAAAAAATGGACCATGTTGTTAACTGAAATTTTCAATACTGTTAAGATAACAAATCAAACTATTGATTGAAAGCAATCTCTATAAAAAAACCCATGAGAATGTATGAAAATGAAAATAACCCAGAATAGCAAGACAGTTTTGTAACGTAAGAACAAAGTTGAAGAATTTGCACTTTCAAAATCTACTATTAAGGATAGACATACGTATAGGTCAATGGAATAAAGTTTAGAGTTCATATGGAAATCCTTACATTTCAGTCAATTTATATTTGACAAAGTATTAAGGTGATTTAATAGTGAAAAAATAGTCTTTTCTATGTATAATATATTGGAGCAATTTGGTATTTACATGCAAAAAGATGTATCATACACAAAAATTTACTCAAACTGATCTCAACCCATATGTAAGAGTACAAATATGAAACTTTTAGAGAAAACATGAGAGAAAATGTTCATGACTATAGGCTATGCAAAGGGTTGTCAGATACGCACCAAAAAAGAAAAATAAAAGGTAAATTGTGCTTTCTCAAAATGAAAATCTTTTGAACTTCAAAAAAAAAACCACTAAGAAAATGAAATGAAAAGACAAGCCATATGCTTGCAAATCACAAATATAATAAATGATAATTTTCATATAACAACTATATATGTTTAAATGAAGAAATTAATAAAATTCAAAATACATTTCACAAAATAAGAGACATGATATCTAAAAAGTAAGGCACATGGGGTGTGCTCTATAACATTAGTAATTGGGAACATTATAATTAAAACTGTAATGAAATACTGGTTCACCTACCATAATGTTGGTAATCAAAAACAAAGACAATAAGATGTGTTGCTTAGAATATGGAAAAACTGGAGTCTTCATACATTGCTGGTGGGAATGTAAAATGATGCATCCACCATGAAAGACAGCTCCCAAAACATGCTAAGTAAATAAGTCAGGCACAAAAGACTACATATTTTGTGATTCCATTTATATGAAATATCCAGAAAAGGCAAATCTGTAGAGAAAGAAAGTAAATTAGTGGTTATTTGGTGCTGGAAGAGGGAATGAGAATGAATACTAATGGTGAATGAAGGATCTCTCTGGGGTGATAGGAGTGTCCTAAAACTGAACAATGGTTGCATAATTCTTTAAATTTATGAAAAATATCTGAATTGTATACTTAAATTGGGTGCATTTTATGGTATATGAATTATACGTAAATAAAGCTCTTTTAAAAATATAATAAGCGTTGAGTTCCTCATCACTGACAATGTGTATGCATATGACTAATAATCACATGCAAAGGGAGTGTTGGAGGGGATACACTCTGTAGTTAATGATTGAACTTCATAATTCCACAAATATTTTTCAAAACACATATTTCATGAGTCTATAAAAATCTGTGTGTGCTTTACAGGTAGTGTGCAAAATATTTAAACATCAGCATCTTATCATGGGTGTTGAAGATTTTGCTCTCATAAGAAATGAATACAGCTTTAGTAGCAACATTGCAAGAAAAAGAAATAATTTGTAGATTTTATTCCCATGAGCAATTCTGTCCACAAATTGCCTTGGGACTGTAAAGCCTTAGTTCTGAAGTAAAAGAGATAATTTCTCAAAAGTATCTGCTACAGATGGAGTAGAAGGAGAGCACTCAAAGGTTTCTAAAAACAGACACACTTATCTTCAGACACTGCTCAGAAAACCAGTAAGCTGGATTTTGGCTGGCCAGATAACTTTATCCTAGGAAATACTAGAAGACTGTATATTTTTCCTCCCAAAAGGAAGAATGCTCACATTGTATTACAAAAATAAACAGAGACGGTTTATGAGGATGCTTGAGAAATTGGATTAAAAAGAGGGAGAATGGGATCATTAGTAATGCAGATTAAAATAAAACAAGGAATAAAAGAAAATGTAAAAATTAACATATAGATGTTTATTTCTATGCCTTGAATATTTTATTCCAAATGATCATGACTGATAGCAAGGGCTTTACAGATTCTTCAGTAGCAGAGCTAACTCACTCATAGTCACAGAGATCTATGAATGGATTCTGAATTTGGCTTTCATTATTGCTATTGCAAAGACAGTTATCATTCTTCTTGCCACTCTTTTGAAGGTAATATTTTTTTCTCTACAATAACTTTTTATCTTTGAATTTTAGCAAATTGACTATGATATGTCTCAGTTTAGTTGCGTTGTGTTTGTTACTTCTTCAGTATCACTGAACGTTTTAGGTTTTAGGTTTATGACTTTCATCATTTATAAAATTACTTAGCATCAGATCTTCACGTATTTCTTCTTTTCTGATCTCTCCTACTGGGATTCCAATAATATTTGTATTGAATGTTTTTACTATATCCCACAGGTTTCTAATTCCCCTACTCCCCTCTCCCCCACCATTCTTTCATCTACCTATCACTTTATTTGGGTGTTTCATATTGTTCCTTTTTCCAGCTTACTATTTCTACCTTAAGTTATATCCAATTAATGATTTGGGGTATTGTATTGTTCATTTTTAGAATGTCAAATTACTTCTCTTTCTTTGTAGATTCTTTTTTTTGAAGCATTTTACTTTTCATCTATTTGTCCTGCTTTTCCTCTATCTTAATAAACATTTATCATAGTTATTTTATATCTTTGATATCTATATCACTTTTAGGTGTGCTTCTGATGTCTCCTTTTTAGCCTATACCCCTTTCTTCTCCCACATGACTGTTAATTTTCTGTTGAAACTGAGACATTTTGTATATATTAAAAGAAAAAAAAATTGTAGAGGTTCCAGATCACGTTATCATCTACTGTGAGAACTTTTCCATTTCCCTGATTACCTTAATTCAGTCATAGAGGAGACAAAGTGAAGGTTGGATTGCAGCTGTGGTAAGCGTCAGTATTCCTTTGGTATACTCTAATTCCAGATTGTGGACTTCTTGAGCTATCAATCGAGAAGTTGGCATGCCATTGTCCCTTCAGGAGGAAGACATTGTGAGAATATCCACTGCAATTTTGAAAGATTAGAATAGCTAAGTAACTAAATTAAAGTTATTTAGCTTCTCAATGTGTACACTTTCATGCTTTGGTAAGATTCTTGAAGAAGAGATCAGGTTTGAGGTTTCTCCAGCTAACAATTGCATCATTTTGTTCTCAAGGACCAAAAGCTCTGTTTATTCCACATTCCCCTAGCAGTTGACCTCTGTCAGGGTTCAGGCTTGAGTTCCCAGCCTCTTTAGATAGCAAAAGTAGCTAAAAGGAAGATCTTCTTCTCTTTAAAAAAAAATACCCTAAAACATGAAGAAAGATCAAAACAATGTGACGCCCAACAGGAATGCAGGAACATGTCTAAAGAGGACTCTGATGACCACAGGTTCAAAGAAGAACATCCAGGCTATAATTCTTCAAGTATGGTGGCACCTGGAGTGACAAAACATTATGTGACTTGGTGTTCTGGTCTTCTCTAAGCACTCTTAGGTGGCCTGCAGAGGCAGAGTAGAAGAGATAATGACGTGAGTGGAAGAGATAATGGTAGCTGAAATGCTATCATTGTGAAGAGTGGTCAAATAAGAAAGGACAGGGGAGAGCGGTACCACTTTGATTTAAAACTAACCTTGAAGTTACCTATCTTGGTTAGCATGGTGGATACTATGAATTATAACTCACAGAAACATAACTTGGAAATTCACTTTGAACCAGTAAGAATAACTGCTGTCCTGAAACACTGATCCACAGCCCTCACTACAGAAACTTTACCAGGAATAATTCAAAGATGAGTAATGATCTGAAGGTGTTAGTACTATCCAAAAATCCCAGCAAAGCTCTATTCAAATTCTACCTGAGAACTAACAGTCAGAGAATTGTCTATCTAAGGGCAGAATAGACATTCTTCTCACACACAAGTAAAATATTCATCAAGATAGACCACATTTTGGACTACAAAAATACAACTTAGCAAACTTAAGGAATAGAAATTATACAATCTATGTTCTTAGAACACACTGGAAATTAAGAAAAGAAAGTTAGCTGAATTTGGAAAATAAACCACACATTTTAAAATAACATAAATTAAAGAAGTATCAAATTTAAAATATTTTAACTAAATTAAAATGAAAGTACAACTTATCAAAATGTGTGGAATACATCTAAAGTAGAGCTTAAAGGGAAATTTATAGCATTAAATGAATATATTGGAAGAGAAGACATATATAAATTGATAATGTAAGCAGCCATCTTAGGATAACAGAGAATGAAGAGTAAAATTAAACCTACAGCAACAGAAAAAGGGAAATGATAAAAATTAGAGCAGAAATCAATGACACAAAACAGGAATAAAGAGAAAATTCTTAAAAACCAAGTTATTTGAAAACATCAATAAGAATAATACAACTTTAGCCAAACTAACCAAGAAAAAAAAAGAAAATATATAAATCTCCAACACGAGGAGTAAAACACATCATTGCTATTGATCTACATGTCTTAAATTTGATAACTCAGATGAAATGTACCGATTTCTTAAAAGACTCAAATTACCAAAACTAACTCAGGCCAAAACAGATAATCCAATTGTCCCTACATCTGTAAATGGAATTAAATAGCAGTTAAAAGCTCAAATAGTTTCTCTGATGGCTCTAACAAACATTTTAAAAAGAGGGCTTGGCATGGTGGCTCACACTTGTAATTCCTGCACTTTGGGCAGCTGAGGTGGGAAGGTCATTTTGAGGCAAGGTGTTTGAGACCAGCCTGGGCAATACAGCAAGACCCCCATTTCTACAATTTTTTTAAAACTAGTTGGGCATGGTGGTGTGCACCTCTAGTCCTAGCTACTCTGGAAGCTGAGGTGGGAGAATTGCTTGGGCCCAGGAGTTTCAAGCTGCAGTGAGGTTGAGCTATGATTGTGTCATTGCACTCCAGCCTGGGGCGATAGAGCAAGACCCTATCTGAAAAAAGAAAAAATACAAGAAATAATGCTAATTATACAGGATCTCTTCCAGAAAATGGAAGTGAACACTTTGCAGCTGATTTTGTCAGGCCAGCATTACCCTAGTATCAAGATCAGATAAATGCAAGAAAAACAACAAAACTACATACTATTATATCTCATTAATATAGACATAAAAATCCCTAACAAAATATTAGCAAATACAATTATATTTTAAAAAGGGTAACACATCATCATCAGTTGCTATTTATTTCAGTAATGCGAAGCTGATTCAACATTTGTGAATCAATCTATCATTATATTAACCGACTGTATAAGAGCAAAACATAATAAAAGCATTTAACAAATGTCAGCACTCATTTATAATAAAAGTTCTCAAAAAGATCTCTGAGAATAAAAAGAAACTTTCCTGAGGGGAGTATTTCAAAAACAAAAACCAAACTAAACAAACAAAAAATCCCTTAGAACTGGTATTGTGTTTAATGCTGAGATAATGAAAAGTTTCTTTCTAAGATTGAGAACAAAGCAATGATTTATTTTCCTACCACTAATTTTTGACATCATGCTGAAAGTCTTAGCTAGAATAATACGATAAGAAAAATAATAAAAGATACACAAGTTTAAAATAAAGAAATGAAACTATATTCTATATATCCAAAGGATATATACATTTTCCAGTAGAAAAATAACCTAAGAAATAAATGGCAGAGGAAGATCACTCAGCAGAGGAAGTAGTTTTGAAGCAGATAAAAATGGTGACTCATGATCTTTCTATCAGACAAGTTTAAATTCTGGCATTGAACATCAGCAAGCAGCAAAGCATAATGCAGAAGAATCAATACACAATAAGGATATAAGAGTAAAAATTAGCTATGCACTGAGAAACAAAATATTAAAATTCATTAAAAAAGAGAATTAGAATATAGCAGAAGCAGAAGACTTTAATTCATTCAGCGTTAAAGTGGAAAAGAATAAGGAGTTTGAATAACTAACGAACATATCAAGGGAGATATAACTGATATATGTATTGATTTACGCAGCTCGAGAATAGAAAGCCCATGGCAATTCATGATAATGGACCACATATCTAGTCAGTACATTCCTTATTGTATAAGTAGGTCAGGAAATATTCTCTCGACACAATGCAATACAACCACAAGTTAATCAAACAATTTTAAACAAAAGCTTAATTTAATAATACTACTGTCTTGAAATATTCCTTGAAGAATGAAATCATTTTATATAATATTTTTTAAACAAACAAAATAATGCAAAATATGGATATCAATATTTTAAATAAAATTTATATTATTAAATACTTCCATTATTGTAAAAGGAGAAAAGAAAATGTATATAAATATATTGAGAATTCTACTTAAGAAGTTTGGGAAGAAAAGTAACGCAATAAGTATAAGAAAAATAGGATGAAAAATTAATAAAGATACAAATGAAAATCAGTGAGTTACAAAAGAGAAAGAAATTCTTTAAAAAACAAATAATATAAATGATTTAGGGAATTTAAATAAAAATAAAAAGGAGAAAGTAGCAATTTTGTAATGTTAGTGAAGTCAATGGAAAGTAAGAAAATCTACTGAGAATTTTAAAAAATATAAACTCAATTCTATGCAAACATATTTGGAAACCTAGGTCATATTTTTTATTTTTATGAAACAGACAAAAACAATTCTATAAGAGTTAGGAAAGTTGAACAAATCTGTTGTCATAAAAAAGATCAAATACTCACCTAAAAAGTCTCAGAGTAATAACACATCTTAAAAACAGGACAATCTTAATGGTATTCAAATTATCATAAGATCAGAAAGAAATAAAGCACTCAAAAAAATTTTTAAATCAGTGTAATATTGCTATCCAAATTCCCAAGTTCATAAACTAATTCCAACTTAACTACATCCAATAGCACAGTAAAAATACATCCTAACTAAAAGAGTTTTATTTCTGGAATATTTAAATATAATAGTATAATATGTTAGCATAATACATGTCACAATACAATATGTGGTTCTAATTTACCATGTAGAACAAAATAACATCATCCTCATAGATGTTGAAAATACAGTGAAAATATGCATCCCTTCTTCACTAAAAAGGAAGCAAAAGTTTTAATTAAATTAGAAAAAAAATGTTTTTCTTTAAAATGGTGATATGCTTAGGGTTATGTGTCCAGGAAAACACTTTGAGCTATTTCAGAAATGTCCTAAGGTTGCTAGTGAGAAAAATAAATTAGAATAAATATTGAGTTATAAAAATTGGAAAAGGAGTCAAATTTTATTTATTTGCACATGGTATAATAGTATGCCTGGAAAATTTTAGTGAACTTTCAGTTATACCCATGTTCAATTGTAAAATATAGCATACCATATAGACAAATAGCTTAGTATTAATATATAATATCAGATCTCTCCTGCATAAAATACATTAGTTAGAAAATGTATAAAAGGTTGTATTTCATGTATAATAGAAAACACATTTTAAATAGCTAGAAAAATACTGAAAAATAAGGTTGTAATAACTATATGAAAAAACAGAAAACAACACTGGAATGGTGTAGCTCCCCTTGAATATAAGAGTTTAAATATTCCTAAGACCTTATGACTTTCCTTGGTAACTTATACATTTAATATGATAAAATACTCATTGCATTCACAATAAAACACTTAGTTTGCCCTCCCCATTTTTTTTTAAACTGGGCAAGTTGGTCCTAAACTTCATGCTTAGGTAATAAGTAAGAATATTCAAAAATATCTTGAAAAATGGAGTAGAAAAAGAGTACTGACTTCATGCCAGTATTAAAACATATTGTCAAGTTACGTAATTAAATCAGTGTGGTAGAAATGCATGAAGAAGTAGTCTGAACAATGGAATGGAATAAAGTCCAAAATAAACAACACAAACAGAAACATATCGTCTGGACTATCAGTGGGGAAATGAGAGACTTTCCATAAATGACATTGAGACCACCTTGTGGCCTGTTGGAAAAAGGAGTTTAGTCTTGTAACAAAATAAAATTTAAATACAAAGTTATGGTCTAAAAGTACTAGAAGTAAACAATGTAAAAACACTGTCTTTAACAATTGTACAGTGAAGATAGCATGTATTTGCCTACAAGCCATTCTAGAAGAATTTTATAAATTTGACTACATAAAAAATAAAATGTTCTTCATGGTTAAAAGAAAAAGCCCAAAGACACATGCAAATGCAGAAAATACATTTGCACTTCTTATTGCAGACAAAGAGTGAATTAACTAGACATTAAAATGTCCCCTGGAAAAGGAAAAACCAAACCTTCTAGACACATGTGCAATGAGCAGGAGCAGACAGCTTGCAGAAATGACACAGAAACATTTAAGTACTTGACAATAGGCTCAACCTCAAAACAGCAAGAAAAACTGTTTTCTTTTTTAACACCTAAGAAATTGGTAGAGAAAAAGAATTTATTGAGAAAAATAGCATTATTTTTAAAAAAGCATTATTTTTTAAAAAAAGCATTTATTGAGAAAAAAATAAATTAGATCCTCTCATAAATTTATGTATAAGTTGATAAATTATCTATGGAGAGTAACTTGATAGTATTTATCAAAGCAAAAACACCCTATTTTGCCACAATTTTACCTTTGAGGATTATCCTGTAGAAACTTTTAACTCATGCCTGAAATGACAAATGCATAAGAATACTAGTGTACCATTGCTGTCAATTTCATGGAGTTAAATTAGCAATGGAACAGCCATTAATAATGTTATACAGTATGATGCAGCAGGGAAAACGTGTGAAGCAGTTATTATGGAATGATATGGAATCTTCACCAAGATTTATTTGTTAAACAAACAAACAAAAAACAAGCCACAATAAGGTACTAATATTTAGCTTGAGACATAAAAAGAGAAAGGGAACTGTTACTTGTTTGTCTCTGCTTAGACTATATCTCTAAGGACACAGAGAAAGTGGACAGTCATTGATGCTTCCAGATGTTGTTCTGAGAAGCTGAGGACCAGGGTATGGAAAAGACTTAACTCAGTGCTGGCTGCTATCTAGGTCTGAATTTCTCCCATATATATGTACAACTCATTAAGGTAACAAATTAAGAATGAATCTTGAAAGGAATGTTGAGGAGTACATGTACTCTCTCTCTCCTTGAACTTTCTTCAGGAACAAAATCTAAGAGTTGGAATAAACAACCCCTTTTCAGGCAGAGACGAAATCATTGAATGTATGATTAAAGATTTAAGTAAGGTATAATTTTATACACTTTTCTCAAGTCATTTAATCTCTTTCCTTTTCCTTTGCACAAAAGAGAATTATTAATCTTCAAATAACCTTATTATCACCCTGTGCCTAGCATCTTTCCTCAGATATAACAGTTTGGCATAAATGTGTATAGAAGAAAATGCAAATTTCTGCAAAACAGCAAATCCAAGGCAGTGGATCAGGTGCATAGAGAGTCACTTTCCTGTATATGTGAGCTACTGTATTCCTAAATATTCACGGAATAGCTTCCATGTCCTGCGTTCTGTTCACGTTGTTTCTCAGGTTTGACTGGGGGCCACTCACCACAGCAAAGCTAAGCGCTCCTCTTACGGGGACACTGATAGTCAGTGGGGTCGTCAGTGTCCTTAGACTGACCTCAGAGGAGCAGAGAAATTCAGACCACATTGATGTTTTTAAAAGACCAGTTATTTCAGATGACAACTAGTGAACAGAAACCTGCTTTACTGGGTACTATGAGAAGAACTTACTAATAAAACTGATAACAAGCAGTCTGAAAGTCCTACTACTGGAAGAGCATTGGGAGGGCATGAAAACATCTAGTCTGGAAGGATAATTTGTGATAATCATTGCCTTCTAATTTTTTCTTTGCAATTTCCAAGGGCAGAGTGGACGGTTCAGAGAGCAATGGGTGCAGCTGGTGCTGGGAGAAGGCCAGTCTCAGTTGAGGGTAAGGAAGTATTGATCCCACAATGGAAAATGCCGCTTAAGAGGAAAAGAATGCTCAAGGGAGAGCGGGAGGAGTGCATCCAACCCCACTGCCATTGGGGTCCCGGAGGGAGAGGGCCTTGGAAGTGCTCTTATTTGGGGCTGTGGATGACATCTCTGAGGATTCCAAGGGCAAATATGCAGAAGCTCAAGAAGCACAGGGTCAATCTGGAGGCTGCAATCTGAAGACAAGAACAAATATCACGTGAATAAATCAGGACACTGAGACGGTCCTGGGAAGCTGAGCTGCAGGACAAAGGGCAGCTTGCAGCATCCCCAGGGCTATTCCACCAGTCTGTGGAGACTCAGCTTGACAGTGAGTAGAGACTGGCCAGGCACCATGCCTAGGGCTTCACAGCCCTCGTCTCATCTGGGTCTTATCATCCCTATGAAAAATGACAGAGATGAAGAGGCTCAGGGAGCTGAGAGTCTCGCTAGAGTTACCTGGCCGGCAACTGAGAAGTAAGCCCTTCATTCTACAACTCCTCCATGTAAAATCCAATGCTGTAAATACAGCTCCCATCCCCAGCATAAATTGTGTGAGGTATGTACATGTTCCTACCAGCAAAAGTGAGCTGACAAAATCACTGCTCTTCTTAACCATGTTTATTGTATAACTGTTAGTAGATAATATCATTTTACAGCATTATTTTCAGGACATTTTTTTCAGCCACCAAGTGCTTATAACACATTTTAAAGGACGCACTGATTGGTTTATTCGACAAATATGTATCAAGTAACTTCATGTAGGAGGTGCTGGAGCATAGCCCCAATCCCCAAATTCATGCCTCAGGTGACCTTCCCTTTTGTGGTGGGAGGCAGAAAGGAGACACCTGAATAAGTGTCTGGCCGGGCTCCTTACTGTGGAGACCAACTAACAGGACACAAGGGAGGGCCAGTGGGTGGAGAAGGGCTCTTTCGGCAGACAGCCCAGTGAAGTGGGGAGTAAACCTTGCGAAGGGTGGGGAAGACAGGCTCCCAGAGGAAGGAAGTGGTCAAGTCCCCGAGGCAGGAATCGGCAAGTGGCCCTTAGTCCTGGAGAAGGCCGCCATGGCTGCACCAGAGGGAACAGGTGTGATGAACACATGGCCCCTGAGATGGCTGCTGTCCCTTTGTGGCCATGCTGGTTCTCCCTGCCCGTTTTGAAGGCAACTGGATGATTCTGCCTCTTTGTCACTCACAGAGATGCTGCCATCCCTCTAGGGAGCTCCTGGCCTGATCCTGAATCCTGCAGTCAGAGTCAGCTCCATCCACCTGGGAGAGTAAAGGGTATTCCCTCCCCAGCTCGGCCACGTCTTTGTTTCCTGGGTGAAAACTTTTCTTTCTAAGGCCTTTATTATCATAGTGTTGAAATCGTGAGATTTAGAGCATCTTCTTTCTCCTGGGATGAGCTGTGGGGTCAGGTTCCCAGGAGCGAGTCTGCTAGCAATGGTCTTTCAGGACCAGGCGCTGGAAGCTGATTGTCGCAGCAGCAGTCTGCTCCCCTGAGTTCTGAAAGGGGCGAACCCATTCAATACCCACAACAGAGTCCCATCCCGAGAGGGTGTCAGGTGTAGATCTGCTCACGTATGCTTCTCCTGTCCTGTACTTAGTGTTTAACCCGCCACGAGGACGGCACATTCATCCACATTAAGGCTCTCCTGTTGTGAACTGATGCATTTCAACATGGGAATATCATGACTCGCCTTTTATCTGTTTTCCTATTGTTATGGAACATCTGAATTTCTTCTTTTGTGAATTGTCTGTTCGTGTTCCATTGCCTGGTTTTCTCCTGGGAGATCCTTTTTCCTGTTGACTTGAAAATTATTCATCTTTTGTGCTGCAGGAGAACAACTGGAATCTCTTAAATTACCTGTTCTCAGCAGTCTTGCTGAAGTTCACTGTGCAATCATTGAGCCTCTAGAGTAATTGTACAATTTCTTTCATGGTCACTTGTTTTCTGTATTTTTCTGCATTTTTGGAAGTTTTGGTCACGGGCTTTCTATATTTTTCTGAATACATTTTGGAAGTTTGTTCCCTGAAAACGTATCTATTTCAACAAGATGTTAAAGCGTATTAGTGTAGCAGGTGTGAACATACACTGCCAAGAAAAGATGCAAATCACTTTGCTTTTATAACCATGTGAACTTCTCCCTCCCACTTGTGTTCCAACACAGCAGCAAATAGCTCTAATAATAATGCAATCTAGTGACGTCAGTGCTGTCTGTTAACTTTTTAGTGGCTTTCAGTTGAGAACTGTATTTCTTAGGCAAATGGTTATCCCAATGCAAGTATTGTTGTTACCAGGCACTGTCCACTTGAAGTCATTTTTCTGCTGTATCCTTTGAGACTAAGCTTCTCCCCATGGTTCCTATAAAAGCAATGAGAAAGAAGAGAGAGGTTTACATCCAGCCTGAAGTAGCGAGGAGCCTCTGCCCAGGACTGTGCCCCTCCTCTGCAGACTGCCTGCCCACTCTGCATCACTGTTGTCCAGAGGACTGGGCGGGTCTGTGCCTCAGAGGCCCCATGTGGACAACCCTTCAAATACCAAATACCTGGCCTCTTCCTCCCTGACGTCTGGGAGACGCTTCCCTGCAATTGACTTGGATGCTTCACTTTGCCAGGTGTCTCCTTGGGACCTGTTCCCCTGGGCCTTAGAGAAATGTGGATATCCCTGACCAGTCTTGCTCTGCAGGCTTCACTGGCATTAGTGTCCTCCACCCCAGTTGTGTGGTTGCGCAGTCCTTTGTGCATGTTTGGCTCAGGACATTTATGAGCCATGGACTTAGGAAGTCTCTGCAAGAGACGTGGGCATACCCACACCATCCTGGGAGGTATTTTCAGGGCCCTCTGACTTTGGGCAGTGTGTGAATTTTCTTGGACTGTTGTAACAAATTACTATTATACAAATTGGGGGCTTACAACAATGAAATTTTATTCTCTTATGGTTCTAGAGGCCAGAAGTCTGAGATCAACTTGTTAGCAAGGCCATGCTCCTGGGGGCTCTAGAGGAGAATCCGTCCTTGCTTCTTCCAACTTTGTAGTGGCTGCCAGCAACCCTTGGGTCCCTTGGCTTGTAGACACATCCTCAATCTCTGCCTTTGTCTTCCCATGGCCTTATTCTCTGTGTCTCAATCTCCCTTTTTTTCTCTCATAAGCACACAAGTCATTGGATTTAGGACCCATCTGTGTAATCTCGGATGATCCCTTTTTGAGATCTTTAACTTAATGACACCTGCAAAAACTCTTTTTCCAAATAAGGTCACATTCTGAGATTGCGGGGGTTAGGTCATGGACATGTCGTCTTTGCTGGGGTCGGAGGGGATGGTTGTCACATTTCAACCCACTAAAGTGGGGAGTGGGGAAAACTAATGTTTTCCCCCATGGAGGGAAAAGCAGAAAAGGCTCCAAATACTCCAGGAACTCTGCCAGCTCCAACAGGACCCTATTTCTTCCAGGTCACTTCATGTAAGAGTTGTCCAGCCCTTGAAAAGACACTTATGTTGATTTGCTCTGGGTTCACTACGTCTGCCGAGGTTTCCACAGAGCTCGTATGTTGTCCACCTGGGATTTTACTTCACAGTGAACTGAGTGGGAAATTATACTAAGAGAACGTAGAACTTTATTTGTTATCAGAAAATTGATATTTTACTACTATATTATAGAGATCTATACATATATGTAATATTCTTTGGATTTTTTGGTTGTCCGCTTATTCACTTCTCAGTGTTACACATTTGTATCTTTTCCATTGTTCCCATGCTATTTTGTGATATAGTATTGTTTTGTATTACTTTTGTGCTTTTGAACAAGCCTGTTCTTAGATCTATTGATTTATCTATTTTCCATTTTCTAACTCATTACTATTTTAGTTTAGTTTTAAAATTCTTATTTTTTTAGTGAATTAAAAACATTCTAAATTAAAATTTTTAGTTCATTCATTTAAAGCTACTGTTGTTTGTTAGTCCAAAAAAGCAGTAAGGTGATTAATTTTTCTCTAAACATAACTTTGGTCACTCTAAATTTTTCTATGTAGCATTTATGGTTTATCTCAAATACTATTATAATTAATTAAATTGTGTACCATGCATCTTCTCTTTTCATATTTGTGACCATTTACTTGTGTTAGAACATTTTGATTTGTGTAGAACTTAATTGTGCTTTGCTCATTACTATCCATTTTTATAAAATATCTTTTTGAATTCATTATTTTATTTTATTTCACCACCAGCTGGATAATTTCTTTGAGAATTTTCTTTTCAGGGTGAAACACTGGCACACATAATTTCAGTTTTTCTGCACATCTAAAGCTGTCTTCCTTTTGGGTTCAAATAAGTAATTTAAGAATACTTATATCAGAATATTTTTGCTTCAGCTTGGATAGAACTGGAGGTCATTAGTCTAAGTGAAGTAAGCAGAAATGGAAAACCAAATACCGTATGTTCTCACTTATAAGTGGGAACTAACCTATGAGGATGCAAAGGCATAAGAATGTTGTAAAAGACTTTGGGGACTGAGGAGAGAAGATTGGGAGGGGGAATGAGGGATAGAAGACTACACATTGGAAAAAAGACCACACTGCTCAGGTGATGGGTGCACTAAAAATTCCTAGAAATCACCACTAAAGAATTTATCCGTGTAACCAAAAACCACCTGTACCCCCGAAACTATTAAAATTTAAGAAAATTTAAAAAGTATTTTTGCTTCAAAATTCTTTAAGTATCGCTCCGTGGTCGTCTACATTTGAGGATGTTTGACACTGACGTTTGATATCTGATGTTTGAGGATGATGGTATCAATACAGTTGCTTTCCTTTGCAGGTCACTTTAAATGACCAGTGAATTGATGCATTTGTATATTCCAAGGACTTGCCAAGTTTCACTTAACCTTAAAATTGGAACATTTAATTAAGGAACATCTAGGTTTGGCTACTCCCCATTAATTCCATCTAGAATATGACAGTTCCTTTGAATCTGATATTTTCAATTGAGAGATTATTTTCCCATATTTGTAATTTGATTACTCTTTCTTAACTATATATTTTTGTTTGTTTAGTTGAAATTACCACATAAATTGCATTGGCTTTCTGATCTCCCTGTATTATTCTTTATATACTTACTTATCTTATAATGTTTAAACTTTTTCTTTTTGTTCTGGGGTATTTAGTAATCTGGTATTTCCTTTCTTTTTCTCTGTATCCTAACCTGCTATTTACTGCCTCAACTTCATTTGAGAAATTTGCTAGTTTTCACCAACATTAAAAATTAATTCATGGTCCAATAGTTTTTTTTCACCAAATCTCAATAAAATGTTAAGCCTTTCTCTAGTTTTCTCCTGTTTCTTCAAGTAAATCTGCTTTATAAGGGGGGATTTGTTCATTTTCTCCTTGAACTCCCATCTTACGATGTGGCTAGGATTTTTATCTCTTTGCTCTTTTTAATAAAAGTAAGAGGAGCTCTTTGATTGTCTGATATTGGAGATTGTGCAGGATCATATCAAGCTTGCGTGTTAGGAGCTGGTAAAGGAAAAAAAAGTTTTATTTTGTTGGAATTTGTACAAAGCCAGAGAGCTTGTTTAGAGACTATTATTTTTAGGAATGTAGTGCCTTTCCTAGGAGGCCTAATTTCTCCACATCCTCGCCAGCATTTGGTGCTATTTTTTTTTTCATTTTAGCCATTCTGATAGAGATTTCTCACTATCAGGGAAATTTGCATTTCCCTAAAGGCTAGTCATTTTGAACTAGTTACAACTAGACATAAACTCCTGCATTATGTGTTTATTTGCCATCTGTATTTACTCTTTGATGCAATGTCTCTTCATGTCTTTTTCCACTTTTTACCTGGACTGTATTTTTTTAACTGTTGAATTTTAAGAGCTCTTTTTATACATAAAGTGATTAAGAGCTTTTTTAAATATGTGGTTTGCAAATACTGTCTCCTAGTCTCTACCCTGTCTTTTTCTCCTCTTTCTTTCATGGTGCCAGTTTTCAAATTTAAATTTTTTAATTTTTAATTTTTGTGGGTACACAGTAGGTAGGTATGTATATTTATGGGGTTCATGTTTTGATACAGGTATGCAAAGTGAAATAAGCACACCATGGAGAATGGGGTTTCCATCCCCCCAAGCATTTATCCTTTGAGTTACAAACAATCCAATTACATTCTGTCTCTCTCTCTCTCTTTTTTGAGACAGGGTCTCACTCTGTCACCCAGGCTGGAGTGCAGTGACACTATCTTGGATCCCTGTAACCTCCACCTCTCAGGCTCAGGTGACATTTCCACCTCAGCCTTCCTAATAACTGGGACCACAGGTTCACACCACCAATTACACTCTTTAAGTTATTTTAGAATATACAGTTAAATTGTTATTGACTATAGTCACCCTGTGGTGCTATCGAAAATTAGGTCTTATCAATTCTTTCTATTTTTTTGTACCCATGAATCATCCTCACTACTCCCCTATCCTACCCCAAATTTTTAAATTTGATGAAATCTAATTTGTCAAATTTTAGTGAAGTCTAATCAATTTTTTTATGAATTGTGCTTTTGGTGTCAAGTCCTAGAACTGTCACATAGGTCTGAACATTTTATAGTTTTATATTTTATACTTAATTCCATGACATATTTTTAATTTTTGTACATAGATGGTGTGAGATTTATGTTGAGGTTATCTGCCTCTTATCTATTTATTGTCTATCATCTATCTATCTATCACCTATGTATCATCTACTTACTTGTTTATTTTGCCTATGGATTTCCACCTTTTGCAACACCATTTATCGAAAATACCCTTCTTATATTAAATTACTTTTGTCTGTCAAAACCCAGTTGTTATCATCTGTTTATAAGTTCATTAGTGTGCTCCATTGACAGTCACATTGGTGCCTGTCTCCAACAATACTCTACTGTCTCAATCATTGTGGTAATACAGTAAATCTTAACATCCTGCTACTTCATTCTTTTTTTTTTTTTTTCCAAAATTGCTTTAGCTATTTTAGTTCCTTGGCTTTCTATTTATGTTTTACAATAAGCTTGTCTATGTCTACAAGAACTATCACTGGGATTTTTTATAAGAGTATATTAAACCTGTAGGTCAATTTGGGCAGAAATGACATCTTTGGTATATTGAATCTCTTAACCCATGCTCCTGGTATGTTTCTATATTTATTAAATTTTCTTTAACATCTTTTATCAGTATTTTGTAACTTTCGACATACAGGTCCTATACTTGTTTTGCTAAACCTCTAGTTAGTTCCCTTCTCTCTCTCTCTTTTTTCTTGAGCGACAGTAAATGATATTTGCTTTTTAATTTTGGTTTCCTCATGTTTGTTGTTTGTATATACACATGCAATTAATTTTTGTGTGATGATCTTTATTCTACAAACTTACTGAACTTGCTTATTAGTTCTAGAGGGTTTTTGGGTGATTCCTTGGGATCTTCTCGGTAGACAAGTCATGTGAAAATAGGGACAATTTTATGTTTTCCTTTTTTGATTTGTATGCCTTTTATTTCCTTTTCTTGCCCTATTGCTAGGACTTCCAGTCGGATGTTGAATAAGAGCAGTGAGAGTGGGTATGCCTGGATTTTTGCCACTCTTGAGGGAAAAACATTCACTCTTTCACCATTGTTTATTATATTTGTTGTAGGGTTTTTTAAATAAACATTTTAAGGGACAGTATTCAGTTTATGGTAAACTTGTAAAGATGGCTAGAAGAATTCTCTCACTGTTTTTCCTAAGATTATCTTATATTAGAGTGGTATATTTGTTGTAAATAATGAACCAATATTGATAGATTATTAACTAAAGAACAGATTTCGTATGGATTTCCTTAGTTTGTATCTAATGTCTATTTTCATTTCCAGGATTCCATCTGGCTTCCCACATTACATTTAGTCATTATGTCTCCTTAGGCTCCTGTTGGTTGTGACAGTTTCTCGGAATTCCCTTGTTTTTGATAACCTTGACAGTTGTGAGGAGGACTAGTCAGGTATTTTATAGAATGTTCCTCAATTTGGATTTCTGATTTTTTTCTATTAGACTCAATTTATGCGTTATTGGTAGGAAGACTACAGAAATAAACAGTTATTTTTATCACATCATATCAGGGGCACATCACTTCAACATGACTCACCACCGTTGACATTGACCTTACTCAGCTGGCTGAGGTCATGATTATCAAGCCTCTCCACTGTAAAGTTCTTCTTTCGCCTTCTCCAAAGCATACTCTTTGGGTGGAAGTCACTATGTACAACCTGTACTTGAGGAGTGGGAGTCAAGCTTCATCTCCTTGAAAGTGGACCCTGCATAAATTATTTGAAATTCTTCTGCATGTGAGATTTTCCATTTTTTTTTCTATTTATTCATTAAATCATGGATCTCAGTATGGACTTATGGAAATCTATGGTTTAGGTTATCAAAAACTTCTTTATTCTGTTGCCCAAATTGCTTTACATTTGGCTATTGAGAGCTCTCTCAGGTTTTCTTTGCTCTTTTTAACAAGCTCCCATTTTTTTGGTCCACTTTCTTCCTTTCTGGCTCCAGGCTAACATGCTCCAGGCTCATCCTGTATATTATTTGCTATGGACATGTAATCAGCCAATCCTCCAAGGAGGATTTGTTTATTGGAGACGGTATTGGAAACCAGGACCTGGTGTTAAATGTGCTCATTGCTACTGGGATGTAGTTGCTGCTAGGTAGTTGCTATCTCAGCTGATAGCACAAGAAAATATAACTGAGGGTACTAACCGATGTGTAGACACACACTAACGTGCACGCGCACGCACACACACACACACATTTCTATATGTACCCACTGAGTCCACATTAAGCTAAACTATGTTCCTACTGATAACTCTAAATCTAATCCATCACCACACCATCATTCTAGCCCCCTCCCCTTGCTTATATGTAAATTCCCATCTGAGAAACCTGGTTTTCACTGCCCATATTCATTTATTTACTTGCTAAATTTCAGCATACATGTATAGCAGTATTAGACTTGTTAACCCATACTTTCATGGGCAACAGCTTTATTCAATAGAGTACAGTGCTTTTTTTTGCCTTTATTATACAGACTCCATTCATTTTAAAGTAACTTAGGTCAGTATTTCTCCCCCTCAGTGACATTGTTTCAAATGTATGTAATAAAGTTAGCTGGTTTTGTCACTTCCTTCATTCCATACTGAGATTCCCCAATCTATAAATCATTTAAAAATTTTGCATAACCAAAGTGTGATGGTTAATACTGAGTGTCAACTTGATTGGATTGAAGGACACTAAGTGTTGATCTTGGGTGTGTCTATGAGGGTGTTGCCAAAGGAGATTAACATTTGAGTCAGTGGACTGGGAAAGGCAGACCCACCCTTAATCTGGGTGGGCACAATCTAATCAGCTGCCAGCTCGGCTAGAATATAAGCAGGCAGAAAAATATGAAAAGAGAGACTGGCCTAGCATCCTATCCTACATCTTTCTCCCATGCTGACTGTTTCCTGTCCTCAAACATCCGACTCCAAGTCCTTCAGTTTTGGAACTTGGACTGGCTCTCCTTGCTCCTCGGCTTGCAGACAGCCTATTGTGGGACCTTGTGATCCTGTGAGTTAATACTTAATAAACTCCCATATATATATTATATTTATATTCCATTAGTTCTGTCCTTCCAGAGAACACTGACTAATACACAAGGCCTACTCATTGTGTTGTAAAATTCAATGGACTTGACAAATGCATAATTTCATGTATCCATAAATACATACTACAAAATAGTTTTATGATAGTAACAAAAATCCACCATGGCTTGCCTATTCACCCTACTTCACCATTCTCTCCAACTTCTGGCAATCATTGATCTTTCATAGTCTCCATAGTTCTGCATTTTCCAGAATGTTACATAATTGCAATCATTCAGTATGTAGCTTTTGAGACTGGCTTCTTTGCAGCTAAGTGGCTTCTTTCACTTGAGAATATATATTTGAGATTCAACCATGCCCTTTGTAGCTCCCTTCCTTTTTTCTCATTAAATAATATTTTGCTCTATAGATAATACCACAGTTTTTAAATCCATTCATCTATCGAAAGATATCATGGCAGCTTCCATTTTTTGGCAATTATGGATAGAGCTGCTATAAACATTAATGTGCATGTTTTTATGGATATATGCTTCAAAATCTTTTGGGTAAATATCTAGGAGTGTGAGTGCTGACTTGTTAAGACTATGTTTAGCCTTGTAAAAAATTGCCAAAATTTCTTTCCACTTAGCTGTACCATTTTGCATTTTTTTTTTTTTTTGGTTTTGAGACAGGGTCTCACTCTGTCCCACTGGCTGGAGTGCAGTGGCATGATCATAGCTCACCACAGCCTTTGCCTCCTGGACTCAAGCCCATCCTCCCACCTCAGCCTTCTGAGTAGCTGGGGCCACAGGCTCATGCCACCATGCACAGCTAATTTTTTGATTTTTCTTAGAGACGAGGTCTCATTATGTTGCCCAGGTTGGTCTCAAACTCCTGGGCTCAAGCCATCCTCCCACCTTGACCTCTTTAAGTGTTGGGATTATAGGTGTGAGCCACTGTGCCTGGCTTCAGTTTGCATTCTTAACAAGGAATGGAATTCATTCAGTGTTCAATAGAGTTCCCGTTCTCTATATCCTCACCAGCATTTTGTATTGTCATTTTTTAAATTTTAGCTATTCTAATATTTTCTCTACTTAATGGCAGCTGATTGTGGTCTTAATTTGTAATTCCTTAATGACAAATGATGTTGAAAATCTTTTAGTATGTTCTTTCCCATCTTTCTGGCTTCTTCATTGAGGTGTCTGTCCGTATTTTTACTGTTGACTTTTAAGGGTTCTTTGTATATTTTGGATATGACTTCTTTATCAGATGTAAACTTTGAAAACATTTTTTCCAGGTCTCTGGCTTGCCTTTTGATTCTGTTACCAGTGTCTTTAGCATAGCAGATGTTGTCAATTTTAATCAAGTTCAATTTATCAAAATTTTTTTCATGGATCATGCTTCGGTGTATCTAAAAACTCATCTCTAAACCCAAGGTCATCTAGACTTTCCCACTTTCTCCCAGAAGTTTCATGGATTTGTGTTTTAGAATTAGGTCAGTGACCCATTCTGAATTAATTTTGTGTAAGTTCTATGCAAAATCTTGTGTAACATCTGTGTCTAGGTTCATTTTGTTGTTGTTAATGTATTGATACTCTATTGCGCCAACAGCATTTGTTGAAGACTCTCCTTTATCCATTGAATTGACTTTGCTCCTTTGTCAAAGATTAATTGACTATATTTGTGTGGGTCTATTTTTGGGGTCTTTATTCTGTTACATTGGTCTATGTTCTCATTGTTTCACCAATACCATGTTGTCATGATTATTGTACCTTTATAAATCTTGAAATTGGGTAGTGTGAGTCCTCCAACTTTATCTTCTTCAGCATTTTGTTGGCTATTCTAGGTATTTGACTTTGATAATAAACTTCAAAATCAGATTAGTATCTACAAAATATATTGGTATAATTTTTATTGAGAATGGATTGAGTCCATAAATCAAGTTGGAAAGAATTAGCATCTGAAAGTATTGTCTTCCAGTCCATAAAATGAAGTATTTAAACCTTCCTTTATCTCATTAGATGTTTGCAGTTTCCTCCCTAGTAGATCCTGTGCTTATTTTGTTAACATTCATATCAAAGGGTTTCTCCTTTTGAATACCATTGTGTATGGTATTTTAAATTTCAAATTCCAGTGGTTTCCTGCTTGTATATAGGAAAACAATTGACTGTTGTATATTACTCTTGTGTCTCTGAACTTGCTATAATCACTTATTTCTTACTAATTCGAGGAGTTTTGTCGTTATTGGTTCAATTTTTTTTTAGATATTTTACATTGACAGTCATGATACCTACAAACAAAAACCATCTCACTTCTTGCTTTTCAACTTTTATTCCTTTATTTTATTTTGTTCTCATTTGCTATGAGCTAGCTAGCTCTTAAAACACGATGTTGAATAGGAGTGGTAAGAAAGGACATTCTGTCTTGTGTTTATTTTCAGGTGGAAAGTGTCCTGATTTTTTACCATTAAGTGTGTTAGCTGAAGGTTTTGTAGATATTCCTTATCAAAATGAGAAAGTTCTTCTTATTTTTCTAGTTTCTTTTTTTGAGAGTTTTATCATGAACAGGACTTGGATTTTGTTCAATTATTTTTCTGGTCAGCTGGCATGACATAATTTTTAATTTGTGTTTATGTAGTAGATTACATTGACTAGTATTTGAATGCTGAACCAACCTTGCATACCTAGAATAAATCCCACTAAGCAATGGAATATAATTTTTTCCTATATTGCTGGACTTGGTATGAATTTTTTGGGGAATTTTTGCACCTATCTTAGGGATATTAGTCTGTAGTTTTTGTTTCTTTTGATGTGTCTGTCTGGTTTGGGTATTAGGGTAATGTTGGCCTCAGAGAATGAGTTAGGAATATTCTCTCTGTTTCTATTTTCTGGAAGATGTTGTGGAGAATTGGTATTATTTCCTTTTTAATTTCTTGGTAAAATTTGCCAGTGTAACCATTGATGGTTTCCTTTTCAGAAAGTTTTACATTTTTTATTTAATTTTTAAATATATACAGTTCTATTCAGGTGATCTATTTCTCCTTTTGTGAATTTGGATACTTTGTGTCTTTCAAGGAATTGGTCCATTTAATTTAGATGATCAGGTTTGTAGGTATAGATTTGTGCAGAGTATTCCTGATTATTCCTTTAATCTCCATAAAGTCATTAGTGATGATCTTTCTTTCATTTTTGATGTTGGTAATTTGTATCTTCTCTTAGTTGGCATAGCTAGGGGTTTATCAATTTAATTATCCTTTCAAATGACCATCTTCGGTTTTGTTGATTTTCTCCATTGCTTTGTTTTCAATTTCACTTATTTATGCTCCAATATTTAGTATTGTTTTCCCTTTGCTTCTTTAAGCTTAAAATGATCCCCTGGCTGGGTATGGTGACTCAAGCCTGTAATCCCAGCACTTTGAAGGGCTGAGGTTGGAGGGTTGCTTGAGGCCAGGAGTTGGACCAGCCTGGGCAATATAGTGGTCGCTCATTAAAACCACACTCAGTGACCATTAAACAGAGAAAGTATTAGAATAGCTAAAATTTTAAAAAATGACAATACAAAATGTTAGTGAGGATATGGAAAACAACAGGAACTCTGTTGAACTCTGTCTCTACAAAAAAATAAAATAAAAAAATTTACTGAGCATGGTGATGCATTCCTATAATCCCAGGCACTCAGAAGACTGAAATGGGAGGATTGCTTGAGTCTAGGAGTTTGAGGCTGCAGTGAGACCTTACTGTACCACTGCACTCTAGCCTGGTGACAGACAAGACCCCATCTCAAAAAGATCTCCTGTTGCTAATTCCCTAAGTGGGATGTTGGATTAATTCTCTTGAGACACCTTTTCTTCCCATGCCCTCTTTAGAAGTGTGTTGTTTAATCTTAAAATATTTGCAAATTTTCCAGGAATATTTCTGTTAATGATTTTTAATTTAATTCAGTTTTGGCCTGTGAACATACCCTGTATGGTTTCTATTTTTGCAACATTTGTTCAGGTTTGTTTTATGACAGTTTATTTCTTGTTTACTTTTGCAAGATAATTTCACTGGATATGGAATTCTAAGTTGGTGTTTTTTCTTTACTTCTTTCAACATTTTAAATGTTTTATTCCACTTTCTTCTTGCTTGCATGATGTAATTCTTATCCTTGTCCCTGTATAGATAAGATTTGCTTTTTAATGGCTTCTTTAAAGATTTTCTCTTTGCCTTTGGATTTCTACAGTTTGAAAATGGTATGCCTAAGTGTAGACTTTTTGGTATTTACTTTGTTTGGCATTTTTGAACTTTCTGTGTCTCTGATTTGATGTCTGTCATTTAAAAATATTTATTTAATTGACAAGAAAAAATGTACATATTTATAGTGTACAACATGTTTTGATATATGTATACCTTGTGGAATGGCTAAATCAAGCTACTAAATATATGCATTACCTCATATGCTTGTCATTTTTTTTATGGTGAGAACTTTTAAATGTACTGTCTTAGTAATTTTCACAGATATAATATATTGTTATTAACTGAAGTCACCACAATTTACAACAGATCTCTTGAACTTATTTATTCCTCCTGCCTAACTGAAGTTTTGTGTTTTCTGACCACCATCTCCCCATCTTCTCCTTCCTCAGCCTAGGGTAACTACCATTCTACTCTCTACTTCTGTGAGTTCCAATTTTTTAGATTCCACATATGAATGAGATTGTGTGGATTGTCTTTCTGTGCCTGGATTATTTTACTTAACAAAATGTCCTTCAGTTTCATCCATGTTATCACAAATGACAGGATTTCCATCTTGTTGGAGGCTGAATAGTATTCCATTATACGTATAGACTACATTTTCTGTGTGTGTCTTAAGCATCCATTTGTGGACATATGGGTTGATTCCATATCTTGGCCATCATAAATAATGCTGTGATGAACATGGGAGTGCTAATATTGCTGCAAAATACTGATTTTATTTCCTTTGGCTATATATTCAGTAGTGGAATTTCTATGTCATATGGTAGTTCAACTTTTAGTTTTTTTGAGGAACTTTCATACTGTTTTCCACAAATGCTCTATTAATTTATATTCTCACCAACAGTGTGCAAGGGTTCCTTTTTATCTCCTATCCTCTCCAACACTCTTATCTTTCATCTTTCTTATAGTAGCCATTCTAACAGATGTGAGGTGATAATCTCATTGTGGTTTTGATTTTCATCTCCCTGATGATTAGTGATGTTGAGCATTTTTTCATAGATCTCTTGGCTGTTTGTATGTCTTCTTTTGAGAAATGTTTATTTCTAAGGGGGTTGTTTATTTCCTTGCTGTTGAGTAGTAGTTTGAGTTCCTTGTATGTTTTGGATATTAACCTAAATATTTTGTCCCATTCTGTATGTTTTCTCTTTACTCTTTTGATTGTTTCCTCTGCTGTGCCAAAACTTTTTAGTTTGATGTAGTCCCACTTGTCTATTTTTGCTTTTGTTGCCTGCACTTTTGGGTTCATAGCCAAAAAGCATTATTTCCCAGACCAATATCATGGAGCTTCCCCCCCTATGTTTTCTTCTAATAGTTTTACAGTTTCAGATCTTATATTTAAGTCTTTAATCCATTTGAGTTGATTATTGTGTATGGTATGAGATGAGCATCTAATTTTATTATTTTGCATGTGGGTATGCAGTTTTTCCTATGCCATTTATTGAAGAGACTGTCCTTTTCCCATTGGGTGTTCTTGGTAACCTTGTCAAAAATCAACTGACTATAAATGTATAGATTTATATCTGGGGTATTTACCTTGTTCCATTTGTCTATGTGTATTGTTTTTATGCCATTATCATGCTGTTTACTATAGCCTTATAGTAGATTTTGAGATCTGTAGGTAGTAGATGTGATGCTTTCAGCTTTTTTTTTTTTTTTTTTTGCTTTGGATAATTAGAGGTTTCTGTGATTCCATACAATTTTTAGGATTTTTTTCTATTTCCTTAAAAAATGTCATTGAAATTTTGATAGGGATTGCATTGAATCTATATATCACTTGGGGTGGTATGGTATGAACGTTTTAATAATAATTTTTACAATCCCTGAACAGGATATCTTCAAGTTACTTGTGTCTTCAATTTTTTAATAAATGTTTTTTAGTTTTCAGTGTGAAGACCTTTCATATTCTTGATAAAATTTATGCCTAAGTATTTATTTGCAGCTATTGTAAATGAGATTGTTTTCTTGATTTCTTTTCCAGATAGTTCATTGTTAGTGTATAAAACACTACTGAGTTTTGAGTGGTGATTTTGTATCCTGTGAATTTACTGAAGTCATATATTAGTTCCTACAGTTTTTTGGTGGATTTTTAGAGTTTTCCATATATAAGATCATGTCATCTGCAAACAGAAACAATTTAACTTCTTCCTTTCTGATTTGGATGCCTGTTTTCTTTCTCTTGCCTAATTGCTCTGGCAAGGACTTCCAGTACTATGTTGAATAGAAGCGGTGAAAGTAGGCACCCTTGTCTTGTTCCCTCTCTTAGAGGAAAAACTTTCCACTTCTCTGCATTATGATGGAGTATGATGTTACCTGTGGGCTTGTTGCATATGGTCTTTATTTGGTGTCTGTCATTAATTTTGAAAATCTCAGGCATGATTTCTTCAAATATGTCTTGTCCTCCTCTCTCCCTTCTACTTTCAGCATTTCAACTGGCTGCGTATTACATCTTCTGCTATTTTTGCATGCTTCTCGAATGTTTTGTTCTTTTTGATTTTTCTTTAATCTCTTTTTCTCTTTGCATTTCAGTTTGTGCAGTTTCCCTTGACATTTTCACAACCACTAAATCTTTCTTCAGCCAAGTCTAGACTGATGAACTCATCAAAGGCACTCTTCATTTCTGTTCCATGGTTTATTTTGACTTGTACATTTCCTTTTGACTCTTAAGAGTTTCCATGTCTTTGCTTACGTTATCTCTCAGATCTTGCATATTCTACTTTTTCATTTTAGTCCTTAACACATTCATCATAGTTTAATTCCCATCCGATCATTCCAAAAATCTCTGCCACTTCTTACTCTGGTTCTTATGCTTGCATTGCTCTTTTCTGGCCTTTATGCATGCCTTGTAATTTTTATTGAAATCTGAGAGGCATGGTCTGATGGTGATCTCCCAGGCTCCATCCTCTGCATATGGGTGAAAATTCTTACCCAGCCTAGCTCACCTAAGTTTTTATGAGAATCAGCTGAGAAACTTTATGTGAAAGTGCTTTGTAACATGCATAATAATATTCAGGCATCATCCAGATGCCTGAATCTCTCTGGTCTTCTGGTCTGGGAGAGCTCAGTAAGATCCCTAAAATATAAATTTCATGGTTGTGGAAGCTCCAACTCCTCCTCTCAACTGTGCTAATTTATTTCTAGGCCCCTCTGCTATTGCTGTTGTCTCTCTTCCTTCAGTTTCTGTGCCTGATCTGTGCATGTCAGCCTGATACAACATTCCCTGGTCTCTGCATAAAAAGAAGTTACTAGTCAAAATAACAGAATTTACTGAGGTTTGCAGTGTTACGGCTTGATAATCCATCTCATATTGCACAGGTAACAATTTACAAAATAAATCCTCTTTCCCCCGTTTTCTTGGGCCTTCCTCCACACCAGCATAGGTGGGTTTATAGCCCTGAGCTCTAGGGAGCTTCTGTTTATAAACAAATGCTCTCCCAAAAAAAGAAATTTATTTTAAATATATAGACACAAGATATGTGTGTGTGTGTGTGTGTGTGCATGCATGTGTGTGTTTGTGTAGTGAGAGAGAGGTGGGGAGAGAGAATGGGGAACAGAAATACAGATATAGATATATAGATGTGGATATCAAGTGTCGTATTGACATAAAGGTAGACATACATGGTAATAGAACAGAATACATAAGCTAGACATAGACTCCCATATATAAAGCCGATTGATTTACAACAGAAGTGTCACAGTCATTCAATTGGATAAGAATATTCTTTTCAATAGATGGTGCTGCAGCAACTGGATATCTGTATGAAAAACATACCCCTGTATGTTTTTATCTCACACCACAGTAAAAAAGTGAACTTGAAGTTGGTTATGCACCTAAATGTAAAAATCAACAATTATATAAATTTTAGAAAAAAATAGAAAAATCTGTATGATCCTGAGGTAAGCAAAGATTTCTTAGATAGAACACCAAATTACAAACCCTAGAAGAAAAAACCTGATAAATTAGACTTCATTGAATTTAAAAGTATCTGTTTTTCGAAAGGCACAATTGAAAAAATGAATATCCAAGTCACAAACTGTGAGAAAGCCTTCACAACACACATATTAAAGATGTGTGTCCAGAATATACTAATACCTTCTACAATTCAATAATAGGAAAACAAACAGTCTAATGTAAAATGGGCAAAATTTGAATGGTCACTTAAGAGGGAGACATGTGAATGATCGGTAAGTTGTATGAAAATGTGTTTGGCGTCATTAGTCATCAGAGAAATGTACATTGAAACCACTGTGGGATACCGCCTTACATCCTTAGAATGGCTAAAATTAAAAAGTCTGGCAAGCCCGATTTAGGATTTGGAGCAACTGGATCTCCCCTACATTGCTGATGAGAACATAAAATAGAACAACCACTTTGAGAAAAGGTCTGGTGGTTTCTTGTAAAGTTATAAATATAATTCTATGGTATAGTGCTTCTACTCTTAGATATTTCTACTAAGAAAAATTTAAATACATTTTCTCAAAAATAGTTGTATAATAACAAAGAGCTTTGTTTATAATGACCCCGAACCTGATGAAACCAAATGTTCCACAAGAAAATTGATAAGTGACTGTGTGGTATATCCATCCCATAGGATATTACTCCACAATAAAAATAAATGAACTACTCATACATGCGGTGGCATGGATAATTCTCAAAAACACACTGAGTAAAAGAAGCCAGAAACTTCATGATTCTATTTATATGAATATCAAGAACAGACAAAAAAGTTATGGTAATAGACACCAGAAGATTTGCTGCCTATGAGAGGTGGGAATTGATTGGAAGAGGGCATGTGAGAACCTTCTGAGAAGACAGATATTCTATATCTTGATAGGAACACGGGTTAGACGTGTACACATTTACCAAAACACATTTAATTGGATAGTTAATATCCATACATTTTAATACATAAACCTTTACATCAACATAAAATTAGAAAGATTTTTAGTGTCAACCACCTAGTGTCCCTGTTTTAGACCCAGGAGTCCAACTCTTCCTAGTAGGAAGACCTTGGCATAGGATATCTGCCAAGAGCATGCATCCAGGTCTGTTTGCAGCAATGCTATCATTACAATTAAATCCCAGGTCTGAATTTCAGTGCAAGTGCAAGATACCTTGCAGCTGTAAAAGATAAGTGTCTTTCTTTACCCTGCCATGGAGGCTGTGTGAACTTTCACAACGTGCCCTGACTAATTAGACTAGTTAGTTAGTTAGTTGACCTAAGCCTATTATTTCTGTGCTTACCCAAGACTTCTAATGCTGGTAAGAAAAGCTAGCCTTTCCTCTCTCTTTATAATTCCATTGCCTCCATGTCATATACATGCCAAACTTACTCTGTAAAGAGTCAGTAGGCATGAGAGGGAAGAAGGGAGAAAGAGTTGGGGAGGGACTTTTACATCAATTTTAAATTTCTAACAATAATTTCATTGCATTGGATAGTAGCTAACTCCCTGTTCCTGGAAGAGTTCAAGCCAAGATTTATGATGCTTGTTAGAAACCTCAGGGGAAGGAATAGAACACATAAGCAGGGATTAAATAACATGGTCTTTATGGTTCTTTCCAACTCTCATTCATTCACTTATTCATTCCATCAATTCCATTATTCATTCCTGTTTCTGCCACTATGCCAGGCTCTGGTAGATGCAAATGATTCTCCTTAGCCGTCAAATGTACAGCCATTTAAAACCTTGGTTCCAGAGGCCTATTTTTATCTCAAATGTGCACATCTATTTGCAAGCAGAGATGACAGGTGTGGCTGGCCTTTTCAGCTGCACCTTTTCATTGCTGCTATCTGATGACACATTTTCCCTTATGCCTATAAAGTGAATTCCTTAGAGATGATGTTGCTTTTAGCTTGAGGTTTCTAGATGGAATCAGCACTTGTTTATTTGTTTGTTTGCACGTAGAAGTCTGAACCTCTTGCTCTCACCTATTTTTGAAAACATCCCACAACCAAAAAAAAAAAAATCTGGTTACAGGAGCCCAGAGAAAGCCACCCTGATGAAGTGAGGCCTTGCCTAGGTGCACGGTATCAGTAAGGGAGGCACTGTGTTCCTGCATAGGAAAGAGTTCAGGCTGGCTGCCACATAGACCTGAGTTCAATTCTGATGGTGCCTCTCGCCAGCAGTAGGATTTGGGGCAATGCACTGATGCACCCTACACCTCTGTTCCCACAACTGTAACATGGACATTATGAATGTGTTCCATCCCAGGTCAGCAGGATTGTCCGATGAATTCACATGCCTTAAATGCTTCAAATCTGCCCCTGGCACTGTGTGTTCTCTACCTGCTGATTATTTTTTTATTATTCGCAGCATTGTTATGTAAGTTAGAATCATAGAAAGGAGTTGGCATTAAACTGTGACTTGAGAGACAATTGGTCCTCACTCTATTAGAAAGGAGCTTGGTGATGATGGTGAGACATTCATTGGGCCGCATTGTTCCTCATGTGTAAAATAGGGAGATGAATTTGTGGGTTTGACTCACATCGCATGCTGCTCTTTGAATTGTATTAATTCCCTTCTATTATTTAATACTTTATTCATTATCAAAATTAAGACAGTTCTGCATTGTATCAACTCCTCCAATTTTAAGCAGACATAACCTTTAAAAAACACAGGAAAAATTAGTAGTGAACAATGCACCTTTGAAATTGGGAGAAAGGAAACATGTTAATTCAATTATATTCCCTTCTGGCACCAGGAGTTCTACAGATGTCCACCTCTTCTTCAACTCTGGACACTGGCCAACATGAATGTGTACCAGTTGCTTTGAAGAATCGTTGAATGATGCAAGTGTGAATTTAATTACCAGATGCTCTGCTAATTAGAGGTCTAAAAGGTAAGGAAATAAGTGTGAAAGCAAAAATTTAAATATAACATATTAACGTATTACCATAGCTAACAGAGAAATCATACAGAAACATATTTCTTGAAAAGAATGATCCTGGTATTTGATTGGCATCTGCATGTTTCTTACATAGATCATTTTTAATTTTAAATATTATGCAGATAAAATACTATTTGTTGCTAAGATTTATATTCAAAGATTCACATTTAATCAATCTTTCTTCTCTCCTTCTCTCTCTATCCCTCCATACTCCCCTTTTCTGTCCCTCTTTGGTTTTTTCCCCCTTAAACCTTCACTGAGGAAAGCTCACATGACTCACATGACTTCCTAGTGACAACTTTACTTCTAGAAATGAATGAGATGGAGTCCTGAAACTCTGAGGTCTCAGCTCCCAGGCAGGGCAGGGGCGGGGAGAGGCTGCATGAGGGGAGCTCAGGGCTCTGGCCACAGTAAGCACAGATACCTGCTCCTGCAGAGCACCAGGCAGGGTTGGCAACTGCTGCAGTGGCTCCATCTTGGAGTGATCCCCAAGTCTAGTGAGAGTTCACCAAATGTATATGAGAAGGAGTGGCTTTCCTAAGGGAACTGATGCAGAGAGTAGAATGCTCCAAGATGGACAGTCCCATGGGAGGATGACAAGGAAGGGGGTCGTCAGAAGTCCCGGGGACCATGCTGAGGAGTTCTGCTTTCATCCGAGGGGTGGGGGAAATCCCTCTGAAATTCTTTTTTATCTTCTATTTTATTTTAAATTATTTTTTATGAAATAGACATGAAAATTTATGTAAAACCTACTAATGCCATTTATGGAATAATAATAAGATGAAAACCAATGGTTCAAATGTCTAGTTTCAGAAGCATAGCCTTAGCAGAGTTTTTGGGAGCCTATCCATAGTTCTTCCCAATTACTTTCCTTACCCCCTTCCTACATTTTGGGTTTATCTTTCCTTGATATTTTAGTTTTATCACATATGCACGGGTCTCTAAGCATAACATTGTTTTGCCTTTTGTGTTGTTGAGACATCCTGCTCCACATGTCCTCTGATTCTCATGTTTCAACAGCGTGGATATGAGGTTCATTCTGTTCCACATGTCCCTCTGATTCTCGTGTTTCAGCATGACATCCTCATGATTCCACATGACATCCTGCTCCACATGTCCCTCTGATTCTCGTATTTCAACAGCGTGGATATGAGGTTCATTCTGTTCCACATGTCCCTCTGATTCTCGTGTTTCAACATGACATCCTCATGATTCCACATGACATCCTGCTCCACATGTCCCTCTGATTCTCATGTTTCAACAGTGTGGATATGAGGTTCATTCTTGTGGACTTTGTAGCTGAGGGACATTCAGATTCACTACTGTACCTCATGCCCCTGTGCTAAGGATCACAAGCTACTTATCATTCTACAGTAGAGCTGATGAGCATTTGCATTGTCTCCAGTTCTTGGGTTAATTAATGTGCTGTTCTGAGCATCCTTTCTCATTGCTGCATCTCACTTTTCAGCTGTACTAAAGTGATGGGAAATCATTTCGCGAAGTGGTTGTAGATCCCAACAATACTGCAGAAGAGTTGCTGTTGTGAATTATTCAAATTCTCTTTAAGCAGAGGAATGAGCTGTAGAAAGATCATTTTGGCTGCAAGATGAGGGATGGGTTGGAGTGGGGCCAATTTAGAGTCAGAGACTAGAAAAGAGGCTTGAGTGTGGAGGGTCTGAAACCAGGAGGCCCAGGGTCTCAGTGGAAACAGTGGCAGGGGAAATGGAAGGGACGGGACGCTTGGAGAAATCTTAGCAATCAGGCCTGCATATGGATTTTCTGGTTTGAGGAGTCACAGTGGAGGCCATGAAGATCCTGAGGTTTGCAGCAGACACCTGTGGATGGCAGCACTGGCTGCTGAGGTACAGGGTCCTGTAGTAGGAGATAAGTGGGCCGAGGAAGAGGAAGACATCATTCCCTGAACCCCAAACTCTCCTAGCTGTTCAGTTAAAAAAACACATTAAATATATTTTCAATAGATAAGTACCCTTTTCCTCAAGCATTTATCCCATTTCCTGGAAAGTAGGCGGTATTTAATAAAAATGGATTGTAATTTGTATTCTCATGATGTCTTAAGAGAAGAAATATTGCCCAAAATGCATAGTTTTAGTTTCTAGAGTTCTTGAGGAAAAACTGGGGAAACGGGTCCTTCAGTGAACACTCACAGCCATCTGGCCATTCAGGTGTATAGTGGTCTTCACACTTGAGCCCAAGGACATCTTGCAACTTTGTTCTTGATACGTGATTGTCTTTCCAGAGGATGATTTTCTGAAAATGGTTTAGAGTCGCTAATTGCTCTATGCTTTGGTTATTTGGGTCATGGTCATATGAACTTTTTACTTGTTTAGCTTAGACTGTCTTAAGTGACATATATTTTCTGAAAACAAACCAGCAATCACAATGCTTCAGCCTGCATAGGAGTGAGTGGGCAGCTTATTTACTAAGTAGTATGGAAGACTTCTGAAGACCCAGGTCATAACTGCAAGTTAAACTCAGACCAAATGGGACTGGCTCAGTCAACCCACTTCCATTCACTCTAAGGTCCTCAGAACAGGGGTGTCATGAAGAAGCCACCACCACCTCCTCCCCACTCCTGTGGCATTCAGCCTCTTCCTCATGTGTTCCCCTCTTCTCCGCGGCCACCACATCATGTTGTCTGAACTTGGGGAAGTTCCCGCTTTCATCTTCGCTCCACCCTCCTTTCTTCTGCCTGATTTCAGATTCACTGCTCTTTGACCCTGGACTATCGCACCAGCTTTTCCACTGTTCCTTCTGCCTCCACCCTCTGCCTGCTTATTGGTCCCTGTACTGGCTGCCAGTCATTGTCCTAAAATTCAGAATGGATGGATCCTTCATTACCACGCTTAAAAAGCCTATAGGCTAGTCCCTCTTGTCTCCTCCCCACCCACCCATAGAATGAAGTCTGGAATCCCCAGACTGAAAACAAAGCACTTTGGTTTGGGTGCTGAGCTATCTTCCTTGCTCATTCCAGCCTTCATAAAACCCAACCTGTGGCTTCTTCTCACATCTCCCCTGTTCCTGACTGTGTCATGCCTTTCTTTTCCTCTAGGTTTTTGCAATGCTCTTTCTTTATACTTACTGTAGGCGATGTCTGGTTAATATTAATATTCCTTAATGTGATCCCAGGACCATAGTATATTAAAGTTAGTCTTGGGTTGAAATCTTAGCACTGATTTATTTTACTCCTGGACCTTGGCAAATTATGTAATTCATCTTGCTTTCTTATCTGTACAGGTTCAGCATCCCAAGTCTGAACATCTGAAATCTGAAGTGCTTCAATATCTAAAAATAAATTTTAAGCACCATGATGATGCTCAAAGGAAATGCTCATTGGAGTAAATATAATGCAGATATTCCAAAATCTGAAAAAACTCAAAATCTGAAACACTTCTAGTCTCAAGCATTTTGCACAGGGGATACTCAACTTGTAGTAAGAAGGATAGTGGAAACTGCTACTCTAGATCGCTGACAAAATTAGATGGGGTACTGCAAATATAAGTGCTTAATATTTACTCATTCATTCGACAAATATTTAATGAGTGCCTATTTTGTGCTAGATATTAGGTTAAAGATCTCTATGGGGCTTTATAGCTCCAAGAATAATACTTATATAGAAAAACATAATTCCATGTAGTGAAATAAACCTTTCACTACATTTTTAGAGTGCACAATGAACAAAAGCTTCAGGGCCAGAGAGACATATAGAAAGGGACTTCACTTAGTCTGGGGGAGTCAGAGAGGGATATGATTTAGGGTTGGGGACAAATAAACCCAAGTTTTCGGTTGCTTAAAATTCAAAAAGTATGTTTATCTCTTAGTCCAAGGCTAGCATTTCGGGAGGCAGTCATTCCTCATGTGGTTGCTCAGAGGCCTGTGGTGACAGCTGCTGTCTCATTTCCAATGTGTGGCTTACCCACTGCCTGGGTGTTTCTGTCACTCAGAAAGGGAAAGGCAAGGAAGATCACCTGGGAACTTTGTATGGGCCAGTGTGGAGTGAACTCATCACACTGATGAGCAGTTCTGGGCCTGCCAGGACTTGGTGGCCTGGCCATTCTGAGCTGCTGAGGACGCTGGGCCATGCAGTTGAGACAAGCCATGTGTGCTGAGCAGGAAGAAGAAACGGACTTGGTTCAGTCTGGATGGGATGAAGAAAATGTGTTTCATCCCTGCAGGTGCCCAGAAACAGGGAAGCACATTCTGGCAGAGTGAGTCCTGCTGTGAGCTGGAGCAGCATGGAGCCCGGGTATTAGAGAGTGCAGAGAACTAGTCCTAGGGGATTAGTTGTCCCAGAGTCCACAGGAATGTTGAACCTTGTGTGAAGAGCAAGGCTTTCAAACAGGAGATTTCCATCGGCATGTTTGTGTGTTCATACTCCCCCTGTGGCTGCAGCCTGAGAAAGCAGCACAGAGCTGGGATACTGTGTCAGTACTGTAGTGAGGTCTGGAGGTACCTGAAGCATGAAGGCAGCATGGGCGGGGGCCACAGCTGGCAGCACAGTTCACTTGCTCTCCACACTGGGTCAGTGGCTGCGACTTTTATGCATTGGTTATGTTAAGGTTTATGATTCCAAGATGTTAAACATCCTAAGTAAGCTGAGACGCAAACAAATGAAAAGACAGAAGAAATGCCATGAAGTGAAATGTGTTTGAAGTGTTCTTCCTCTGGGTAGAACTTTGAAGAAAGGCAAAAAAATTTTAAGTGTATGATGACTGCTCTGTGACAATTTGTAAGCTAATATTACAATATTCTCTGAGATTGCAACACACTTTTACAAAACAATTTGATAACATATAGTGCTTTAATGTCCTCCTGAAAAAAACAACTTTAGAACAGTCAGGGTATCAAATAGCTATGTTCTAAATATTTTTGTGGTGGAAAATGCTATATTTCCCTTGATTTTTTCTTTGAGTCCTGCCCTAGGCTGTCCCTGCTGTCTGACTGTGTTTGACTTGAGCCGAGTCTTAGATTTCTCTTCCTCTAGAATCACTCTACTGGCTTAAGAGGGTTGGGCTGGGAAGACTTCCTCGTCCTCAGCTCCAATACCACAAGAAAGAGCAGCCTGGTTATTTTCTTAGTCGATATGCCACAAAAATGCTCTTTCCGTGGTAATAGGGTTTACATACAGGACGGCTGTGGCATAGCCTCTGCCTGGGAAGAAGATGGATTTTCCATTTAGGCTCGTCAAAGGCTTTGGAGGCCCCTTCAAAGTTAGCATGTTGGCTCACAACTCAACTACACCAAGTTGGTTTTAAAGCAGTAAGATTGTCATTCATTCTTTTTCCTTGGGGTGGATTTGAAACGATTGTCAATATTTTACAGGATCTCGCCTTACTGGGATCACAGCAATAGCAATGACCACAAAAGTGAGCAAAGAGAGAGGGGGAAGTTCTGCAAGGAATCACCTACTCTGTCTCCCTCCTCCTCCTTCTCTCCCTCCTCCTCCTCCCCCTCCTCCTCCTCCTCTTTGACGATGTAATTCCAGACATTTTGTATTTTTCTAATATTTGGTATTTTTCATCGTAACAGCACCTGTGGCCACTACAACAAGCAGTGCCTGTTATACAATGTGTCAGCCCCAAGCTCTCATCAGTGCCCAGGAGAGCCAGGCTCTTCTCCTCTTGCTGTCCGATGGCTGGCGTCTCTGGGGCATGTAGCTCAGTCATCGCCAGCTGCTGTGAGTTATTCCCATCCAGCCACAAAGTCTCCCAGCTGGACTCACTTCTGAAACATCTGCCCAGTCCCCCATGTGAGCTGTGGGGCTGCATCCTGTGAAGGAAACAAGCTCCCACCAGCAGGTACTCCACTTGACCCTTGATCTTAGCCAAAAGGCTGAGAAGCCATGACTGAGAAGCCATGAGATATTCCTCTTTAATTATGTTTTACCCTACTGTGACTGACAGGACCCATCTGCTTGGTGAGGACACAAAAGACACCAGATCCCTTCATGTGGGATGGGAGAGGGTTGAGCCAGGCCAGTGTCATGGGGAAGACAGGAATCATACAGATCAGGGAGCTCGGTCCAGAGTCAGCCACCATGCACCTCTGGCGTTCTCTTCTCTCTGGAGCAGTTTTGCTTATTTAGTTTATCCACTCTTCTACTCGTCTGTCTAGCTACATATTTTTAACTTATCTAAAAATATTTATTGACCTCTCTATTCTGAAACACACTTGCCTGGACAGAGAAAACAGGGAAAAGGAACCTTCCCCGCTTCCCCACTGTAAGATTTGCCAAAAGGGAGAAGAGAACCAATGGTCACAGCCCCAGCTCTGGACCTCCTCTTTCCAGACAGCTCCATCCTGTACCACTGGGTCCTGGTAAGTGCTCCTGGAGGCCCCCATCCCTACTTCCTGTGCCACCCAGGGCACACACAGGGGTACAGTCCATACTGGGGAAGGTGTCTGGCGTCTCAGAACCCAGAGTGTGGTCTAGGAGGGAGGGGACGCAGGCACAGTGCGGATGTCTCTAGCCCCACAGACTTTCTGTCTGGCAGGAGGAGGTAGGCCAGGGGCTGGAGCAAGGCTGCCTACAGCATTGGGAGCAAGAGGCCTCTCCAAGAAGCCCCAGTCACAGGCCTCTCCTGTGTGCACAGGCACTGTGTATTGCCCAAATGGCTCTTCCCTTTGTCAGCCCAGAGCACCTGCCCTCCTGTTCCTTCCAAAGCCCTCCACTGAGGCTACTTGCAAATTGTCAGGATGTTCTTTGGTGTGTGGAAAGCCTCCTGATTAGGGATCTACCCCATCTGCACCCTACTACAAACACAAGATGAAAGTGAAAGTTCATGCCCATGACATGCACTGGGATCATTGACCCATCTTTCTTAATATTGATTCCCATTACACACACACACATACACACACACACACACACACACACACTAATTCAACCTTTATGTATTAGTCTGTTCTCACACTGCTAATAAAGACATACCCAAGACTGGGCAATTTATAAAGGAAAGAAATTTAATTGACTCACAGTTCCACATGGCTGGGGAGGCCTCACAATCATGATGGAAGAGCAAGGGACATCTTACATGGCAGCAGGCAAGAGAGAGCTTGTGCAGGGGAACTCTCCTTTATGAAACCATGAGATATTGTGAGACTTATTCACTATCATGAGAACAGCACGGGAAAGGTCTGCTCCTATAATTCAATTACCTCCCACTGGGTCCCTTCCATGACACATGGGAATTGTGGGAGCTACAATTCAAGATGAGATTTGGGTGAAGACACAGCCAAATCATATCACTTTACTTGGAGAAGCTACTGCATTGAAGCATAATGTATAAGAGACATATGATAAAGTATATTTATTTTAAGTGTACATTTGGATGAGTTTTAATAAATTCATAAACCTGTGTACCTACCACAACAAAGAGGATAAAAAATATCTCCAAGACCCCAGAAGTTCACTTTGCCCCCTCTCAGTCAATCCCCCACAATTCCATCACCAGGCAACTGCTGGTCTCTTTCCTGTCACCATAGATTACATTCCCCCTACTGTTTTAATAAGAATGGAATTATACAGCATGCATACATTTGTGTCTGGCTTTTTGCTTTGTCAGCATGATGTTTTGAGATTTATTCATGTTGTGTGTGTTCCTGTTTTACTCTATTTGAGCTGCTGTAACACAAACACTGAAAATTGGGTGGTTGATAAAAAACAGAAACTTATTTCTCACAGTTCTAGAGGCTAGAAGTCCAAGATCAAGGCATTGGCTGATTCACCATCAGGTGAAGGTTGGGTTCCTGCTTCACAGATAACGCAGTCTCTCTGTGTCCCATAGGGTGGAAGGTATGAGGGAACTCTCTGGGACTCCTTTTGTAAGAGCACTAGTCCCATTCAGGAGGACCCCACCTTTATGATCTAATCATTCCAAAAGGCTGTATATTTTAAGAACATCACATTGGAAGTTAGGATTTCAACATATGAATTTTAGGGGAACATAAACATTCAGACCTAAGAGTTCTAGCATAACTTTTTTTGTGCAGTTGTTAGTGTTCTACTGTGTGACTGTACAACAATTTGTTTATCCGTGCGCCTATTGTTGAACATTTAGGTTGTTTCCTGTTTGGAGCCATGATGAAAAAAGCTGCTATGAACTTTTGTGTGCAAATTTTATGTGGATATATGTTTTCATTTCTCTTGGGTAAATACCTAGGAATAAAGTTTCTGGATTGTATATTAAGTAAATGTTTAACTTTATAACAGACAGCAAAATTGTCTTTCACAATGTGGTACCATTTTATATTCCCAACAGTCTTGAAAACATATAATCTGTGCAACTTTGTTCTAATTTTTCAAAATTATTTTGGTTATTTTATACCCTTTACATTTCCATCTAATTTTAGGATCAAATTGTCAGTTTCTCAACAAGAACAACAACAAAAAGATTCCGGGGATTTTACTTTGGATTATTTTGAATCTCCAGATCAATTAGTAAAGGACTGAAATCTTAATACTGAGCCTTCCAATGCATAAACATGGTATATCTCTTTCTTTCTTTCACTGGTCTGAGTAAGGTTTTATACCATGCACATATTTTGCTAAATTAATTTCTGCTAAATAAATTGCATTATTTTGTATGATGTTTTTAAGGCACCATTTTTTTCTTTTTCTTTTTCTTTTTTTTTTTTTTTTGAGACGGAGTCTCACTCTGTTGCCCTGGCTGGAGTGCAGTGGCGCCATCTCCGCTCACTGCAAGCTCTGCCTCCCAGGTTCACGCCATTCTCCTGCCTCAGCCTCCCAAGTAGCTGGGACTACAGGCGCCCACCACCATGCCCGGCTAATTTTTTTGTCTTTTTAGTAGCGACGGGGTTTCACCATGTTAGGCAGGATGGTCTCGATCTCCTGACCTCGTGATCCGCCTGCCTTGGCCTCCCAAAGTGCTGGGATTACAGGCGTGTAAGGGCACCATTTTTTAAACTTCAAATGTAATTGTTCTTTCCTAGTATGTGGATATATCTATTTGAGTTTTGTGTATTGACCTTGAATCCTGTGTCCTTGCTAAACTCATATGTTAACTCTAGTAGCTTTTTTTGCAGATACCTTAGGATTCTCTGTGAATTTGAACATTAATTTGTTAACAGATGCAGTTTGATTCTTCCTTTCTAATATATATAATGTTTATTAATTGGTACTGCCTTATTGTCCTGGGCCATCAATTTAATAGAAGCAGTGAGTAGACATTCTACCTTTGTCTCTAATTTTAGGGGAAAGCATCTATATTTGGATATATGGATGGGTAGATAAATAGGTAAGTAGGTAGATAGATAGATAGATAGATAGACATGGATAAAATTTAGCACATATCCATGATTTAAAAAAATCTTGGCTAACTAGGAATAGAAAGGAACTTCCTTAACTAGATAAAGGGTATCTATGAAAAACTTAACTATCTGTAAATAGATAGAATCATTGCTCATGTATATGTGCATGTATGTATCATATATTTATGTCTGTGTTATATTACACACATACACACATCTGTAGTAATGATCATAAGATTTTTCTTCTTTATATTTTTTAAATGGTGAATTTCATTTCATTGCTAGACCTTGTATTCATTGGTTAAATGTCTTTAGGCCATGATGCAATATCTTTTCATAATTTGATAAATTCTATTTGCTAATATTTTTTCTTTTTCCATGTCCCCCATCCTCCCATTCAAAATACAGACCAGGCACGGGGCATGGTGTATCTGAGGAGAGGTTAATATTTTACAAAGAATTTTACTGTGACTTCTTTCATGAAAGTTACCGATCTCTAACTTTCATTTCTTATGATGTCTTTGTTTGGTGTTGGTATCAGCCTAATGCTGAGCTTCTGATATACGTTGGGAAATATTCCTTTCTCCTACATTTTATGCAGAAATTTGTGTAAAATTGCTGTTACTTCTTGGTAAATGTTTGATTGATTTCATCAGTGAAGCCATTGAGATCTGGAATTTTCTTTGTGAACAGATCTTAATTACAAATTAAATTTCATTAATAAAGAGTCACTTATATTCTCTATTCTTGGGGAGTCAATTTTGGTAATTTATGTCTCTCATTGAAGTTGCTATTTTATTAAAATGCCAGTTTTATTGGCAAAATCTTATTCATTGTATCCTCTTAAATTTTTTTTATCTGTCGAATCTGTGAGTGTATCCTCTTTTTTATTCTTGAATTTGTATTTTCTGTTCTTTTTATTGAATTAATCTGACTTGAATTGTGCCAACTTACTGATCTTTTCAAATAACCAGATTTTGGTTTCATGATTTCCTCTGTTGCTTGTTGTCTATTTCATTGGTTTCAGTTATCATTGTCATATCGTCTCCTCTATTTACATGGTGTTTAATAGACCTCCTCCTAGATGGAAGCTTAGGTAATTCACTCATTCAGCTCCTCCTAGATAGAAGCGAAGATGCCTCCATTTTTTCTCTGAATGTTTTTATAAACATGTTATAGTTTTACTTTTTACATATAAGTCTGTGATTCATTATTAATTAATTTTTGCATAAAGTATAAGACTTTACCCTTAGCTTGACATTTGTTCATTTACTTTTGCCTATTGATATTCAATTGCACCAGCATCATTTTTTGAAAAAGGTTATCTTTGCTCTGTTGAATTATTTATATACCTTTGTCAAAAATCAGTTGGGCCTATTTATGTTTATTTCTGTTCATTTTTTAAATCTCTGTCTGTCCCTCTACCAACATCAAATAGTCCTGATTACTATAGCTATATAAAAATTCTTAATATTGAATAGACTTGTTTATCCCATTTTATTTCTCTTTTTCAAAATGATTTTAGCTATTCTAATTCATTTGCCTTTCCTTATAAGTTTCAGTATAATCTTGTCTATATCAACAAAATTCCTGCTAAGATTTTAATAGAGATTTCATTAAATCAGTATTTAAATTGACAACTTTACTGTGTTGAGTTTTCCAGCTCATAAATGTGTTATGTCTGTCACACACATGCCTTGTTAGATTTACATCTAAATATTTTACATTCCACTAGTGAGAATGCCTAGCACTATGTTGGCTAAGAGTAATGAGAGGAGACATTCTTATGTAGTTACTGATGTTAGGACACATCCAGTCTGTCATCATTAGGTGTAATGTGAGCTGTAGGTTTTGTGCAGCTGCTTCATACCAAGATGAGGAAGTTCACCTGCACTCTTATTTTTCTGAGAGCTTTCACTATGAATAAGTGTTGAATTTTTTTCAAATGCTTCTTCTGCTTTGATTGCTAAGATCATGTAATTGTTCCTTTTTTGCCTGTTGATATGGTGCATTATGTTGATTGATTTTTGAATACTGAACTAGCTTTGCAACCCTGGAGTAAACGCCACGTAGTTATAGTGTATACTTCTTTTTATGTATTACAGCATTCTATTAGTATTTTGTTAAGGAATTTTGTGTCTGTATTCATGAGGGATATTGGCCTTCTTTCTTCCTTTTTTGTTTTGCTTTTGTTTAGTTTTGGCATCATGATAATACTAGCTTCATAAAATGAATTGGCAAATGAACGTCCTTTCTTCAATTTTCCTGAATAGATTGTGTAAAATGAGTGTTAATTCTTCTTTAAAACTTTGGTATAATTTTCCAGTGAAATTGTCTGGGTTTAGAGATTTCATTTTGAAAGTCAAATCTTGATTAAATTAAGATTTAATTAAAAAATTCTCAGCACAATTTTCCTTATAGTGATAGGGCTATTGAAATAATCTACTTCTATAGTTTGTAAACGTTTTTTTCCATTTTGTGAGTAGTTGCTTTGTTGATTTTTTTTGATGTCTAGAAGCTTTTTATTTTATTTTTTATTTTTAAGTTATTTTAATTATTTTTTTTGAGACAGAGTCTTGCTCTGTTGCCCAGGCTGGAGTGCAGTGGCTCAATCTCGGCTCACTGCAAGCTCCGCCTCCTGGGTTCTTGCCATTTTCCTGCCTCAGAAGCGTTTTAATTTGATGTAATTCCATTTGTCTGTTTTTGCTTTTGTAGCTTATGCTTTTGAGGTCTTAGCTAAAAATTCTTTGCCCATACCAATGTCATGGACATCTGCCCTGTATTTTCTTCTAGTTCTTTCACAGCTTGGGGTCTTACATTTAAGTCTTTAATCTATTTTGAGTTGATTTTTTTTCTTTTTTTTTAATTATACTTTAAGTTTTAGGGTACATGTGCACATTGTGCAGGTTAGTTACATATGTATACATGTGCCATACTGGTGCGCTGCACCCACTAACTCGTCATCCAGCATTAGGTATATCTCCCAATGCTATCCCTTCCCCCTCCCCCCACCCCACAACAGTCCCCAGAGTGTGATATTCTCCTTCCTGTGTCCATGTGATCTCATTGTTCAATTCCCACCTATGAGTGAGAATATGCGGTGTTTGGTTTTTTGTTCTTGCAATAGTTTACTGAGAATGATGATTTCCAGTTTCATCCATGTCCCTACCAAGGACATGAACTCATCATTTTTTATGGCTGCATAGTATTCCATGGTGTATGTGTGCCACATTTTCTTAATCCAGTCTATCATTGTTGGACATTTGGGTTGGTTCCAAGTCTTTGCTATTGTGAATAATGCCACAATAAACATACGTGTGCATGTGTCTTTATAGCAGCATGATTTATACTCCTTTGGGTGTATACCCAGTAATGGGATGGCTGGGTCAAATGGTATTTCTAGTTCTAGATCCCTGAGGAATCTCCACGCTGACTTCCACAATGGTTGAACTAGTTTACAGTCCCACCAACAGTGTAAAAGTGTTCCAATTTCTCCACATCCTCTCCAGCACCTGTTGTTTCCTGACTTTTTAATGATAGCCATTCTAACTGGTGTGAGATGGTATCTCATTGTGGTTTTGATTTGCATTTCTCTGATGGCCAGTGATGATTAGCATTTTTTCGTGTGTTTTTTGGCTGCATAAATGTCTTCTTTTGAGAAGTGTCTGTTCATATCCTTTGCCCACTTTTTGATGGGGTTGTTTGTTTTTTTGTTGTACGCAAATAAACTAGAAAATCTAGAAGAAATGGATAAATTCCTCGACACATACACTCTCCCAAGACTAAACCAGGAAGAAGTTGAATCTCTGAATAGACCAATAACAGGATCTGAAATTGTGGCAATAATCAATAGCTTACCAACCAAAAAGAGTCCAGGACCAGATGGATTCACAGCCGAATTCTACCAGAGGTACAAGGAGGAACTGGTACCATTCCTTCTGAAACTATTCCAATCAATAGAAAAAGAGGGAATCCTCCGTAACTCTTTTTATGAGGCCAGCATCATTCTGATACCAAAGCCAGGCAGAGACACAACAAAAAAAGAGAATTTTAGACCAATATCCTTGATGAACATTGATGCAAAAATCCTCAATAAATTACTGGCAAAACGAATCCAGCAGCACATCAAAAAGCTTATCCACCATGATCAAGTGGGCTTCATCCCTGGGATGCAAGGCTGGTTCAATATACACAAATCAATAAATGTAATCCAGCATATAAACAGAGCCAAAGACAAAAACCACATGATTATCTCAATAGATGCAGAAAAGGCCTTTGACAAAATTCAACAACCCTTCATGCTAAAAACTCTCAATAAATTAGGTATTGATGGGACGTATTTCAAAATAATAAGAGCTATCTATGACAAACCCACAGCCAATATTATACTGAATGGGCAAAAACTGGAAGCATTCCCTTTGAAAACTGGCACAAGACAGGGATGCCCTCTCTCACCACTCCTATTCAACAGTGTTGGAAGTTCTGGCCAGGGCAATCAGGCAGGAGAAGGAAATAAAGGGTATTCAATTAGGAAAAGAGGAAGTCAAATTGTCCCTGTTTGCAGATGACATGATTGTATATCTAGAAAACCCCATTGTCTCAGTCCAAAATCTCCTTAAGCTGATAAGCAACTTCAGCAAAGTCTCAGGATGCAAAATCAATGTACAAAAATCACAAGTATTCTTATACAGAAACAACAGACAAACAGAGAGCCAAATCATGAGTGAACTCCCATCCACAATTGCTTCAAAGAGAATAAAATACCTAGGAATCCAACATACAAGGGATGTGAAGGACCTCTTCAAGGAGAACTACGAACCACTGCTCAAGGAAATAAAAGAGGATACAAACAAATGGAAGAACATTCCATGCTCATGGGTAGGAAGAATCAATATCATGAAAATGGCCATACTGCCCAAGGTAATTTACAGATTCAATGCCATCCCCATCAAGCTACCAATGCCTTTCTTCACAGTATTGGAAAAAACTACCTTAAAGTTCATATGAAACCAAAAAAGAGCCTGCATCGCCAAGTCCATCCTAAGCCAAAAGAACAAAGCTGGAGGCATCACACTACCTGACTTCAAACTATACTACAAGGCTACAGTAACCAAAACAGCATGGTACTGGTACCAAAACAGAGATATAGATCAATGGAACAGAACAGAGCCCTCAGAAATAACGCCGCATATCTACAACTATCTGATCTTTGACAAACCTGAGAAAAACAAGCAATGGGGAAAGGATTCCCTATTTAATAAATAGTGCTGGGAAAACTGGCTAGCCATATGTAGAAAGCTGAAACTTGATCCCTTCCTTACACCTTATACAAAAATCAATTCAAGATGGATTAAAGACTTAAACGTTAGACCTAAAACCATAAAAACCCTAGAAGAAAACCTAGGCATTACCATTCAGGACATAGGCATGGGCAAGGACTTCATGTCTAAAACACCAAAAGCAATGGCAACAAAAGCCAAAATTGACAAATGGGATCTAATTAAACTAAAGAACTTCTGCACAGCAAAAGAAACTACCATCAGAGTGAACAGGCAACCTACAAAATGGGAGAAAATTTTCACAACCTACTCATCTGACAAAGGGCTAATATCCAGAATCTACAATGAACTCAAACAAATTTACAAGAGTTGATTTTTTTTAAATAGTGAAAGACAGGGTCTAGTTTCATTCTTTTGCATGTGGATATCCAGTTTTTTTCAGCAGCATTTATTAAAGAGACTGTTTTTTCCTCACCTTTGTTAAAAATTAGTTAGCTCTAGGTGTGTGGATTCCTTTCTGGACTCTCTATTCTACTCTATTGGTCTATGTGTCTGTTTTTATGCAGGTGTCGTATTGTTTTGACTATGATAGCTTTGCAGTATTGCAGGGACCAAGGGGAGATTTCCCCCTTTGCCCTCAGAAGATTCATTGGAAAATCAACTTGCAAAATATAGATTAATAAAGGCATACACATTTATTTAACATGTGTACACAGAGACCTTCAGAATGAAGACCCAAAGATTCAGGGGAAATTGTCCACTTTTGTGCTTAGGTTCAACAAAGTACGAACAGTTTTGAAGAAATACGACTGGACAAAAAAGGACATGATCTAATGCTAATAGATGGAGTGGGGAAACCCAACAAGGCCTGTCTGTCAATATTTCTCTTGGCCTCTCTGAGTGGCATTCCTTCCTTCTGGGTGTAAAGCAGGACCCTCTCTGGAATGGGGGGGTCTTATGACCTATAGTCAAGCAAGGTAGATCAGGTAACTTTTTTTCTTTTTAAGTTATTTTTTTACATGGCCAGTTTTTACATAGAAAGGTGGAGAAAAAATTAGAGTACTATTTTTAGGTTTTATGACTGTCTTTGGGGAAAAGAGATTCTGGTTTCTATGAGCCACCTTACAGAATGGGAATTCTAGTTTCTATGGCAAGCCTCAGGGGAGAATGGGACTGAGAGACAGGAAGGCATGAAAAGTCAAAGAAAATCTTTTGTTTCTGAGGCTGATTCTGAGGCTTTCATTTTGGGCTACTGTTTTCTGAACCCCAACAGTGTATTTTGAAGTCTGGTAGTGTGATGCCTTCAGCTTCAGCTTTGCTCTTTTTGCTAAAGATTGCAGTAGGCAATTACAAATACTCCTGAAACAAATGAAAAAAAATAGAAAGTGGAATCAAAGAAAAGAAACTGTGAAAGAGAACTGAAAGGAAATGATAGAACTGAAAAATACAATGACTGAAATTTAAAACTTACTGTATAGGCTTGTTAACAGGATGAATATAAAAGAAAGAATCAGTGAACTTGAAGATGGAGCAATATAATTACCTAATACAAACAACAGTGAGAAAACTGTGAGACAGTAACACAGATCTAACATTTGTACCATCAGAGTCCCAGAGGGAGGGCAATAAAAGGGTGGGGCTGAGAAACTAACTGAAGAAACAAAGGCTGAAAATGTCTCAGATTTGACAAAGAATGTAGAGCAACACTTTAAAAAAGCCGAGTGTTCTCCAAACAAGATAAGCCTAAATAATTACAAAACAAAACACATCATAATTGAACTTTAGAAAACTAAAGACAAAAAAAGAAAAAAAAAAAAAGCATTGATCCTTGGGCACCCATGGATGAAGAGGCTCCGAGAGATGCTGCATAGGTGGAAAAACCAAGACCAGGAGTGGGAACCAGATCCAAAGCTGAACATTTCAGAGGATCCTGAGTGTCAGATGTCCAGGGCAGCATTGCTGATGTTCCCCAGGACTCTGACCTCAGGGACGGTTCAGAGAAGCTGCAGCTGTACGACACAGGGAAGAAAACAAAATTAAAGAGCAGAGAATTTAGGGTTTTGACAGCCCAAGGTTATAACCCTCCACCATCTAAAGAGGAGATAGCCAAGAAATTGGGAAAAAGTGAAGTCAGCACACACCTCATTGCAATTCAGAGCATTGCTAGGATGCAGTTGTTCCATATATGTAGCAAATATTTCAACTGACATTCAGATCTTCACAAGCACCACAGGATCCCTGCTCATGAGAAGGTCTACAGTGGAAAGAAGATGGGAAAGGCTTCAGATATGGGTTGAAATAGTCATGGCACCAGAAAATCCACACTGGGAAGAAGCCCTGCTCACATCAAGCATGTAGACAATGCCTTCACTGGGCATTGGGAAGGAGGAAAGAAAGGAGGAAAGAAAGTCCTTCCTTCTGCAACATCAGAAACTTCATAATGGAGAGAAGCCCTAGAAATGTGGGGACTTGGGGAAAACCTTCAGATATAATGGAACACTTATTCAGCATCAGAGAACCCACACTGGGGAGAAACCCTTTGAATGTAAGGAATATGAACATGCTTTTCGGTTCATGAGTGTGCATTCACACTAAGGAGAAACCCTACAAATGTAAAGGGTGTGGGTGTAGTTTTAGTCTTCCTCTGTCCTGATTCAGCATCACAGAGTCTACAGGGAGAGAAATGTTATGAATGTAAAGAGCATGCAGGGCCTTCTGCCAGAGGTGGGTAATTCTTCAGCACCAGAGATTCCATGCTGGGAAACCGTCTGTGAACTTGGGGAATGCTGGCAAAGGCTCCCTGTGTCTCTTGCTTCACAGTGCAGCAAGGAACACACACTGGGGGAGAATTTCATGAATGCCAGGAATGTGAGAAAGCATCCAGTTGAAAAATCATCTAGGTTCTGCATCAGAGTTTGCACTGGGGAGAAACTTTATGAGTGTAAGGTGTGTGGGACAACAGCCTTCCAATGGGGCACAGCTTTCAGTTTTACTCAGCATCAAAAATTGCACTTTGGGAGGCCGAGGTGGGGGAATCACAAGGTCAGGAGTTCAAGACCAGCCTGGCCAAGATGGTGAAACTCCATCTCTACAAGAAATATAAAAATTAGTGGGGCACGGTGGCAGGCGCCTGTAATCCCAGCTACTCGGGAGGGGAGGCTGAAGCAGGAGAATCACTTGCACCCCGGGGGCGGATATTGCAGTGAGCCGAGATCGCACCACTGCACTCCAGCTTGGGTGACAGAGTGAGACTCGGTCTCAAAAAAAAAAAAAAAATTGCACAACGGGAAGAAAGGCACCCATGGTTCTGGGCTGCTCTTTTCTGTCCCCCTCCCCTTCTTGCCAATGCTTGTGGTCTGCCCCAGTTGTGACCCTCTCCCCTCCTCCCCACCTCTAGTGCCCCTTCTCCCTCTATGCCCCTTTTATGCTATTCTTTTCTTTTGAGTACATCTCCTTCAGGACCTTGCTTCCTCTGGAAGTCACTCCTCATAGCCTGAAAGCTTTGTCTCACTCCCTATGAACTCCTTTATGTTTTCATTACCCATCAATAATGGCCCAAAGTGAGCAGGGTTCTCACTGGTTTCCCATCATGTCTTTAATGACACTTTCCTGGTCTTGCAGAAGTTATTATCACTTTCCCAACTCCTTTTCAATTTCTCACATTAAAGACCACTTTTAATGACTCTGACTCTATCCCCTGGGAAGGAAATGGACTATCTATTTAGTTTGCCCTGCTTTGGGGGTTACTGGAGTTGGAAGAGTTTGTAGAAGATTTGGGGTTTTAGGAGATTGTGTCATCACAAGTCACAGACCATTGTAATTGGAGAAGCCTTCTGGAAGAGGCCATCAGAGAAGGCACCCAGTGGTTGCCCTCGGGATGGATGATGAGCCATTTGGTTGGTCAGGGGCAAGGCTCATTGTGCGGAACCGGAGTCTTGGTATTTTTAATTGCCCTCATAATTTTTATTACCAGTTATGAGTATCCTGGGTGACTATGTCATAGACCAAGAAAATAACCTCTGAACAGAATGTGAGTGATTAATTTAAAATTATGGCTTTAACTAGACTGGAAGGGAATGTGGTTTTTCTGTTTGGATTTCTTTTCTATTCTTATTCAGATGTCTGTTAACTTCAGTGTTCACTCCAATCCATAGATGCCAAGAGTGAAGTGGGCTGGGGCATTTCATTTCTAAAAGTACACATGGCATGGAGTCAGCAGCTTCACGCTGGGAAGTGCCCGAGAAAAGGGGAGGAGCGATGCACCCCTGGCCTGCTGAGAGGAGTCTGTGCCAGCCTCACTTCTGATGCCTCACAGCTCTCTGACACGATTGCATCCCCCAGATGCCTCACGGAGAAAATGTGAATTTGGGACTGGTGACACGTCAATTAATTTCACAACACCGGAAAGCACACTCAGGATGCTGGTCTTATCACGTGTTGGATCTCACTGGATTAGCTGTTTTCCCTCCAGTGGCTGGAGCCTAGGACCATCCTGGATGGCAGCATCTCAGACTCAGAATAGTGCAGCAACAGGGAAAGCTATTCAAAAAGTATATCCAGTGGGAAGAGAGTTCTCAAAAAATTGTATATACACTATTATTATAACAGCATGATATTATGTCTGTGGGGCAGGGCACGGGGAGATGTTTATTGCAAATGTATTTTGGTCAGGTTTAGGAATTTATACTTTAAAAAGCCAACTTTTAAGTGCATATTTTAATGAGTTTTGAGAAATGAATACAATTGCATAGCCAAGATGCAGAAAATTTTCACCACCTAGAAAAGTATGCTTGGTGTCTATTGTTCCCTTCTTTATGTCCATGTGTGCTCTATGTTTAGTTCCCACTTATAAGTGAGAATATGTGGTATTTGGTTTTCTGTTTCTGTCTTAATTTGCTTAGGCTTGCAGCCATTATCCTGAAAGGACATAATTTTGTTATTTTATAGCTGTGTAGTATTCCATGGTATATATGTACCTCATTTTCTTTATTCAGTCCACTACTGATGGGCATCTAGGCTGATTCCATGTCTTTGCTATTGTAAATAGTGCTGTGATCAACATATGCACGCATATGTCTTTGCCGTGGAATGATCTATATCTCTTTGGGTATATACGCAAAATGGGATGGCTAGGCTGAAGGGTATTTCTGTCTTAAGTTCCTTGAGAAATCTCCAAACTGCTTTCCATGGTGGCTGAACTACTTTACATTCCCACCAGCAGTGTATAAACGAGCCGTATTCTCTGCAACCTTACCAGAATCTGTTGTTTTTTGAACTTTTAATAGTAGCCATTCTGACTGGTGTGAGATGATATCTCATTGTGGTTTTTAATTTGCATTTCTCTAATGATTAATGATGTTGAGTATTTTTTCATCTGCTTGTTGGCTGAGTGTATGTCTTCATTTGAGAAGTGTCTGTTCATGTCCTTTGCCCATTTTATAATGAGGTTTTTTTGTGTGTGTGTTGACTTGTTAAAGCTTGTTATAGATTCTGGGTATTAGATCTTTGTTGGATGTGTAATTTGCAAATGTTTTCTTCCATTCTGTAGGTTGTCTGTTTACTCTGTTGATAGTTCCTTTTGGTGCAAGCATCTGGAAAGCTCTCAAGTACCAGGCAAGTTATAGGGATGTATTGCTAAATGGAGATTTGATATCTTTTATTCCTCCCATGATTTTTCTGCTGTTATTTTTTTAAGTCAGCAGTGATTGCTTTTATTGGTAAGGATATCCAGATATAGAAAAGTATACCAAATAGTACAGAATAAACATCCAAATATTTATATCAACTGGAATTTTCTCTGTGACATTGGATAAGTAGCTGAATTTTACTGAATTTTTTCATAGTTAAAATAGGAACAGCACTCTTGCCAGGAGGATCAAATGCGTAGATAGACATAAAAATGCTTCTTCACTTCTCTTCCCTCTGAATCTCCATTTCTCTTTCTATTTACTTGTTTTTAAATAGACTATTTTAGAATAATTTTATTTTATAGAAAAATTTATTTCTTTATAACAATCATGTTATAATTTATATTAATTTAATTTATATAATTTTTATTTATAAAGATAAATTTTATGATTTCTAATTTTAATTTATAATTTAAAAAATTTTCCATAAGTTACTGGGGTACAGGTGGTATTTGGTTATATGAGTAAGTTATTTAGTGGTGACTTGTGAGATTTTGGTGCACCCATCATGTGAGCAGTATACACTGCACCATATTTGTAGTCTTTTATTCCTCACTCCCCTCCTACTCTTCCCCCCCAAATTCCCAAAGTCCATTGTATTATTTTTATGCCTTTGTGTCCTCATAGCTTAGCTCCCATATATCAGTGAGAACATACAATGTTTGGTTTTCCATTCCTGAGTTACTTCATGTAGAATAATAGTCTCCAATCTCATCCAGGTCACTGCAAATGCTGTTAATTCATTCTTTTTATGGCTGCATAGTATTCCATTGTGTATATACACACACACACATATATATATATATCACAGTTTCTTTATCCACTCATTGATTGATGGGCATTTGGTTCATTCTATTTTATAGAAAAATTGCAAAGATAGTGCAGAGAGTTCCCATATACCTGTTTAACACCTTATATTAGTATGGTACATTTTTCACAATTAATGAATCAACGTTGCAACACTATTATTAACTAAAGTCCATACTTTATTCAGATTTCCTTAATTTTTACCTTATGTTCTTTTTCTGATCCAGGATCCCACTGTGGATATTGCATGGCATTTAGTCGTTATGTCTCCTCCAGCTCCTCTTGGCTGTGACAGTTTCTCAGAATTTTGTTGCTTTTGATGATCTTGACAGTTTGAGGAGGACTGGTTAGGTGTTTTGTATAATGTCCCCTAACTGTTATTTGTCTAATGTCTTTCTCATCAACAGACTGGGGTTATAGGTTCTTGGGAGGAAGGCCACAGAGATAGAGGGCCATTTTCATCACATCCTGTCAAGGGTAAGCACTGTCAGCATGACTTCGCCCTGTTAATGTTGACCCTGATCTCTGGCTGAGGTTATGTTGGTGATATTTCTCTACTGTCAAGTTACTTGTTTTCTTTTCATACTGTACTCTTTGGATGGAAGACACTATCAACAATCAACACTTAAGGGGTGAAGAGTTTACTCCATCTTCTAGAGGCCAGAGTTTCTACATAAATTATTCGGAATGCTCCCGCCTAGGACATTTTTCTCTTCACCCCCATTTATTTATTTATTCAATGTTTTATTTTGATCAGTATGGACTCATGTTTATTTATTTCATATTTTGAATTATCATCCAATGTTACTTTTTGTTTTTCAAATTGTTTCAGTTTTGGCCATTGAGACCTTTTCCAGTTGGTTTCTGTGTTCCTTTGACATGCCCCCAACATGTTTGTTTTGGGTTTTATTTTCAGCACTTGCTCGCTTTTTGGCACAGTAAGATACTTCGGGATCATCTCGTATACTTCCTGTTCCAGTCCTAGAATCAGCAATTTTTCTGAGAACCCCTGGCTCCTTTCATGAGAGAATGATGTTAGACACCAAGATCTGGGTGCCTGTGCTTGCTGGTGCTGGGGTATAGTTGCTTGCAGGCACTTTGACCTGACAGAGCAAGAAAATACATATGCATACCAACCTGCATGTGTACACATTTCTGTGTGTGCCTATCTCTACATCAAGATAAACATGAGTTCACAGTGATGTTTCCAAGACTAATCCACTACCATATGGGTCATTAGAGCCTCCTCTCTTGCTTGTTGCCTCTCCCACAGTGAGAAACCTGGCTCTTACCACCTGCCATTCATTTACTTAATTGTTCAGTTGTAGTGTACATGTATAGTGTTTTCAGAATCATTTTTTTTGCTTACTCTATAAGCTAACCATTACCTTCTGCCTCAGCTCAGTGCTTTTGTGCTTGTGCCTTACATTCCCTACTGTAAATCCACAAAGACAAGATTTGTATATATTTGATTCTCCTTTATTTCCATTGTAGAAGAAGGAATTTATTTGTCTCATGATTTTTTAAAGAAATATTTTAGATTCCTTAAAATAGGGCCATTTTAGGAGAAGGAATTCTATGCATGTGTGGGGACAGGTGGGTGCAACTTGGAAGTTCTGTTAACAAGAAAAGCTTGTGATGATGGGTGTGAAAATGAGTGGGAGGTGGCTGTGGTGAACAAGATGTCTCCAGACTAAAGAATTACAGGAAATTATCCAGGTGGATTCAATCTATAGTATGTGTCATTGCCACATGGAATATGGGATGACCAGATTCTAACTCAATGGTTCTAAGTCATGTTGATATCTAACACAAAGAGCAGTGACTTTTTTCTGGGCTCATGAGATAGAGGAGTCTAAAAAGCAGAGAAATGAAGAAATCACTGGGGTGAGGAAAAGGCATTTAAAAGAATTATGGGCCTTTTGGCAGAAACCAATTTTCAAGAGTTTGAGTGTAGATTGATATTTTTCCCTTCTACTTTTTCTGTATCTTCTAAATGTTCCCAAACAACAACATGTCATCTTTATAATGTAAGAAAAACATTTATTTTAAAAATATTTTGCTCAGCTGTATCACTCTGTTGCTAAAGGATATGGCTTAATTTCCATTCTTTAGCAACAGTGGCTATTGGGAAGACAAAAAAAGTGCTTAAACATTCTTCTGTAACTCCATGTTGCAATTGTAGAGAAGCTGCACTTTTTCTATCAATTTTAATATCATATGGCAAAAAGAAAAAAAGGAAAAGAGAAGTTGTATTACTTTTGAGTGTTCTACACACCAATATAAAGGAAGAGCTCAATGAAGCCTTAGCTATGTAACACCATGATGCAGAACCTTAGCTCCCTAAACCTGACTCATTCTTATGTTGTTGATATAGTGATTGAGGCTGGGGAGCCATCCTACAGTGGCAGTGTGTTCAAACATAAGATTCTGTTATTATTATTATTATCATCATTTCAAAGAGCATGTTATTTGCTAGGTGTGAGACTTGAGAGTATAAGAAATGGAAAATGAGAGGCTCCAGTTTTTGGTACCTTTGCTATAGCAATATTTGACTTACATATCGTGAAACCAAGCACACAAGTCATACACAGTCATGCATCTCTTAACAACTGAGGTGCATTCTGGGAAATGTGTCATTAAGCCATTTTGTTATTGTGCAAACATGACAGGGTATACTTATACAAACCTAGATGGTAGAGCCTACTACACACCTGGGCTATATGGTATAGCCTATTGCTCTTAGGCCACGAACCTGTACAGCATATGACTATACTGAATATTGTAGGCAGTTGTAACACGATGGGAAGCATTTGTTTATCTAAACATAGAAAGAGTACAGTAAAAATTCAGTATTATCATCTTCTGGGGCCACTATAATATAGTCCATAATTGACTAAAATGTTGTTATGCAGTACATGACTATTTATATGTAAGTTGAATAAAAGAGTGGTATAGAAGTAGGAGCACTGGCCAGTGTGGCTGGAAGCTGCCCACCAGTCTCCATGTAAACAACTCAAAGGAATCTGTCCAAGCTGGACTTGTCAACAATGTTACTGAGGATTCCAGCATGACTGTAAATGCTCTGCTTTTAACTGTTCAGTTGGATGAAACTTGACAAATATTACAGTGGTGAAACTGTGACAAAAATTAAGACATAGAGCATTCCCATCACCTCAGAAATTTCCCCTTTACTGTCCATCACCCAACTTGTCCCAGCCCCAGAAAGCTGCTGATTGCATTCAGTGACTACACATTCACTTCGATGTTTTAGATTTCCTAACAAAAAATTATACTGTATGGAGTTTTTTATGTCTGGCTTCTGTCAAAAAACAACACTCCATGAATATTTTCAAGTTTTTGCATGATCTGGGCTTTTAAGCAAAAAGTCCTGGCCACCTGGGCTGAAGGATGATTGATGGTAACCATGTCTGGGAAGTTAGAGATGGGGAGTTATTCCAGAAACACTATGGTTCATCTGCTCTGCAGCCATTAGCTTACATTCCAAAGGGCAATGGACCTGAAGGCTTCTCCTTCCCACCTGAGAGGATCTGTTTATGTCAAAAAAAAAAAAAAACAAAAAAACCAGGTTTCTCTCTTTCCTCCAGAGGGGGAGCCAGGCAGCTGTACCAGCCACCCACATAAGCTGCAAGATTTATGATTTGGAGCTCCTTCTTGTGGCACAAACCAAATCACATGTGTAGGTGCCCACTGCTCTTCTTGCATCGTCCCATGGGGAGGGGCTGCATGGGGAACTGACACAAGATGCTCTGTGAATCATCAGGTCTGTCTTGGATCCAGAACAACATGCTTCCTGTCAGAACCAACCAACCAACCAACCAACCAACGACCCAACCAATGCATACATGTAGAAAAGACTTCACGGCTTCTTTCCCTCAGCCTTGTTTTAGAGACCCACCCACATTCATGTGTGTATCAGTAGTGGCTTTCGTTTTATTGCTGAGTAATATTGAATTGTGTAGACACACACAAAAAAATGTCAACGGTAGACCACCATAAAAATTTTCTAGGAAAGTTCAAAACTTATTTTTAATACACACACTCACACGCACACACACACATGCCCATACACACAAACACACACATTATGGTGGTCTACCATTGACATTTTTGACAATACTTTCATTTTAATGCCAGTAGACATACTCCTCTTGCAAATCCCACTGGCTCTAAGAAAAGCATATTCAGCTTGCATGCATGTGACCCTAAAAGTCAGGTGAAAATCTAAAAGGAAAAGCAGGTACTCCTGTGTATTTGCCTGTGTTAGGGGGAAGAAAAACTTGGAGACTTTAGCAAAAAACAAACAAACAAACAAAACAGAACAAAACAAAAAATCCTTCTAAGGATACATTGTCATTTCTCCTAAACATTCGGGCCATTATCAGCAGGCTGTGGTGTTAAGTCTTGTTTTTTCCTTTCTCACTTCCATTTTTAGCCCACAGAACTAAATCTAACTCATTTTAGGTAGTGCAATGTGAGACACATCATTTGATGCTTCTGACACTGAGGTCCCACAGCTGTGAAGGAGTGTCATGTTCCCTGGTCCACCCACCATTTAGGGCATCAAATCCTGGGGCTCTCTACACAAACAGATCTTGTAGATCTACATGTTTCTGACAACTATGTTGCAGCAGATAGCAACTACTTGCTGGAGGAAGGGTGGCTTTTCTAATGCATTGTAAAGGCAGTTTGGGCTGGTTGTGGAACAGAAAGTGCTGTGTGGACTGGATGACTGTTCTAGCCACACACTGTGGAGGGTGAGGTGCCCGCTCCTTCCACAGTGTCACAAGTTGATGTCGAGCCTGCAGAGCAGAAGCTGTGAAGCACCTGCCTCTCCTGAGGGCAGCCTGGAGGCATCACCTGCTGAGTTGTCTCTACCAAGCTGAAACACACACAGAAACCTCCTTTAGCAATTCTCCACGTGGACCAGTCACTGGAATTGCAGTGCCCTGGGCAAGAGATTAGTGAGATTTCACCAGCTAAGCAGGGCTGGGCTTTAGTAATGCTTGTTAGGGGATTTCCAAATGGTGTGGGGAGAGAATGTGTAATGCCTTCCCCACCTTTTGGGTGATATCACCTTTGAGTAAAACATAGTAAACAAAGTAAAAAATCCTGAGGGCAAGCCAACGAGGATTCTGGGGAAGGAATTTCTACTAAGCAGGGTAGTGCTTTCTCCATGGCCCTGAATCACCTGGCAGGGACTCAGCCTTGGAGGTTTCTTACACCACAAGATCATCTGTCTCAAACGTAGCCAGGGGGAAGTTAAGGGCAAAAGCTGATGTCAGAGACCCCTAGAGGCCCCTAGAGTAGTGGCTCCCAGTTGCTAGATGACAGCATTGTGCACTGTTCCTCAGGACACTCTACTTTGTTTAGTTTGTATAAACCAGTGACCTTTGCTTCTGCTTAGGCCACATGTTTCTGGGTAACTTTGCCACCCATGTACATCGTACAAAGTTCAAAAGTTGGGGCATTTCTCTGCCTCCTCCTGTTGCCTCATCAGGGATAACTCTGAGTTATCATTAAAACATAATGGATACATTTTAAACAAATTTTAAAATGAGATTTTTGTATTATCCTATTTTTATTAAAATATCGTTTGCAAATCTAATTCTCATTTTCCTGATTGTATTTTTTTTTTCCATTTCCAAGCCAAAAAGGATTACAAGAATTTTAACTTTGGCTTCTTAAAAAGAGCTAACTTGTTCTGGAGCACTATTTGCCTTTTTGCTCCTCAGGTCGAGACCACTCATCTCAGGCACGCAGAGGCTGTCTGTGACTATCCCAATTAAACAACTTGCAAGATCCTTCAAGCCAGAATTCAGGGTCGGCTCCAAGTGAGGGACACTTCACTGTTCTCTTCCACAACCAGACTATCATCTCTGCCCTAAGAGGAGCTGACAAGTCCACCTAGCAGACTAAAGAGTTGTGTACCAGGAGTCTCAAAGCTGTCTTCTGATGACCCACAGCTACCTTTCTGGGGGTCCTGGGGAGGTCACTTTCCTCATCTAGGTCTTAATCCCTTTTTATGAGATTGAGAGTTCTGAATGAGAACTACAAAGAACTGTTTAATTCTTGCCATCCAATGGCTAGAGGAGCATTTGGCGTGTGCCAGATATTCCCCGCTGGCCCCAGGGACCTCCTCTGCACCCCTTTCTGCCCTACTGTGCTCCCTAACAGGCGGACCTCTACCAGTGTTATTTCTGGGTCCCCTGCCCTCCAGCCCCTGGTTGGGGGTGGCCAGTAAGATTCACTAGGTATTAAACCCAAGAGACAGATATTTCTTCACTGTTAGCAAAGTCAGTCAGGCACCAGGAGAATGTCTCTGTGGGTGTCACTTAAGGGACTTTGGACACCTATGCTTAGGCTTGTTCAAATAAATGACATGTGAGTACTTTGCAGTTTGATAGTTCTATGAATCATGAATACAGTGCAATGAAAACGTCAACCTATAATGTTACCAGGGATTAATTGCTATGGATTATCATTCTTCTCTGCCTTGCTTTCTGCAAACATAACATTATTCCTTAAAAAACATATACACTTATGTGCACAAACACATGCACACATGATGTTTTTAGACTAATTAACATAATTAAAATTTTCTGAAATAGTTAAGTGGAATAGACTTTTTTCCAAAAATGACAGTTTCTTCTCCAGTGAAGAAGAAAAGACACCTCATAATTTAAACATTTCATTTGAAAATATATTCTCAGAAATGTATAATGTAGATATTGCTTTAAAACAAGCTCATCTTATGAATATTTCTCCAATTTGTCTGTAAGTTTGCCAATTTTTTTCTCCTTGGGTCAGGGTGCAGATATGTAGTGTGTATCAATTAGCATGATATATCTGCAATGTTTATATTAAAAATTACGAAAAACATGCTTCTCGAAACATGTAACTAGATACCAGTTAAGGGAGTCTCTGGTAGCCATGAAAATTGCACTCAGGGGACCCATAAGGTTAGCATTACATTGGAACAGATGATTGCCTAAGATTTGTAGCTGTGGGGACAAAGCTTTTGTCAGATCATTAAATCATATAACATCATAACCCCTTCTGCAGGAAGTCTGGGAGCCAAAATGGGATTGCTGAAATTTATGAGCAGAAGCACATGCAGTTTACTAGATAACTTGAAATAGGTAGAGCAAAATTGGAACCTCCCGACTCACTGAACTTGCTCTCCCCAGGCAGCTGTTGCAAATGGCCATGGTTTCCATGAAGAGTGCACAGATGGCTCCGTCCTCACAACTTCCTTAGAAAGATGGAAAATGGAACTTGTCTTGATGACAGTGTCTGCTAGGTTCATCAACTTCTGAAATGTGGTGACAGAGCATAGACTATAACTCATGGGTAAAAGGACATTGCTTAGAAGCAAATAGTAATATTTGTCAGGGAAGATCTTGAAGAGTTCACTTATTAAAACATTGAGTTGACATCTCTTATTTTGATCAAAATAAATGAAAATGGGGTCAGCATTGTAGTGTATTCTACCTTTAATTAGCTAATTAATTTTTGAGACAGGTTTGAGACCTACTCACTAGAAAGATACATGCATAGAATTTCACATACCCAAAGGAAATGAAATCAGTATTTCAAAGAGATAGCTACATGCCTGTGTTCATTGCAGCACTATTCACAGTAGCCAAGATATGGAAGCAACCTAAATGTCCATCACTGAGTGAATGGATAAAGAAAATGTGGTTTATAGACACAATGGAATACCATTCAGTTTTAAAAAAAGCAGGAAATCCCGTCATTTGTGACAACCTGGATAAATCTGGAGAACATTATGCCAAGTGAAATAAGCCAGATACAGAAAGACAAATACTATATGATCTCACTGATATGTGGAATCTTAAAAAGTTGTAATCACAGAAGCCGAGAGTAGAATGCTGGTTGCCAAGGGCTGGGGGCAGTGGGGAGGAGTGGGAAGGGGTGGGGCAGATGTTGATCAAAGGAAATACAATTTCAATTAGATGGAAATAAGTTCAGGAGATTTATTATACAGCATGGTGACTACAGTTAATAACAATATGTTGTATATTTAAAAAATGCTAAGAGGGTGGATTTTAAATGCTCTCACCACAAGAGTAGGTAGTATGTGAGGTGATGGATGTGCTCAGTTGCTTCATTTAATCATTCTGCAGTGTGTACGCATATCAAGACATCATGCTAGACATCATAAATATATGTAATGATTATTTGTCTACTAAAAATACTTTAAACAAAACTTTTGGGGGTTCACAGATCTGTTCATGTTTCTACCCCCAATTATGACACTTCCTCAGAGATTCCTCTGCTGTGATGAATGACGCCAAGCATGTGTTCCCAATCATGATTGCCTAAGAACGGCTTTCCACCTCTGGAGAGCCTTACGCTCTGCTGTTTTGGACTTTTCCCTTAGCATTGTTGAGGATTAGAGTAAAATAGAAATTAGTATAACCAAATATGGCATCGATTTGTTTACTGCTTTGTCTTAAGTGGGGTGCAAAGCTGTATATTTTATATCTTTTCTCAAATGATTCCTGAAAGTCCTAACATGCATCTGGGCTTTCTGAACTGTCTCCCCATTTTTTCCCCTATTAATTTGAACTTTACTCCTTTTCTTTACAAAATATTAAGGTTCTTCTTCATTTGGAATCCCACAAATCACAGTTTCCACTTGAAGGAATCTGATGTTGTCTCGGCTATGACTTGGAGCACTTGCTTGTGAGATTAAGCCTTATTGTACTGTTTTATTATATTTTATTATAAAAGGACTCACGCATCCCCCTAGGGAACCATGTCATCCCTGCTGTGCTGACCTCTGTCCCGCCCCAGTGCAAGCATCCCTGCCTCTGGGCTTTTGCACCTGTCCCTCCGCCTAAGGCTGTTCCTAGAATGTTTGCAAGGTGAGTTGTTGGCTCCTTCTCACATTCATATTTCAGCCCAAATGCCATCTCCTTAAGGGACATTTCTTTTCCCTTGATCTAAAGGAGCCTTGATGGACCACCTGAGATGGCTGCTTTCTTCATTCCAATCATAATAGTCCTGCAGTTTCTTGTTTATTTGTTACTCATTCCCCTACCCTGCCAAACAAAAGGCTTTGTGAAGAAGCCCCTGGTCTGTTACTGTGAAGGCCCCATCCCAGCACCTGACACCTAGCCGACCCTTGAGAAATGCTTTCCTGCCTCAGAAACTGACCTGAGAATATTTTGAAGTTACTAATGAGACCTCTATGTATATTTTAATGTGCAAAACTTGCATACTTACCCTTGCAGAAATGTAGAATGCTAGCTTATTGAGAAAACAAATGAAACACTTCACTCATGATAAATTCAACTGTGCAAAGTGCATATGCAGTGACAAATATTTCATAAATTATGAGCGTGGCAACAAAGATGGAGCAGGCTTAATTTTGATGTGGATTGACAGTTGAGAAGACCAGTAATTACTTAGATTGGTTTTTTTCTGCCTCTTTCTCCTGACTGATATATTTCTTATAAATTATAAGAGAAAGGTAATTTTTAAAAATAATAATTATATTGCTTACAGAATTTTCCTCCAAATGGTCATATAAAAATCTCCCTTGGCTGGGTGTGGTGGCTCACACCTATAATCCCAGCACTTTTGGAGGCCGAAGTAGGTGGATCACCTGAGGTCAGGAGATCGAGACCAGCCTGGCCAACGTGGTGAAATCTCATCTCTACTAAAAATACAAAAATTAGCTGGGCGTGGTTGCAGGTGCCTGTAATACCAGCTACTCAGGAGGCTGATGCTGGAGAATCGCTTGAACCCAGGAGGCGGAGGTTGCAGTGAGCTGAGATAGTGCCATTGCACTCCAGCGTGGGAGACAAGAGTGAAACTGTCTCAAAAAAAAAAAAAAAAAAACACTCCCCTAAGCTGCAGGCCAATATAGAGGTGGAGGTGCTTGGGGACCAAGCAATGATGAATTTGAGTCCATAAATATGCAGGGGAAGTCAGTGATGCTTTCTCCTCTAAGACAGATTCATGGTAGTAAAACTCTCAAGGTTAGGATGAACCGCCCACCTGAATCCAAATTCCACATTCCTCACATTGCACAACTCAATTTGAACCCTCTAAAACTCATTTTCATTATCTACAACATGTGCTTATATTCTTTTTCTCACAAGATGTTTGTTAATAGCAAATAGTAAGATGCATGGGAAAGTTCAGCATGAAGGTTAATTACTTTATTGTCCCATGGATATAACAGTGCTATGAATATAGTAGATACTTAATGAAGAGTTGTTTATTATTGCCTTTATCTCTTTCAATGGATATTCTGAAGCATTTTCTAATACTTGAATCAAACATTGGAGAAACTGGTATCAAGTTTTGAGGGGCAATAATAAAGGAGAGATTCCCTGAGTAGGATGCAGGTCTAAGTGCTTTGGGTCTAAGGGCCAATTTTAAGCCCTATGGTGAAGCTGCCCTTCCTACGTGCCCCATTGGGAACAAAAGTGGGGCAGGCTGAGGTTTCCTCATTTGTGTCTTACAGGATCCCATGGGGATAGGTTTTGGTCACAGCCAAAGGTCCTGCTTTGCCCACAGCCTATTAATTTAAATGTTAATCTCATCCAAAACACTCTCACTGACACACCCAGAATAATGTCTAATCCCATATCTGGGCTCTGTGGCCCAGCACATTTGACACATGCAGTTAACTATCACATTGAGCTTCTGGGGAACTCTTCTGTTTAGGCGATATTTTTCCGATACAATTGCTTCCTCTCCCAGTTCACTCCTTGACTCTCCGCCAGTGTCATTGGAGAACGGTGCACCAGCAAGAGGAACAGCAGTCACTCTGTTCCTCAGTGGACATGGGAGCAGTGCTGTCATTGCTCTTCAATGGCTGTTAGCACGTGCTGGTTCTCTTCTCCAAAGCATGCCACACTGCAAGGGTTCTGCTCAAATAACCATCGTGACTGCCAGCTGGGGCCTGGGACTCCAAGATTCTCCATTTACAGACAGGGAAAGTCACAGGGGAGTCAGGATGGCACAGGGATAGAAGCCAAATCTCTCATTGCTGGTCCACAGTTACTTCCTCTGCATCGGCCTTGACTTGGCATGAAATCACTGATGAGACTTCCACGACATGGATGAGGACTCCACTCCTTAGATTTGTCTGATGCAATAGAGAAGAACTAAATTCACCAAGTGTCAGCACTCCATTATCAATACAATTTGAAAAATTAATTCCAAAATCTGTACTATCCCTTTGTGTTCACTTTATGTGCTTGATACCTGAGGAAATACATCATTGACTAAAAAAAAAAAGGTTCTGCCCCCTCTCACTCCTTAAGAACAAGGTCTAGGTTGGTTGCAAAGAGTGAAGAAAGAACAAATACAGATACAAAGACAAACTAAAATTTAGTTACAGTTTAGATAACTAAAATCCTGTCTAGAAGTCTTGAGGAAGAGGGTCCCTGGGCCCATAGTTTGAATCAATGCAGTGATAGAATGTATTGGCCATTTAATCTGCAAACAGGAGTGAAGGATTAGTGTAATCAGGGTAATAGATCGATTTCAGTCTTTTCCTTCTTTAATTAACATCTGGTTATCTGTGAACAATAGCCACATAGTGCAAAGTACTTACTCTGCTTCTTCAAATTTGCCTCCTTTGCTGTCTGAAAATGGATTGATGTGACTAACATTCAGTTACTATGTGGTGTGCTGAAATAGTCATCTCAAGATTTTTTTTCTCCAAGATCATGATTAATGGGACAAATAACATCAAGTCCTGCCCTGGTTTGCCCACTGGCAACAGGAGCATGAGCAGTGCCCTTGCTTGTGGATGACGCACGACTCAGGCACCCAGAGCTGTGGCCCTGCTCGTGCTGCGAAGCCGAGGCCCTGGGCTGGGGCCAAATTTGGCCATGAGCATTTTCACTTTGGGAGATGTCAGGACAAGTTGGCAGGCAGAGGCCACAGTAGGAAGGCCGAGGATCTGATGGCCCAGGCCCCGCTGTTGAAGGGGCCACCAAGGGCTGATGGGCAGCATATGGTGAAGGTAGCAGGACCCAAGGTTTTAGTCCAGGGAGTTAGTTTAAGTCAAGAGGAAAGAAGAGGCATGGAGCCTGGAAGGCGAGTCTGTCCGGTAGCAGAAATGGCTTGATTTCATTTTACGACAGTTCTTAAAACTTTTGTTCTTACTACTTATTTTTTATTTGACAAGTAAAATTGTATATATTTATGGTGTACAAAACCATGTTTTGAAATATGTACACACTGTGGAAGTGCTAAATTCAGCTAATTAGCATATACGTTAGCTTACATAGTTGTCATTTATTTGTGGTGAAAGCTTTTCAAATCTACTCTGTCAGTAATGTTGGAGTGCACAGTATGTTGTTATTAAGTATAGTCACCATGCTGGACCATAGATCTCTTGCTGAATACTTTTGGCTCTTTCTACACAGTAAGCCCCACCTCACAAGGCAATCGCAGGCACACCACAGGCACCAAAGGAGTTCTGGGCCCAGAGGGCAAGATGGAGCTCAGTGCTAGGTGCCACTAGCTGCCAGGTTGGGGCCATCTCCTAAATTTTCAGAGTCTTGTTTCCTCATCTCCACAGCAGGAGTACCAAACTCCACTTCTAGGGCTGCTGAGAGGATTGAGCCAGAAAACAGCCAGGCCCTGGCACAGAGCTCAGTGTGTGGAGTCTGCTGAATCCACCATGTAACCGAATCTGCAGGCGATTCTCCAGGGGAGTGCCAGAAAAATGCTCAACACTTAGGGCTTAAGTCAAAGATGTAACAAATGAGGCTGGAAGGGAACATTCGTATCTTGTATCCATTTATCCAATGGGCTTGGATCCTTACACCACCCCACCAAGTCCTTGTTGTGACTTTATTTGAATGCTAGTGAGCTTGTCATCCCTCCTTCTCCTCTCCCTTCCTTTTAATTTTTTTTTCTTAGCTATTTATTAAACACTTACTACCTGCCAGACAGAGTTAGGCACAAGAGATATCATGGCAAGAGAAACAGAAGTGTACAAAGCCACAGGCACATTTGGAAGGAATGTTAATGTTGCGAGACTTTTCCTTAGCTCAATTAAAGACAGGGTCCTTGTCACACAGCCAGGAAAATTTAGGCTCGTAGATGATTTGAAGAGTGAGAAAAATGGGATTTATTGGGCAAAAAGGGAAAAAAGGGGTAACAGAGACTCTTAGTGAAGCAAGAGAGTGTGCTTTTTGCCTGTGCGCTTCCCACCTCACAGATTGAATCCCAGGTTCCACCCAGGAAGAGGAGGGGCCAGGCTTCTCCCTGCTGCAAACAGCACAGAACTTCTGTGGCTCCACTCTAGTGCACAGACTGGTTGGAGTTTCTCTGGGGGCCCCTTCCCACCTGGCTGTCTCATTTAAGGGATGCATTGTCTCTGGAAGAGGGCTTGAGTCAGCTGAGGTAGTGAGCGCTGGGCAGCTGAGATGAGCTGGGTGTGGGTGGGGCTTGGATGTGATGCCAGACTGCAGTGAGCCCAGAGCTTGAATCCCCACTCATGCTGAAGCCCAGCAGTTCCTGACGTAGAGATGCTGGCTATTTGGAGAAGGCTCTGGGTGTCAGGTAGAAAAATATGTTTAGCATGCTCTTTAAGGGGAATTCCCTGGTCTCTTGATGTGGATTCATGCGCCTGGTTGAAAGTGGCCCAACTTAGAAGTAAGTCTGGGACAGAAGCCAAGTGCAGGAATTCTGCTCCCAAGGACTTTTTAATCTGCTTGATTCTGCCTCTTCCCACCTGGGGTCAAGCACACACCCTTTGTTTCCATGGAGGGGCACTCTCTGTCAGGGTGGGATGGTGGCAGCAGGCTGACTCTGTCCCTCACTGCTCACTCTCCAGCTCAAGGACACCAAGTCCTGGTCCTGGACTCAGTGGCTCTGCTGCCACCTCGGACGGACAGATGCAAACTTATAATCCTTCCGTGACCTTCGCATTTTCTTTGTTGGTGTTTTTATTGCAGATGAGCTCGGCCTTCTTTCTGTGTCAGTCAAGGAGGTGTCTGTCTTCATGTCTGAGCATCCATCAAGGCCCCATTCCATCCACTTCCTCTCTGTGTCCTATCTGCTGACATGCTTTCTTTCACATGTGATCATGAGTTCCTCCCAACTGGGGTGCAGACTTTGCTGTGTTCACTGTTGTACTCCCAGCACTTAGGATAAAGGCAGCTGGCACATTGTAGGAACTGTGTAAATATTTGCTGAGCTAGTGAAGCACTCTGGCTCATAGCTGCCAGCCTGAGACCCATGGTACCCTGGTGACTGGGCTCATCCATCTTTACATCGTCTTCCTCTTCTGCAGTGAATGCAAAATGGTCTCTGCTCACACACCCTTAAAGTCTAGGGAGGCAGAAAAACATGAACACATCATGGTGAAGAATAAGTGGCAGGAGGGATCCTCAGAGCCGAGGAGGCATTGAGCTGAGTCTTCCTGGAGTCTGGGCTCCGGGAGGGGACTTGCTCTCCCAATAGATTTGCATGCTCTCCATCAGAAATAGGATGAGGGATTACCTTTCCTTACCACTGATTCATTTCAGAAAATACCTTTGTCATTTATTTTCTCAACAAATGGATTGGTTTGGGGTGGACCCTATGTTCCATCGATCCTGCTATTGCTCCTGTTAGGGCATCGACCACACTCACAGCTCTAGGATGGGGTTTTGGGTGTGTGCATCCTGAGGACCTCAATTTTTTCTCTGAACTCTGTGCTGATGGTTTAGCCTCTTGGCTGCTCAGTCCTCCTGAAATTGTGGTCACCAGTCCAGCAACATCAGCCTCTACTGGGAACCTTTTGGAAATGCCAGTTCTTGGGCCCCTCCCCAGGCCTGTGGAGTCTGTGGGACTGTCAGGAATCTGGGCTCTGACATAGGCCAACCTTAAGAATGCCTTTAGTAGCTGTGCATAGGGAGGATGGATGCTGGAAACAGCAGGGAGGGGATATCTGAAGTTGGGGGCCCTTGAAGTTAGGGGCTCCATTCAAAGGCTGTTAATTGCTCAGACAAGAGAATGCGAGGGCCCAGACCAGGACTGGAAAGATGTGGGTGGGTCTATGATATGTTTATAAAAGTAATGGCCTACCCTTGGTGATGGGAGGACAGCAGGGCCAGTTATTCTTGTACTTGCTTACAGCATGACTGTAAGGAACTGTGCTCCTGCGGTGGCTGCTCAGCCTCATCCAGCTCCTTCCAGCTTCTTCATCAGGATCTGCCACTATCTTTGTCCTCCAGCTTTGCTCAGCAACTTGACTAGGAATCGGATTCCTACCTGCTTCTTCCCCCAACGTGGAGTCTATGTGCACGTGTGAGGAGGGATTAATTTGCTTTGACCCAGTCTTAGGGTTTATTTTCCCAACTGCCACACCTTGTCCTCCTGTCTGTGCTTCCCTGCTTGGCCTTCTTTCTGAACTTCTTCTATCCACACTGCTGTAGGTTTCTTTTCAGCACTCACAGGTCATCAGGGCTAGAAGGGAAGTGCAGTATTTTCTTGGAAAATAGTAATAATCCACTTTGTTTTCCATTATCTCTGTTTCCACAGTTACCTCATAGGCATGTTGAGATAACTGTATTTTAGGCTTGCAATTAATTTGTGAATTATTAAGAGACTGGTGATCATAGCTCTCTCTTGATAGTTCTCGTAAATCTCTCTCTCTGACTTCTGGTCAGCTCTTGGAGTCTTCTTTCTGGACACATGAAAAGAAAGGACAGAGTTGGATGCAATGTGTCAATGGTTAGGGGTTGGGCTGGGATATAGGTCATCAAGATTTAAGTGTGCCGTTGTTTTGAGTTTTGATTGCTCTAAAAGGGCAAAGAAAAAACAGGTTTTCTCATGGGATTTTTGCCATTAGCACACCAAATTAAAGCCAAATCTGCTTTTCTGGGGGAGGACTGACATTTATGTTTCCTCTCTTGGTCAGAAACCAGAATTTTATTTAATTTCTTAAGGAATTAAAGTTTCTGCAAAATTTGAAAGAGAATGGTATAACTCAACTTAGTTTCTTGACATGGGCAAATGTTTGAGAGTTCTTTGTGATTTAATCAATTAATGTTTTCATTTTTATTTTATTATAATAAAACAAAGAAAAAAACCCCCAATATTATAAAAATGCATATTCCCTCTGAACAAGGAAGTAGATTCCTGAACAATTACAGGAAAGAAACTTTTCCCCCCACCTAATACATTCTTCACTTGTTACTCTAAAACATTCAGGCACTCCCACGCTCTGAAGAGTGGGAGAATGAGTGAGAGAAAAGTCTACACTTCATGCAAGGAGATGCTGAAGTTGACCTCATGTGTGGTGCATGAGTGTTCAGCAATTGTGTTTCATCTTTACTGAGCAACAGAAAGACCCTGAGCCCTGGCATCACTATTGCCAGTGTATTAGTCCATTCTTACACCTATCAAGGTGGGCAATTCATAAATGCATAAGTTTATACATTTATAAAATGTATTAGTTCATTTGCACATATTACCAAGACTGGATAATTTATAAAGGAAAGAGTTGTAATTGACTTACAGTTCTGCATGGCTGGTCAGGCCTCAGAAAATTTACAATCATGGCAATGGCAGAAGGGGAAGTAGGCACCTTCTTCACAAGGCTGCAGGAGACAGAAGTGAGAACACGGAAAAATAAAACTACCACCTTTAAAACCATCAGATCTCATGAGACTTCACTCACTATCACGAAACAGCATGGGGGAAAACACCCCCATGATCTAATCACCTCCTTCCCTCGACATGCGGGGATTACAATTCGAGATGAGATTTGAGTGGGGACACACAGCCAAACCATATCAGTCAGTATCTCCCATCACTGCTGGCAGTGATGCAGCACAACAGTCTTGGCACTGTGGCTTTGCTTTCCTGCACACCTACATGAACCCTTTCAAATGTGGGCTGATGTTAAAGCTTGGGAAGCTTGCATTTATATCTTACCTGTGATATCATTGTGTTCTCTAACACACTTTTACTGAGCACCTGTTTTATAAAAGCCTTTGTTGGAGGCTCTTATAAGCCTCCAACATGTGGAATACATTATTGAACAAAAGTCATCCCCACTTTTTATAGTTTAGATTCTAACAGGGGAAAAAGCCCCCAAATCATAAGAGTAAGGCATGAAGGAATTACACGGTATTTAGAACAGATGAGTAAAAAGGAAAAGAAAGGGTAAGATGAAAACATAGAGCTGGACAAGAGGGAGGCATATTTACTAGAAATGATCTGATTAGTTCTCATAGGAAGCTGAGACTGGAGCAAATACTTGAAAGAGAACAGAGAGGGCATTCTGAAGCTCTCTTCAGGTGGAGGGTCCCAGACAGACCAACCAGAGAGAGAAAAGGGCAGCAGGTAAGCCTGAGGAGCTGGGAAAGGGGCATTGCTTATTCATGCATTCGTTACGATTCAAGATATATTGCATGGGACATATTTATATTCACACACAATTACTTTTATCTATCTGAAATAAATTATAAATCTCTGTTACCTCTTTAATTACATCTTCCTGATGATTTGGCTTCCCTTATCGATTCCTTTTTTTTTTTGCAGAATTCACTCAGAAAATTCCTTGCAGATACAGTGTGTTTTCCATTCCATTGAAGTGTATCTTCTGAGGCAATCACTTTCACATTTGTTTCTTTTTTTTTTTTTTGCCTAATGACTATGCATTACTAAGAAAATGATCAATATTTGCTTTATGAACTGTATGCTGTCCATGTACTGGCATAAAGTTACCCTTTCTGAAAACCGCTTTTCAGATTTGATTTGTTGAGGAGCATAATACCACCTTCTATGACATAAGTTGCTTTTCCATTCTTTGGGATTTCAATTGCATCTCTTATTCAACTTTTAAAAATGTTGCCCATTGCCAAAAAGAAAGCATCCACATCGACTTTAATTCACTTTATCCTCAACATTGCACATGATAGTCTCCTTATTTCCAGGCTGGAAGAGTATTAGTCACATCCATGAAAAAGCAAAGAATTCTTAAGGTGTGAAATCCATTTCAAAGGTAGGCTCAGCAAATGCTGTAATAATTGTCCACTTTGTGTCAAAATTTCTTTTTCTGTTTATAGGTAATGTTGTCCCTTTTACTACTATTGTTGATACTTAGAGTGATACATTATTCTTCAATTATTTCTTTAATACCTTCAACAAGCTTAAGTATAAAAATGATACCTTTTTTCAATTTAAATAATTCTATAACTGAAGATATTTTTAAAAGTAGTCAGAAGCGTAAAGGCTTTACTCAATGAATCATATAAAAAGTCAACATGGATTTTGGGGGCTTTCTTTTTTCAAAATTGAAGTATGATTTCACTGCTTCAAATAAACAGAAGATTTTTTTAAATGAAATGTATGAAAGAATATAATGAGTTTTTGACAGTGAGATAATTGAACATCACTAGTTGAACGAAATCACAAAAGTCCTTTAATTGCTCAGTTTGAATAGCTAAAGTTTGAGAACAATTTCATACGAATAACTTTGATGTCAATAGGAATGAACACCAGCTGCTGTTGAACAGCATTGCATGGAGCACGGGCAGGACAGCCAACTCGACCACAGAATCATTTTTGCTTTCTATTGACTCTGAATAAATATCATCTGCACACTTATACAAACATCCACCCCCAAAATTGTATTTGTATTATTTCTATCTAAAGCAGTACAATTGTTTTTATTTACTCCTAGTTCAATAAGGGAGTCTGTGGAAAAATTTCTGTTCTTTCTGAAGTCTTATCTGGGAGAGTATTTACTCACAATAATCTTTTTCTTTTTTCACAAGAAAACATATTTCACAAACAAAAGAAAATTGTTTAATTTTCTTTAAATTAAATTTAAAGAAATAAAATTTAAATTTAATTAATTTGATTAATTGCACTTGTGGCTATACCATAAAAAGGTGAGGCATTAAAATCTTTGATAATCTATGCAATGGTAAATGGGGCTATTGCATTTTTAATTATTGCAGTAATTAAAGTTTTGAAGTTTTGCACCATCTATCATGGAGAAGAGGCTTAGTTTTGAAACATATTTGGGCAGCTCTTGCTGAATGATTAGCTCACACACAGGTAGCTGTGCTGTAGTAGTACAGTTGTGGGTTGTTTAATGATGGGGATACATTCTGAGAAATGCCTTGTTAGGCAATTTCGTCATTGTGAGAATGTCACAAAGTGTACTTACGTAAACCTAGTGCACCTGTTATACACTTAGGCTATAGCATTGTATATGTGGTCTGTCATTGACCCAAATGTCGTTACTCAGCTCATGACTATATTTGATTTTGGCTAGCATGGGCTGGGCAATCTCTTCCAGCACTGTGGCTCGGCGATCACATGGATTTTTCACTTACAACATTCCATGAAATGCAAAGAGAAGAATTAATGGGAGAGTCAGAGGTATTTTCCAATTTACATAGCTCCATTGTTGAAACTTGTATGTTTTCTCTTAGCCTCAGTTAGCTATGACACACAGCCATGCCTTACTGCTCTGAGTGATGCGTGTGTTATCCACAGCCTCACGTGGCCAGCTAGACTGACTCAGGCCTCGGCAGGTGCTTGGGATCTTACTGTTCCTTTCCATGCCCTTCTTCGGGGCAAATGCCAGGAAAGATATGCTATCTGAGAACATTAGAAAAGCTGTCACTGCTCACAGCTTAGCGCTTCTGGGAAAATCTGGTTCCTCTCCCTGATCAAGAACACCTGCCGGTTCCACATGCATTGTCAGAAGGTGAACCTGTGAGTCACAGTGAGGCTCCAGGCTCCACATGTGAGCGATCGTGCAAGCACCGACTCCTAGAGATGAAAGAGGTCCAAGAATACCTGATCCAATTCTCCTCAGATGCGAAAGTCTCTCTCTGGCATACTGTTAGGCGGTGCCACAGTGCATGTTTGAAATGTAGGTTCAGAGCTGTGCCCTTGGATGTCATTATCACTGTTGATAATTGTGGCTAGAACAACTCTACAGGGCACCATACACATGCACCCTCTGGAGCTGTGCCACAACCTGTGGCCCTATCTGATGTCTGTGACTGATATTATCTTCTAAGATCCAAGAAGACACTCAAGAAGATGTTTATGTCTGAGTTGAAGACCATCTACCTCCATGACCAAAGTGTCCCTGGAGAGTGCCCAAAGTCAAGTTTCAAATTCTCTGTAAGAATTATTTTTATGTTTTATCTAACCATAAGGGCCAAGCTGTTCCTCACCAGTGTCTTGAGTGCCTCCTCTGACAGAGAAAACATTATTCCTTCTAGCCATGAGACCATGGGAAAGGCAGTTCTTCCTCACGTTGAGTCACACACACTCAATTTGCTTGTGGCTTCCCCACATTGGTCCTGGTCCTGCCCTTTGGGGCTTGCCTTGGATTGGGATCTCAAAAAGCAGAAACACACTGCACTTTCAAGCATTTGCTCACTTTCCCTTTTCAACCCTAAGACAAACCTATGGATGAGCAGGCATGAGATCTCCTCCCACCTTATGAATGGAGAAACTGAGGCTCAGAGCAGGTGCCCCATCCACAGGCCAGGTGCCTCCCAGTTCCTGTGGCTCTTGGCCCTGGGGACTGCTCTCTCAGCTCAGCTTAGGATCAGCGGAGGGAAGGAGGGTGATATGGTTTCGCTCTGTCCCCATCCAAATCTCACCTTGAATTGTAGCTCCCATAATCCCCCATGTGTTGTGGAAGAAACCCAATGGGAAGTGATTGAATCATGGGGGTGGGGTTTTCTGTGCTTTTCTTGTAATAGTAAATAAGTCTCATCAGATCTGATGGTTTTATAAAGAGGAGTCCCTCTGCACATGCCCTCTTGCCTGCTGCTGTGTAGAATGTGCCTTTGCTCCTCCTTGCTGTCTGCCATGATTGTGAGGCCTCCACAGCCATGTGGAACTGTGAGTCAATTACACCTTTTTCCTTTATAAGTTACCCACTCTCGGGTATGTTGTTATTAGCAGCATGAGAACAGACTCATACAGAAAGCCTTCTGTTAAATGTTCTGTGCCAGCCCTTCTTGATGGTTGGTCGCCTGCAGGGGCAGTCTGCTTCATCCCACTTGCTGTGCAGTGGCCCTGAGAGGGTTCTGTAGGAAGAACGGTCTCTGTGCTTTGAAAGGGTCTCTCGCTTAACATCAGTAGCTGACCCCCCGGGAGCCGTGAGAGAACAGAGATCTGCAGGCAACCCTGCTCAGACGGCTTAGTCCTATACAGAAGCTGCTGGGCAGTCTTCCACCTGAATTTTATGCTTTAATTATTTACTTTGTATATGATCTTTTTTCACAGTTATATTTATTTTATTTTCACTTTAGCATTTGACTCCAAGGTGTTAAACTTGGAGTGTGAAGCTATGAGAGATGGGTCTGGGATTATGACTATGCGGTCCTAATGCTTTCTCAGTAATGAATATGCTCTGATCATAAGTTTCTTGCCTAGATTCCATTGCTGCTTTCTGGATCCAAATGTTTTTGTTTGACCAAAGAGTGGGTGCCATTTGACTTTCAGGAGAGCATATAAAGTTTCAGGAGGATGGAAAATAAATTCCCTTATGTAAGAATTTATAGGGTTCCAAATTAGAAACCAAAAATGGAATAAGTGGTGATTTTTATATTGAAGTAAACTAACTATTAGACATAAATTTTTCTACAATGTCAGATTTTTACTTATGTACTTGTAGACAGGGGATCAGTTATCAACTGATGTGTAATAAATGACTCCAAGGTTTAGTGACTAAAACAACAGCCATTTACTTTGTCCTGTGCTTCAGGATGTAGACTGCAGTCAGCTAGACATTTGTTTTACTTGTCTTGCTTCCAAAGAGATGTCTCCCGGGCCTCTAGCCACTGGCTACATGTGGTTATTTAATTTTAATTATGAATTAATTTAAGAAAATAAAATGTCTGATCCTCAGCCACACTTGCCATGTTTCAGGTGCTCACTAGACATGGGAGTGGAAGATGCCCTGTAAAACAGCAGAATTATAGGGCATTTCCGTCATCACTGTAATTTCTACTGGGCAGCACTAATCCAGAGCCTTGCCTGTGGCTGGACAGTTTAAGATGACCTCTGTCATGTGTCTGGTGGTCAATGCTGGCTGTCCACTGGAGTATAGATCTCCACAGGCTGGTCTGGCTTCTTCTTATGGAGTTTGGTTTCAAAAATTGTAAAGCAAGAAGGTGGGCCCCCATGCCAAGGTCTTTGAAAGCCTCCACTGACATCACATATATTGATGTCCCATTGGCCAACACAGATCGCGTGACCCGCCCAGAGTTAATACAGGGGGAGCCCGAGCACGGTGCACACCCCAAAAGACACAACTCAATGAGGGCATTGAAAACTACCGCATGGTGAGACGTACATGTTATTTTGGAATAATTAGTAAGCACTCAAAGCACAGTGTATTTTGAAAGCATCATTTAGTTCATGATCTCCATTGGGCTCACAGCAGCCAGTTTTGCAAAATTATACCACAATAACAAAGATTGTCAAGCCTCAGCAAAGTATTCACATACATATTCACAGACAACTTTGTGTCTAAACTTACTATAATTAAATTAGAATTTTCACCACACTATAACTCTTTGCCTTGATGGTAGAAGAATCAATATTCAGTAAATATCTGTTCAATGAGACAGTGCAGGTGACGTAAGTAAAAAGACAATTATCATCTCATTTTCTTGCTGGAAGAAACAAACACTAAAAATTATAAATATGGAAAATTTATAGCCACGTGATACATAAAGGAGAAAAAAAACCAATAGTCAAAAGTAATCCAAGAGCCTGGTAATAACAGCTTCTAATATGTCATAATCTTCCACATGGCACTGTATTTCTTACATGCATTTGCATGTTCTAATTAGTTTAATAGGCTCAGCATCATTTCATCACTGCCTGCCATCACGCTCTGCCAAATAGCACAGTGGACTAGAGGGATAAAGACTGCTGCTTTGTCCTGCAGTTACATATTTTTGTGGGGAGAAAAATAAGGTTAAATAAGCAAGTAAATGATATGGTAAGGTGGAAGAAGAATTAGATACAAGAGGGTTGACTCAGTGGTGTTGGAATGCCTGAGGGGGCAGGGATTCAGGTTCCTGAGTTCAGGGTGGGCCTCTTCAGGGAGGTGAGGGGGCAGCCTAGCAGGTGTCCTGGGGAGGAACCCTCACATGGGAGCAGCTCAGGGGGTCCAAGAGCAAGTATAAGGAAGCCAGATGGAGAGTAAAGAGTCAGGGAGTGGGGTGTAGTGGTCCAGGTTCTCCAGAGAGGCAGAACCAATAGGCTACATGTGCAGAGATATCTATGGGAGGGAGGGGATTTATTAGGAAATTTGGCTCACACAATTATGGAGGCTAAGAAGTCCCATGACAGGCCATGAGTAAGCTGGAGACCCTGGGATGCTGGCAGTGTGGCTCAGTCCAGGTCTGAAAGCCTCGGTGCCACGGAAACCTGTGGTGTAGCTCTCAGCTTGAAAAGGCCTGAAAGCATGGAGGGATCTGATGCGAGTCCAGAAATCCAAAGCTTGTAGAGCTTGGGGTTCTGATATCCAAGGATAGAAGAGTTTCCCAACTATGGAAGAGAGAGGGTGAGATGTCAGCAGCTTTCTGCCTTTTTTTTCCCATCCGGGCCCCCAACTGATTGAATGGTGCCTGCCCAAATTGAGGGTGAATCCTCCCCACTCAGCCCACTAACTCACATGCCAATCTCATCTGGAAACACCCTGGCAAACACACCCAGGAATAACACTTTACCAGCTACCCACGTACCCCTTATCCAGTCAGGTTGACATAGAAAATTAACCATCACAGGGGGCTTAGATGTTCTCCCTCTGAATGAAATGCGGGGCTACCTCCAGGTCTGGAAAGAGTGGTATTGCTTTCCTCCTGTGCACAAGTTTCACTAGGGATGGGGGTGAGCATCCTATCTGTAGCTATAACTGTGTCTGTATCTGTGTCTATATTTAATCTTATCCTTTTCATTCTCAACATCATATTAAAATCATGTTCCTATGTCAGGTAAACACTCTTTGCATGTACACCATGATGATCACAGAAAACACTCAACAGTTTGGGTGTTGGGAGGTGGCCACAGCTTTGTTTGTGGGATTGTATGTCCAGAATTGTGTTTAGGGTTACAGAACCACGACCGCTGGCAGTAAAATGGGTGGCTGTGTTTCCCTGAGCCTCGGTTTCGCCAGCTGTGAAAGGCGCTGATGGCCACACACCCTATACTGGTTAAGTGAACTTGGGGACAAACATAGAGGGTAGAGAAGCAGAGCTGAGAAGCCTTGAGTGCAGGCTCGCTATGGATGCGGGTTGTGGGGGGTGCCATCAGTAGCATGGTATTAGCCATCACCAGGCTTCTCTGAGTTGGTGAAGGAAGAGATGGGGTTCGTTGAACAGCAGGAATTCTTCCAGAGGAAAGTCAGTGAATTGTGCGGCCCCTCCGGCCTCTGTCTGGCACCTGGGGACACATGGTTCCCATATTCCAAGACCAGCCGCATTCACAGGTACTAACACACACAGGCGCTCCTGCCAGTCACGTCCCACTGCTGTTGACGTGTGTTTCTGTTTTTGCAAGAAGTGATTTAACACGAGCCTCTGTGGTTTTAAATCAAGTTTGTTTACAAAAGAACGAGGTTTAGATAGAAGGGGGGGAAAGAGAGAACAATTTAATTCCTTCTCTCAAAGGATTAGTGCCCTTGATAAAAGTGAACAGAGAGGCTGGGGGAGGAAATTCCTCTCCTAGGGTTGATAGCAGCCCAGACACAGAGGCCAGTCTGGCTTCCTTCCCACCACACACCAGCCATGGCCAAAGGCCCAGTCGGTATCAGCCTCAGCCCTGGCTCTGGAGTGAGGATGGTGCTGACCTGCGTGGCCTGACTGGCAAGCACGCAGAAAAAGGCACCAATGAAGTAGAAGACCCTGGAGTAGGCATGTCCAGATGGCATCACTTGGTTAGAGATGTGCCACAGTATCTTCACGTCCTCAAGATTGTTGGCATTTTTGCTCAGGCCCCTGTCACAGGCACGCAGCAGCATGATGTTTTTGGGAGTGGAAATGAAGACAGTTTTATAAGAAAGCAACTTTCTCTTGTGAGAACACAGCTGGCTCTTCAGCCATGAGTTCTAGTTTGAATCTGCCAGCCCTTCCCATCTGTTTGACATTCCACAGCTTTGTGGGTGGAGACCAGGCATTTTTGAGTGGAGTGTCCCCCACCCCTAACCTGGAACTTGGTGCAACATTGGAAGGTAAAGGTGGAGTTTCCAAGAGAACAGCATTGAAGGAGGGCTGGGAAAGCACAAGACAGGAAGAGTCTGTGCCAAAAGACCCTGGATAGGAAGAAACACAAGAAAAAATTTATCCAAAGTCAAGATTGAGTGGGAGCCCAGAGGAACGTTGCATTCAAATGGCAAGTATTCTACTTAACTTAGCATCTTGTAATTTAGTATCTAAAGCAATTTGGTACCTTCTCTTAATTTAGTATCTTTTTTCTATAATGCCAAGTTACATATATAAAAACATGTATTTCCTTATGCTCAGAATAATGAATACATGTTAATTCTTACCATGACTCAATAATCAGTTTTTTTGGCAAAAGTTAGCAATATCCATTTTAATTTTAAAAGTTAGTTTACAGAATCTTCAAGAAAATGTGCTTCGCAGACATATTTTGGATAACTTTTTTCTCATAATACTTTTCTTGGTTTTTCAGGAGGGATTATGTTTGTGCTCCATTGCCTTTCAATGGAAAATTGACTAAAGAAATTGAAAATAAGGCACAGTGTATGTAAAATTTGGTATTTAAATGCCCCATTTGATGAAATTAGATAATGCTAAGATTCAATTTGAATGACTTGCAATTTCAAAAACTTAGAGCAAATAATGTATTTTTATTGTTTCAAGATGGAAACAAAACTCTCAGTTGCCTGGTTTTGGCTTTGGATGGACTCTACAGATGTTTCATGTGACTTGCCAGTTTAGAGGCTCCCCTTAACCCCTGCCCCTCCCAATAAAGCCGTTGGCTTTTCCCACCAATCTCAGCACGTCTCAACTGACTGCATCACGAATGCCTGCTTACAGCACCTGATCAACAAGGGTTGTGGAAAATAAGTGAGTGAATGAACACAATTGTGCTGTCCGATGGCATTTAGAGAATCATGAGTTCATGGCTGGGTAGCATTTTTTCTTTTCTTGTGTTATTCTGTGACCACCAGTGCATGGAGCCAGACATGGGAGTGCCATGAGAGCCCAGACTGGGAGGCAGCAGAGCCTAGACTGACATGGGCCTTGGGGACAGGATGGTCATTTCCTGTGGTTTCAGCAAAACTGAGTTTTGCTGCACTGGGGGCTGACGTCCATGCAGACAGGCACTGTATTCTAATGGCCTGCTTGGATGGGTGCATCTTTTTTTTTTTCACAAATGTGTTGTGTAATGGATTAAGGACGATCTGCATATCTGCTTGTAGTAATTTTTTTATGGCATCAATAGAAATCAAATAACAGTGATTAATACTTCTTGTTCCCTAATAAGGACATCTGGTTTGGGGAAGTTCAGTAACACACCTGACACCATACAGGTGTTAGTGGTAGAACCAGAACGCACTCCAACCTGTGGCTGATCCCACACATTCCTTCCATACCCTGCAGGTCAATTGCAATGTCTGAAGAGCATGGAGATGCAGAAAAAAGGCTTTTTTTTTTTCTGTAAAGACAGTTATTCTACACTTAGTTCAGGCATATTTTGATATACACAGTGAAGGAGAAATGTGGGTTATACTTTGATGTTATGCACGGACAAGCCAAAGATGTGATTTTCCTGATTTTTGGCCAGAAACCTTCCCACATGCAAGAAATGGCTCAATTGAATATTCAAGTAACAAAAAGATAGTTAACGTTTGTTAGTGACTAAAATGTGTTTGAAGCTTTAGATATTTTCATTTTCATTATTTCAATTAATCACCTATAATATTTATTCCTTCATTGATTTCATTCATCCAGTCAACAAATGCTTTCTAAGACCTTTCTCTGGAGAAGAACTGATTATGTGCTGGGAGGTCCATGATATACAATACATATAGATCATACATTTAGGGAGGTTCCGTTCAAATATGAAAAAGATTCACTAATTTCAGGTGGTAGTAAATACAATGAAAACAACAGGGCAATGAGATAGAGAGTGGCCAGACAGAAGGGACTTTCATCTCATCTCATCATGATGACAGCAAGATTCCTGCAAAAATCCTATGAAGAGAAGTGGTATGGGCAAAGGCCCTGTGGCAGGAAGGAGATTGCTATTTTCTGAGTTGACATGTTTGAGGAATGGAGAGAAAACCAATGCAGTTAGAGAGTAAGTGAAGGAAAGTACACAAAGAAGGCAAAAACAAATCTTACTTTGCAAATGAAAGAGCCTATATTTAGAAAAATAGAGTAAGTTGGCTAAAGTCACATTACTGAGGAAACTTTACTTCATTTCTTGCCCCTGTCTAATACTAGATTTCCATGTCCTTTTTTTTTTTTTTTTTTTGAGACAGAGTCTCACTCTGTCACCTAGGCTGGAGTGAAGTGATGTGATCTCGGCTCACTGCAACCTACACCTCCTGGGTTCAAGCAATTCTCCTGCCTCAGCCTCCCAAGTAGCTGGGATTATAGGTGCCCACCACCATGCCCAGCTAATTTTTTGTATTTCTAGTAGAGATGGGGTTTAGCCATGTTGGTCAGGCTGGTCTCAAACTCCTGACTTCAGATGACCCACCCTTCTAGGCCTCCCAAAGTGGTGGGATTACAGGCATGAGCCACCATGCCTGGCCCCCATGTACTTTCTAAATCTCTGCACCTCTTGCCTTCATAAGACCTTTTGTTATCAATGATCCCTTCTTTCTACTATATCTTCAACCTTACCCTCCTTCCTGCATTTGAACACTCCAAACCTCCTTGATTTTAAACAAATCCTTGCCAGCTTGAGGGTGTCTCTAGTGCGTCAAATATAAACCAATTTCATGAAACTTGCTATAGCATGAATGTTTATGTCTTCCTAAAATTCATATATTGAGGCCAGGCAAGCTGGCTCATGCCCATAATCCCAGCACTTTGAGAGGCCGAGGTGGGAGGATCACTTGAGGTCAAGAGTTTGAGACCAGCCTGGCCAACATGGTGAAATCTCATCTTTACTAAAAATACAAAAATTAGCTGGGCATGGTGATGTGTGCCTGTAATCTCAGCTACTCAGGTGGTTGAGGCAGGAGAATCACTTGATCCTGGGAGGTGGATGTTGCAGTGAGCTGAGATGGCAGCACAGCACTCCAGCCTGTGTGACAGAGTGAGACTCTGTCTCAAAAAAACAAAAAACAAAAAGAAATTCATATGTTGAAATCCTAACCCCCAAGGTGATGATATTTAGGAGGGAAGTCAAGAGTACTTGAACACAGGATGGATGGATGAAGTGAGGCTTTGGAGGTGATTAGGTCATGAAGGAGAGACCTCATGGATGGAATCATCCCTTTATAAAAGCACTTGCCCCTTCCACCTTGTCAGGACACAGTGAGAGGGTACTGTCTATGAGCCAGGAAGAGAGCCCTTGCCAGACACCAAATCCACTGGTGCCTTGGTCTTGAACTTTCTAGCTTTGAGAACCATGGGAAATAAATTGTCATTGTTTAGAGGCCACCTGGTTTGTAATATTTGGTTGTAACAGCCAAAATAGACAAGACAAAATTCTTCCCCAGATATGGTCCCTTGTCAAGGTTTCTTGTTGCCTCCATGGATAGCACCCTCACGCACCTGTTGCACAAATCATAGTTTCAGAGTCATACTGGACATCATACATCCAGCCTGTGTTCAAGTACACTTGACTTCCCTCCTAAATATCTCTCAAATCCGTTTGTCTTACTTTACCTCCACCACCAGATCCTGGTCTATGCAGCTATCATCTTCAACCTCCATGTCCTTAACTGCCAATAGCACTGTCTCCACCTGCTCCTTAAAGCACCTCCCCAATCCAGTCTCCACTTGTCTCGGAAAGTCCTCAGCCACACACATATAACATATATTCACATGTGCCCACATATATAAACTCATATTTCCTTGCTGTAAGTTCCAAGAGTCTGGTATTACTTTTCATAGGCTCACCTTAAGTCCTAATTGCATGGTTTAGAATGATTCTCCCTCTCTAGGTCATCTTTTCTCCCTCACTAGTTTATACCCATCACATAGACTGAGATTAAATAAATTAAAAGGTGTGTTTCTTCAGGCACGATGGCTTAAGAATAATGTTGTAATTTTTAAATTTAACTTCTGTTTTGATCTGCTGACTAGACCATGGTTTTTGTGCTAAGTTGAAAGCTTTCTTGGAGTAAACACTCTGACAGTAGAAATACTTCCCCACCTCCAGAGCAGAAAGATTCCAAGGGGTGCCTTAACCCTGGCATTGCTGTGTCTGCACTGGGGGGGGGTGTCTGCTGCCTCTGGCCTGCTCACCTGGTAGAGTCATTAGGGAGGCATTTGCATGGCTTGCTCTTTGTTAAATCATTCAATAGAACTGGCAGCATCTGGAGCTATATGTACCATGGAATATTTAGACAGCAGGCCTTTGGGCCAGAACTTTGATATGTAAATGATTTCCAATCATTTGCTCTCCCAAGACCTGTTGGCTGTGCTGACTCAGATCCAGGATGCAGAGACCAAAATGAGAAGCCCTGAGTGTTCTGCTTGGGGATTCTCATGTGAGTCATTGTCAGAGTTTTGGAAAAGAAATTATATTTGTTTCTATTTCTAGAAAGCCAAGAAGCATCCCAATTTTAAAACCTTCTGTCTTTTTTTTTTGATTTTCACATTTTTTTTCTCCTAAATCTTCCCCACACAGAGTTGGGGTGAAAGCTGTGAGGCTTGGCTGGGGTGGGAACCCTCCTGACCCCTAATTCACATTTTCCCATTTATTCACCCCTCACCTGAAAGTGCTCAATTCTCAGGGAAGTTTTGTTCCTGTTAACTACCTCTGACCCAACTTCTGGGCAGAGTTCACATTGTGTATGCTCACATAATCATTGGGGAGAGCAGTTCTCCGCTCCTCAGGACTAGGAACAAAACCTAAACAGGGCTTAGCATGAACTGGGGTTACAAGATACTGACTTGCAAGATGCAGGATGCCACTCCCCAGCAGCACTGAAGATCATGTGTCTCCGGGCTGAAACCAGTCTGTGTGTCTGGAACCTACTCTGACAAGGTCACTGCATCTGTTGCTTGGGCATTTCCCAAGGCCTGTGGATTGAGCCATCTCAGGAGTGTGAAGAGGGTGGAGCAAAAGCCATGAGGAATTTGTTGGTGATTGAATGGTGAGGAGCTAGAAGTAGTGGTCCTGGATGCAGGTGCCCTGTCTGTATCTTGGTGGCAAGGTGACCCCAGGGAAGAAACTGTTACTGGACCCTTATGCTTTCATCTTTAGAGCAGGATAAGGACACCTACTTAGAGATTTACAGTGAAGCAGCAGCTGGGATGATGTGAAGCACTAGAATTATTAATACTGGGGAATATTTACTGTGAGGAGGTGGGAGATGCTGGAAGAAAAGGGGGTCATTAATGTGCAACCCTGGAGCGGGGAGGGCAAGGATGTGGACGAGGGATGGTGGAATCCCCAAACTCTGCCAGTGGGATGGAAGATGCCAGATCTTCATGGGGCTGAGATATCCTCAAGGCAATGTGTCTCTTTTCCCATCTTTACAGACAAAGAATATGAAGCCGATAGGGATAAAGTGAGTAACCCAAGGTCACAAGACAAGAGAGCTGGTCCAGGACAAGAACTTGGTGCTCATGTCAGGTTCTCTCTGCCACATCTTGAGAATACGTGCATCCTTTGTGAGTAAATGCTTTACTGTGATGAAGGAAATAGAAGAGACATAGTGAAATGTTTTCATGCTTTGTATCTGCACTCTTGATTATCTCATTAATTCTCTGTGACAAGTTTTGCTAGCAATGCATTTTGTTGTCTTGGTGTATATTATTATATACATCAGAAAGCCATTGAGAAGTTATCAACAAAATATAAAAGTATGCTGTGCCACTCCAGAGACAAAACCACAACTGACACACAGGTTTGTTTTCTTCTGACCCATAAGTGCACACGCATATGAAAATGAAGATAAGGTTTAGAGCAAATGTATAGCCTTTTGTCTTGTTTTAAAAACATCATATTGCTTAACTTGTGAGCATTTTTGTAAACTGCATTTCTATCTCTTTTTGTGTATTAATCTATCTATCAAAAGTTAGGCTATAAATAAAGGCTAACAAGGCTAAACTGGATAGTACACTAATATAAGAAAGTAATATAGCAGAGCCAAATTTGACATTACACGTTTCTTTGATTGGAGTCAGAGATTATGTTCAGAGTGTTGTGAGATTTCTATAAATTCATTTATTTACTTTGTTTCCTCATTTTGATAATACAGAAAGATATTCTGGATTATATAGATAAAACATCTATATTCAGTATAGCCTTGCAATTTCAAAGACCAGATTTTTGCTTCTGTTTAAGATTACTTTGTTGCCAGGTAGTATTCACTTAATTAGAATCAACCATTTAAGAAGAGAAGGGGTAGAATAATAGGTGCTCTTCCAAGTGCAGTTTAAATGAGGGTGGGATTATATTCAGATTCCAAAAAACTCAATTTTTAAGGAGCAAGCTCAAAATTACATTTGTTTGGCTGGTTTTTTATTTTGTAAATTAATGAAGTTGGGTAGGAGGATATGAGCTATAAGCATACATTGTTTTTAGGGGTTTGTTTGTTCTACTTTTTTAAAATAAATGATTGCAGAGTAACTATATTTGTCCATTCTCATGCTGCTAATAAAGACATACCCAAGACTGGGTAATTTATAAAGAAAAGAGGTTTAATTGATTCACAGTTCCACATGGCTGGGGAGGCCTCAGGTCATGGTGGAAAGTGGAGGAGGAGCAAAGTCATGTTTTACAAGGCAGCAGGCAAGAGAGCATGTGCAGGGGAACTCCCCTTTACAAATCCATCAGATCTCATGAGATGTATTCACTATAATGATAACAGCTTGTGAAAGACCAGCCTCCATAATTCAATTACCACCCACATGTGGGAATTGCGGGAGCTACAATTCAAGATGAGATTTGGGTAGGGACACAGCCAAACCATATCACTAACTTCATGGAAAGTGGCCAAGATAGTACAAAGGGATCACAGGTACCCTTCACCCAGTTCCCCCCATTGATGACATCTTACATAACTGGATTACAGTATCAAAACCAGTAGATGACACTGGAGCAATCCATAGAGTTTATTCAGATTCCACCAGTTTCGTGTGCACTCATGTCTGTGTGCACTGATAGTTCTATAAAGTTTCATCACATATGTAGATTTATGTAACCACTGCTGCCATCAAGGTACAGAACTGTTCTATCACCACGAAGATCTCCCGCATGCCATCTTGGTGAATGTTCCATGGGTGCTTAAAAAGGGTGCATATTCTACCATTGTTGGGTGTAGTGTTCTATAAATATCAATTAGATTCTGTGGGTTGACATTGCTGTTAAGTTAAAATTATCCAATCTAAAATTCCAATAATGCGGAAGTGGAAACATTTTGGTCTAATATATCAGTTGGCTTTCTCTGGTTAATAAAGCAGGAAGAATCTGTGGCTTGTAACAAAAACAATTTGTTTCTTGTGCATCTAGGGGCTTCAGTTCTTCTAAGTTTGTCTTGGCTGGGCTCACCCATAGCTCTGGTGATCAACTGAGGTTTGACTGAGCTAGGCTAAGTTCAGCTTGGACTGGCTCTGCTGCACATGTCTCTCATCCTATTCCTGAAACCAGTGGGCCACCATGAGCATGTGCTGCTCCTGGTGATTGCAGAACAGGATCAGGAACTCTCTGCTGGGGAAAGTGTTTTCAGCAGGTTGCCTTTCCGTAGATTCAAGAGTGTCATTCTTCTTTCAACTGCAGTATCTTTTTGTCATAATTTTTCATCATTACAGAAAAGGCTCTGGGTGTGTTTAGTACTGGGTTGTAGCCCCATGGGAGCTGAGAGGTGGGCTAGCCCTACTTTCTGGCTGGTGAAGGTGTCCACTCAGAGCCTATCTCTGCCTTCCCTCTGCCTGATGGGGCAGGAAAAATTGAGCCAGGATGCTGAAATTGCCCAGTGCCTCAGTAGGATCCAATTCTTCCTAGGTCACAAACACAAGAGGTTGCCCTTGTTTGCCCCCTGTCCTGCCTCATCCTCCAATACCTTCATGAATAGCCTAATTTATTAATAGTTTGAGGCTTCATTCTCACCCTCTTTGAAGTTCTTCAAATTGGGTCCACATGCACTTTATCTGGCAGGGGTTCTTTACTGTTCCTGGCATGTGAGTGGCTTGTTCCTAGCATTGTTTTAAGTTTTTCTATATCATGTATTCTGTTGTTCATCTCAATGTCAGTCTCAGAAGGGGGTAAGTAGAGAAACACATGTTTCTGCTTCTATCTTGCCAGGAATTCTTGCCCTTTTCAGTAGAAAGCATCGTGGGAAAACATACAGAGTGGAACACAGGTAACATGCTCAGAAAATGATTAATAACTCCCAGAATTCTGTCAAAGTCCTGGAAACAAGTTCTCCTGTCATTTGCACAGGTCTGTTCTACAACCTGGAGAAGAATCTCCCTCTCAGGTCCCCCTTATCTTCTATAGCAGGTGGGTTGTTGCAGCATCGATGTACATCTAGCTCACCGTGCTCTGGCTGTAGTGTTTATTAGCCTCGTTATGTCTATACCAATCCTACATTCCCTGAAGATTCAATTCCAGTGGAAGTTTCTATATGAAGTTGTCTGCCTCGCCTCCCACTGACAAGAATAAAATCCAGGGAGATGGCTGGGAAAAGTCTGTTCCCTGCTACCAATACTATCTGGGTATTCCTTCATTCTTCCCTTTTAAGATCGGGCAGTAATGATTTCTTGATGTGAAAAGCTCTCACTTTTTTTCCCACAAGATAGAACCGATGACAGATACTTGAGGGCCCAGTTAACCATTTTGGAACAGCTTTTGGCATTCCTGCCATGCAGAAATTGGGCTTCTAACCCAAAGACATAACAATACTCTGCCTAAAAGGTATAAATAAGTAATGTTTCATGTGTTTATTGCCAACATTTCAAGTACTTAGGCAGAATTAGGAGTTTTCCTTTGTTCTTTTTTTTTTTTTTTTTGAGACAGACTCTCGCTCTGTCGCCCAGGCTGGAGTACAGTGGCACGATCTCGGCTCACTGCAAGCTCTGCCTCCCGGGTTCACGCCATTCTCCTGCCTCAGCCTCCCGAGTAGCTGGGACTACAGGTGCCCGCCACTACGCCCGGCTAATTTTTTGTATTTTTTTTAGTACAGACGGGGTTTCGCCATGTTGGCCAGGATGGTCTCTATCTCCTGACCTCGTGATCCGCCCGCCTCGCCCTCCCAAAATGCTGGGTTTACAGGCGTGAGCCACCGCGCCCAGCCTCCTTTGTTCTTTTTCTATCTGTCAGTTAGTTTTTTTCCTATTCATTGCATACAATATTGTTGGCTTGTTAATTCGATCATTATTTTTAGAGTTGTTTAAATGAAGAGGAAACCTTGTATTATAAGGCAAATCCTGATGTATATAATATCAGCATAAAAGTACATTTGTAAACTTTCAAATTCAGTGCTTTTTAATGTGTTTTCCTCATTATATACGTCTTACATACATACGTAAATACATAAATATATATATAAATCCATAAATATATGTATGTTTCCCTGAATAGACATAAAAGCATATCTTCAGTATGTCTTCTAGAATGAGAGAAAAATTAAGGGTAGAAGATACCTTAGCACTCATGTGAGGGAAAAACAGAGGTCCCCAGAAATGAACTGCTTTTCCCAGGGTCAAAATGACTCGTGGCAGACCCAGAATTAACAGCCTGGCCTCCTCATGTCTATTCCATGTAGGATGCAGCACAACTCTGCTGGGAGATGTGCAAATTGGTACCACCACTTTGAAAAACGCTTTGGCATTCTCCGATAAAGACGAACACATGCACACCCTCTGAGTCAGTTACTGTAATTCACACGTGTAATCAACAGGTTTGCAAACCCATATTCACCAAAAGACATTACAAGACCAGCTATGGTACACTAGCTCTCAGCTGCAAAGGAACCAATTATCTGTCAACATTTAATGGATGAATATATTTTGTTATATTCATTCAATGGAAAATAATAAACCTCTGCTTCACATGATAACTTGTATGATTATCACAAACGAAATGTGCAGTGAGAGAACCAAGCTGTATGATTCCATTTATTTAAGGCTCAAAAAGTCAGAAATGACTGTGTCAAAAAGTCAGTGACTCTGAAAAGCGGTGGCCTCTGAGGAGTCTGTGAAGGGTGGAGGTAATGCTAATGTTCTATGTCCATATCTGTCTGTAGAGAGCTGCTCACTTACGAGTTGTGCACTTTTTGAGTGGATATTATACTGCACATACATGTTTACAAATATAAATCCACACAAAGTATTCACTCTGGGCTTTTGTCAACACTACCTCCCTTTCCATCTGCAATGTTCCCATCTGTAAAATGGAACAGATCAATGAGATGCTCTCTCAAGGCCTGTACTGCTGGAACTTTCCCTGGTTCTCTGCTCACAGTCTTGCTGCAGCACTTGGTGAGCTGGGTGAGTACCCAGGAGTTGAGGGTCAGAAGAGGTGGAGGGACAGACCTGGCAGCAGGTGAGCTGCCCTCAGTTTAGTGCTTGAATCTCTTCCCCAGAGGTGGCCATTGTCTGGTGTTGGGAATTGCTATGGAGTGGGCAGGCACTTCTTTATTTTGGAGGGAAGTCTGTTTCATTCCAGAAATGTTCTAATTGTTGAAAATTCATCATTTATCAACCTGGAATCTTTCATCCCCTCACCTGCTCTCTGAATTTATTACATCTGATTTCTGCCCTGCAGCAAAACAAAACCTGTTATCTGCAGCCTGGCCAGAGTTGGCCACAGGCAGCAGGTTTCCTGCCATGTCCTCTGAAGGGAAGGTGCTAGGATGGGTCAGTGGGACAACGACCTGCACGTTTTCTCCCAGGCTGCATCCCTCGTCCTCATCTACTAGGCGCTGTCCCACTGTAGGGTGGGTGCCCATGCTTCCAGGACATTTGGACTGTCTTCCTCCACCTAGATGGCACTGCCAGACATCTGCCTACGGACACCCTCACGTTTCTTATGGTGCAGCACAAGCTTCCCTCTGCCACTTCCTGGAGTCACTTCACTCTCCCATGTCCGGCTGCCCATCTCATTCATCTTCATCAAATCCACATGTGGAATGTAAACACAGGCCTGGGGTATGAGGACAGTGAGGAAAGCTTGTTATCTTGTGCCATGGATGGTATGGCTGTGCATACACATGTTCGTATGTGCATATGTATGTGTGTATATATGTGCATGTGTGTGCATGTGACTGTGTATCTGTGCATGAGTGTGTGTACTTTTGTACGTGTACATGTGTATGTGTGTACATTTGTGTATGTGCACTTGCTCAAACAAAGCCAATGAGGCACCATTCATTTGTGTACCATCTTCCCTGGCATGTGCCCAGCACAGTACTTGACCCAGAGTTAAGCAGTAGTAAAGACCTATGTGATTAAATCTAATACTGCACAGTGTGATTCATGTGGCCTATTTCTCCCTGTGTTGGATTACAGAATCCATTAATTTTCATAGAAAAATTTACTGAGGGAGAAGAGTTGGTGTGTCTTGGCCCAGACTTCCCTTCCACCATGAACTGCGGATTTCTCTCTGCTCTCCCAGCCTCAGTTACTCCCTCTGTTCTCAATGAGATGGTTTCCATGCTTCCTTTTCATTCCATGCACTCAGTGGCTAAACACAAACTCTGGTACTATGATTGGAATCTTATCAAGATGTTGGTTACTGTGGTTATAAAAAGTAACATCTTAAAGAAAATAAAAACAGAGAAGACAGAGCATGTAGTGCCTAGCTTTCTCTGGTTATATTTTTAGTCCAAAAGTTAGATATCCTGGCTCTTAAGTTGGTTGCATGTGGCTATAAGGAGAGGGTCAGTCAGGTTGTGATGGCTTCAACCACAGAGACAGGTGCACATTTTGGGAATTATGTGGTCAGCCAGAACCACCTTCATAGGCCCTGGGAAGCTTTGTGTCTGAGCACCGTTTCCTGTTTACATCTCAGATGGGAATCTGAGTGAAGGCTTTGTTGTCTTCCTTTAATAACACATTATCAACTAGAAAGTTGTGCTATTAAAAATATTGCTTTAAAAAAGTAACACCTTTTAATTATCCAAGGGTCCCTTCTGTGATGATTCTGTGCTCCTATGCAGCAGCCTGTTTAGGCTAGGAAGGCATGACCTGGCATTCAGGGGTCTGAGGAGCATTGACCACCTCTGGACCTGGACTTGGAGCTTTCCTGAGGATCTAGTGCTACTTCTCCTCGAAAGGTCACTGTGAGTAGATTTAGTGTTTTGATAACACAATTTATTTTAATTCAAAGAAGGCTTGCACTAAATCAGATTTTGGATCAAGGGATCTGATAGTTTAATTTATCCTGTGGAACATAGTTGTATTAGGCTCTTCTTGCTTTGCTCTAGAGAAATATCTGAGACTAAATCATTGATAAGAAAAGAGGTTTAATTGGCTCATGGTTCTGCAGGCTATATAGGAAGCATAATGCCAGCATCTGCTGCTGGGGAGGCCTCAGGGAGCTTACAATTACCGTGGAAGGTAAAGCAAAGGCAAAGCAGGACAAGGCATATCACATGGTGAAAGCAGGAGCACAGGAGAGATGGGCAAGGAGCCGCACACTTTCAAAGCCCCAGATCTCACTCACTATCATGAAGACCGTACCAAGTGTGATGGTAATAATCCATTCTTCAGAAATCTGCCCCCATGATCCAGTCACCTCCCACTAGGCCCCACCTCCAACATTGGGGATTTCAATTCAACATGAAATTTGGGTGGGGACACAAATCCAAACCATAACAATAGGCAAAAAATAACAAAAACAAAAATAAACAAAAACAAACAAACAACAACAACAATAAAACAACTCTACTATAATTTGGGTCAATTGTAGAACCTGTTCCCTAAATAGCAGGATTGTAAGGTTGGGGGAAATATGATTTTGTTGACTGCATTGAACATAGGGCTGTCAAAACTTCAGTTAGAATGTCAACATGAATGCAGAATGGCTCTCTGGATGCAAGTAAAATGGCCTAGAAGAGTCACTCAGGAAGGTAATGCCTGGCACATCACGACTTTCCTTTGGACTGCCACGCCCACTCTGCTTTTCTTGGCTACCCCAGCGTGGTCTTTCCCCTGCCAGAATGGGCCAGGCCCTCCCTGGAAAGCCTTCAGTGGCTCCCCATTGTTTCGGAATAAAATCCAGACTATTTCCTCAGCTCTACTCAGCCTGATCTCCTTCCTCTGTCCACTCTTCACTCCACTGAACCTGCTGCATATTTTAGGTCCAGTACCAAGGTTTGCCATTTCTTGAATCACACCTTTAACTTTCCCATTTCCGAGTGCTTTTATGTTTCTCAGTTCCAGAAAGTGCTTGTCCATCATCTACCACCACTATTCCCATCCTATCCCTCCAGATGCTATTCCCAGACCTTCTTTAACTTTGTGGTGGAGTTCTGATTGGAATCATTCATGTCCACATCTGTTTGCCCAGCAGACCAAGTCCTAGATACTACTTACTTAAAACAATGGCTTTTATATCATCCACACCCAATAAATGTGAAGGACATCAGGAACAACCCACAGTGACATTTATGTTTCACATCACAGTCTACAAAACTGTTCTCACAGGAATTGTGTGAGTATAGTTTTATCCTCACTTCACTTGGTATGGTGACATGATTTTGCTCAAAACGCACATCTAGGTCTCTTGATTTCCAGGTTGCCTGTACACATAGCTATTTTGTGTATCCTCAGACCTGGGTACAATTCAGGGTGGTGCTGGCTTTTTACTACCTTAATCTAAGGAGGTGTGAGGACACAGTGGTTCACACTGAGGAACCTGGCTTGTTTCTACCTCCTTGGCTCTGCTAATTTCTGCAAACTGAAAGAACTGTCCAAAAGCCTCCAAGGAAATCACGGATTAGAGAGTGATCTGGAAATAGCCTCTAGTTTATGTTTTAACTCTGGACAGAAAGATACCAAAATTAACTCAGGTGAGAAGAAGTCATTTTGAAAAGTCCCTAAAGAAGCATTCTGTAGTCTCTGAGTAAGATGAGTGACTTTTTTTATAGTGAGAAAAGCATCAAATTCCATGTTAATTTCCTTACATCTAACTTTATATATTTCAATTTGTATTTTTGTACTTTTGATATTTTTATTTTTTAGTCATTATTAACATTAAAACTAATATGTATAATAGTAAATAAAAGTTAAACTCATCCCAGAAATTCCTTATAATCCCTATATCTTAAAACAACTATTATTATCATCTTTCTCAGATAAGCATATATTTCATACAATTGAGAAGGAGAAGCACACACCAGTTTGTAACCTGTTTTCATCTAAATGATATGGTAGACATTTCTACATAGCTTTTGTAATTCTCTCTTCTGCCAAAGTTGTAGCTAATTCTTCCCAGCAGAGTCCTCACTTCCTCTTCCTGGGGTGTTCCTGTGTTGCAGCACGCATTACCTTGCCTTGTATTTATTTACTTAGAGTGATATTCTCACTAGTCTGAGATTGGGATCTTCTCCAGTGTCGGGACCAGAGCTTTCTCCCATTTCTGTCTATGTTCTACACTCATGAGCTCTTCCATCATTAGGCTTCAAAACAGATGCAACCCCTGGGCACTTAAATCAAACTACCTTAACCTCCGAGCTCAGTGCTTGCAGTCCAGGCCCCTATGGTACTGCATGAAGGAATACACGGCTTGGGGGTCGGGGGACCTGTCTGTCATTTAAAAGAGTCTCATAGCATGTCCTGTTGTTTGAGCAGTGATCATCTTTTTTTGGCGCTTTTACGGTATGACTATATGTAAGCATGTATCCATCCATGTGATGCTAAACAAGATGCAGGCACTTGCTAAAACACAAACATGTACTTTTGAGCAAATGAATGTACTCCAGTTTGATCAAGAAAACATCTGGAGGAAAAGAGGAAATTTAAAAATCATCACAATGTTTAGTCTACTTGTTGCCACACACCCTGATGTGGTCAGATGTGTTTTTCTGTTTGCGTGATTGTTTTGGCACAATGGAGCTGAACTTGGAGGGACACTCTGCTGTGGCTGTTGTCTTCAGCCTCACCGTGTTGCCTATCCTGGGCATCTTCAGCATGGAACTGACATGCTTTTCTCTGTGCTGGGCTGACCTTCACCGAGGGCTGCCCCTGCCTTCCTCCTATCAGAAGAAGGTGAAGGGGAGAAAGACACTCTGCCCTACTGGCCAAGCCCCATGCCCAGTGCCTGATATTCACAGCCAACACTACTCCCCAATTGAAGCATTGTTGTTACTTAACTTTTAATCTGTCTATATTCATTGTGGAATAGGTCAATTTCGGATTTCATATAGATTCAACGAGTGGCCATTTGCCTTTTCCTCTTAAATGAAGAAAGAATTTTAATAAGTAGGAATATTTTATTGGGAGCAAGGGCAAACCTAACTAACTTGTGTCATATACAGAAACTACAGAGAGACAAGACACCTGCCTCCCACCAAGGGTCCTGTGTTTCCCCAGTCACTCCTGAGCTAAAAAGGAAGCCAGCTGTATCCAGAAGCACAAAGGAGTCTGATGCTAGACACCGTTAACGTGCTCTTTCCTTCAGCTGATGTGCTTCAGCTCCCCTAGTCTTCTGGGAACCTTTGAAAATATCCAGCTTCTTGAATTCCCACCTCAGACATCACCTCATCCAGAAAGTCATTCCCGACAGTCTGTCAGAAAGAATTCAAACCTCTTCTTCCTCTGTACCTCTGCACCAAGTCCGCTTAGCTCGCTCTGGTTTTTCATAGACTCTATTAATATGCAGCATATTATGACATTTACTTATTTGTTTTACTTATTATGTATTACCCTCTCCCAGAAAATAAGTTTTAAGAATAAATCTTTTTTTTTTTTTTTTTTTTTTTGAGATGCAGTCTCACTCTGTTGCCCAGGCTGGAGTGTAGTGGCACAACCTCAGCTTACCACAATCTCCATCTCCTGGGTTCATGCAATTCTCATGCCTCAGCCTCCCGAGTAGCTGGGAATACAGGCATGTGCCACCATGCCTGGCTAATTTTTGTATTTTTAGTAGAGACGGGGTTTCGCCATGTTGGCCAGGCTGGTCTCAAACTCCTGTCCTGAAGTGATCCACCCTCCTTAGCCTTCTAAAGTGCTGAGATTACAGGTGTGAGCCATCATGCTTGGCCAAGAAATCTATGTTTTTGTTGCTATTGGTTTATTGATGAATTACAAGTATCCAGAGTAGTGCTGGGCACATAGTAGGTGATCAAAACTATCTGTGTAGTGAACACATCTACCATCACATCCATATGGATCAATTCTGTGATTATTGATTGACATGCTTATCACCTGAAAGGCAGTGAAAGCTATGTGAGGACAGAGGCTGTGTTTTATTCATTGCTCTACATAGAGCAGAAACTGCAGTACTGGGCACAAACTAGTGTTGATGAACATTCCAAAGATAAGTGAAAAATCAGAGTACTGTGCAAATCTGTGCAAATCAGAGTACTGATTTTTTTTTTAACAGCATGCCTGAAGGGACCAGGTAAACAATAACAACAGCTCAGTAACTTGCAGGGAACACAGCACCTCCTGAGTTTCTCAAACCATGGACAGGGGAGAGAGACTCCTCTTGGTACCTGGAAGCTGTTGAAGAAGGGCCCCTTACTGTGGACGTCTGCCCACCCAACCAAATTCTCAAGAGAAGATATGAGTTGCCGCTGGTGTCCTGGGATACCATTCCTCCCTTTCACCATTGCTGAGTTGTAAGGCAAACCTTACTCTACACACACCACAAGGCACAACACTCTCCGCTCAAGTCTCTGTCTCATAGAGTGTTCAGTGACAATCAATAATGTAGCTTCCTCCCAGCCACTGGAGATTTACTTTCCGGAGAGGGTGATGCCTTATATCAGACAGAAAGGGTACCACAATCACCTGGAGAGGGCAATGGTCTACATCAGAGACCAAGGGCACCCAGTCACCTGGGGAGAGTAATGGTTTGCCTCAGAGACCAAGGGTACACACCTCTTCTAGAGGGAGTGATGCCTTGCATTCAAGACCAGGAGCCTCCACCTCACCTGAGAACAGACTCTCCACCCCCATCCTATACCTACTGAATCAGCATCTGCAGTTAACAAGGCCCTGGGGGTTTATATACCCACTGAAGTTGAGGTGCAAACCAGTTTAATGCAAGCTGTACCATGCGACGCCTCTCACTGCTTCATCAGTTCAAACTAGCTAACATCCAGGTTCACTTTTATCAAGTTAAAGACTTCTCTTCGCTGTCAGGCGTGTACTTGGAAACATATGCATTGACATGTGGAAAACACAAAAACAACATTGACAGGGACACATAGGTGGCCGTGCAGGTATAAAGGAAACAATTCAAATGAGATCAGTACTTGGAGTCACATTCCATACAAACCATAGAGCAGGGGTATTCTTTGTAATAGGGAGCGGTGAGTGAGTTATACGTTTCTAGGATGGGCTAGGGAAAAATACTTTCCTCTGTTTCAGTCAGGAGAAAAGGATGTGGATGTGGATTCCAAGTAGTTGAATAATTTGCCTGAAAGAATTGTGGTTGCAATCATCTAAACGAAAGGCTTAGGGTAAAATGTACACCCATCTAAATATAAAAATTCCTGGGTCTCATTGCAGACCTACTAAATTAACATCACCATAGGTGGCCTAGGAATTGGTATTTCTATGCAGTATTTCTGTGATTTTAATGTGCAGACTGGTATAGGAAGCTGTAGTGAATTCTTATAATTTTGTGTGGCTTCAACATCCACTTTGAATATAGGTTTAACTTCCTTGTCACCCTTGACATGGTGCCTAGTTCTTTACCTGCTCCCAGTTCCTGAGCATGGTTGACCTGGACATCTGCCCTATAAATCATCCCCTGCTGACCACTTTCCTATGAGACAGCTGGATACAACCTACTTGACTTACCTCACTGACTCCCACCCCCAGCATGGATCTCACAGATGTGCCACAGTGATCATGTCTCAGTTGCAGCATGACTGCACGGAGCTGATGCCTGCTGGCTCTAATCAATTAGAACTCCCCTTGGGAAGCCTGCTGGGATAATGCCTTGGACTCCAATGAACACTTTGGCCCGTAGGTCCCTTGTTCTCTCTCTTGTTCCCCATCCACTGTTTGAACGTTTGTTTCCCTGTTGGCTCCTCCTTTCCCACTGGCCCTGTGAAGCATGCTGCCTTCTTCTCTCTGGGATCTGTAAGAAACTGCTTCTGTGATTTCATGGATTTTGTTGAGTTGCCTCCTCTTTCTCATCTGATCCATAGACCAGAGAATAACTTCTCTCCTGGGCAGGGCTTTCCTAGACATTGGCTATCTTAGTAGGAATAAACTGAACACAGGTGAGACATGATCCACAAGGGCAGTAAAAATCAGTTTCTGTGAAAGTGATAGCTGGTCACAAGTGACACTTAGGTATCAGCCCATCCACAAGGATAAAGAAGTATCTTATGAGAGGCACACTGCAAACATCTATCACCAAATTCCTGAATCAGGGAAGTGCTAGAGTTTATCGCACTCATGTGAGAGAGACCTGAAGACTAAATTAGAAAGAAAGAAAGAAAAAAACAACACACACACAACAGAAGCACAAATACAGTCTCCCAGTTTGGCACCCACCCTTTGAGTGAGGTACCTGTATGACAACACAGTCAAGAACTTGGGCAGCCACTGTTTTCAAAGTGCTGGTGACTTTCCAGGCAGCCTGCTACATCCTCCTTTAGCAGTGCTTTCAAATGTCATGCAAAGTTACAACTTGTCACCTTTATTTTCCCCAGATTAATAACGTCCTACCATTTAACACCGTCAGAACAATTCACATTCCACCTTCTTCTCTGCTTCATAGTTGTGTATAAAGTTGCTTCCTTTCTCCACTAGAAAATGGGCCAAATTGAAAAATAATTAAAAAAGGAAACTTTTAATTTCAGAATTAGTTTATATTACAGAAAGTTTGCAAAGAGAGTTCTTATATATTTCACACCCATTTGCCCCATTATCAGCATCATATATAAAACCACACCATATATATATTCATATATTTATATATATTCATATATATATGAATTCATATATATAAATTCATATAGATATAAATATATGAATATATATGAATTCATATACAAATATTTTTATATATGATTTCATATATATTCATATATTTATATATGAATTCATATATATTCATATATTTATATAAGAATTCATATATATATTCATATATTTATATATATGAAATCATATATATAGGGCATGTTTATTTGTTACAATTAATGAATATTTTGGTAAGAGGATTTTTTTTTTAAATCATGAATGGGTTTTGGATTTTATCAAGTGGTTTTCTGCATCAATTGATATAGTAATATGATTTTTTAAAAAATTTAGCTTATTGATGTGATGGATTAATTAATTGATTTCAAAATGTTGAGCCAGCCTTGAATATATGGGATAAATCCCACTTGGTTGTGGTGTATAATTCTTTTGATACATTATTGGATTGATTTAAAGCTAACATTTTGTTTGAAGTTTTCCACCTATTCTCATAACAGATAATTGTTCTTAATTTTCTTTACTTGTAATGTCTTAATTTGATTTTGGTATTGGTGAAATTCTGGTATCATAGAATAAGTTATGAAGCATTCTCTCTGCTTCTATTTTGTGGAAGATATTGTGGAGAACTGGTATTGTTTCTTCCTTAAATGCTTGATAGGATTCACCATTGAAAACATCTGTGCTGGTGTTTTTTTCTTTTTTTGGAAGGTTTTTAAACATTGATTCAATTAATGTAATAGATATATGTTAGTAGATCACACTGATTGATAGTACTATTCAGGTCATTTGATTTTCTGTTTTCTTAATCTATCCATTATTGAAAGATGGGTATTGAAGTCTGCAATTATAATAATGGATTTGTCTCTCCATATATACATATGGTAACTCAATGGAGCTCCTCACAGTGCCGGTGCAATGATGTTTGCAGAGAAAGACCTTCTGTTTTGAGCCTGTGATTGGTTATGAGCCAGCCTCCAGAATCTGGGAGACTTGTTGAGAACTAGGATGTACATGCCCAAGAGAACTTCTCTGAAAAGTAGAGGGGACAAAGCTAAGTGTAAGTTGGGGGCAGGGGAAGAGAGAGGGGACTCTACCTGGCAGAGTTGATAGAGATTTAAGACTTTGGAAGGAATACTTGTGGTGAAGAGTTTAGATGTGACACTCTGGGCCCCATGCAATGAGATGCCTCCTATAGAAATCATTGATTAAATATAGAGAAGGAAAACACTTCATTCTGTTCATATCTCATGAGTCACAGAATCAAGGAAATAAGTAGTTCACTTGATTTTGAGTCCCGGGTTCTTTGCAAAGCAACACTGTGGCCTCACAATAACCATAACATTTGCCTCTAAATGAACACCTTTCCTGAGTTACTTTCATGGCTTACCAGTACAAACTGACTTTTATGACAAATTGAGCAATAACTTAAAGACTACTTTTCCAGCATGTTTTAAGCTACTATGTTAGCAGTGCTACACCAAAGTACTCCTACAAATTAAACAAATAGGCTTAAAAAGCAAATATTCAGATATCTTATAATGGCCAATACTGCAATAATGTATGGTTCTAATTTTATTTTGTTTTAGACACAAATGTTCATAGCAGCTTTATTTGTAATAGCCCAAAACTGGAAACAACCCAAATGGCCATCAATAGGTCAATGAATAAACAAATTATGGCATATCCATTTGATGGAATACTACTCAGCAATGAAAAGGAATGAACTGTTGGTATATATACAACAACATGGGAGAATCTCAAAGTAATTATGCTGAGTGAAAGACACCAGACCAAAAAATAAAGGAAAATTAATCCAAAGTGACAGAAAGCAAACCAGTGGTTGCCTGTGAAGGGCCAAGAGAAAGGGATTATGGAGGGGCACAAGCAAAGTTTTGGGGTGGGGACTGTTTACAATGAGAAGGGAAAGAATGCCAGGCCAGGATGTCAATCAACATGGGTGGCTCTAGAGAATTCTGAGCCCCTGTGGCCCATGGAATGCAGGTTGCACCTGCTTTACCATCCCAATGACCTCTCTTGTGTCTGAGACCCACTCACTCAGCAGCCTTGAGAAGCGCAGGCAAATGCATTTCCAGATCCAACCCCTGTCTTCAGTTGGAGTCACTCATGACAGTCACGAAACCAAGGTGGGAAGAGTTTGCTTCACTCTCTAGTGTGTTTCTCCTCTGTCTGCCAACTGTGGGATATAAGAGCATGTGGGCTCCTGTTCCATTCACTTTAGTCCCAAACGCTGTTGCATCACAACAAAAGTAATGGCTGGGCTGCAGTGGAGCTGTTATCCTGAATTCCAGCCCCCACATCTCCTGACATTATGTTGTCTCAACATTCTTCCAAGTTCACAAATTAGAAGCTGAGGTCTAGGAATACTAAGCCTTGAGGCAATGCAGCTACTCATGAATAGATCAATTTCTTCCAGTTCTAGTTAGCGTCTTTACATTCTATGATTCAAAATTATACCTTATTTTTAGAAGATAAGATCAGTTTTCACTGAAGCAATTTCGCTTGGAGTTGCCACCTCCCTTCCCTGCACTCTTGGTCTTGAATTCCAGCTCTTTAAACCTTGACCTGGATGTTGACCATGTTCTCATCCACCCTGACACTGGCCCTGCTACCCTGCCTGCCTCTCTGACCTTGAACTTGCTTCCCACTTTGTCCTGAGCATTCCCAGCTGGCTCTCTAGTTTTCTTTCAATTTACACATATACCTGCATTAATTCCTTATTTTATTTTATTTCAACCTACTCTATGCCTGGCCTTATGTTAGAGCTACAAAAATGCACGTGCCACAGTCCCAGAACTCAATCCTCGGGTTAAAGCACACACTGGTGGTAAGAGCTCTCCTAGAGGTGGGTATCCCTAAAATGCTTAAAGATCAAGAAGCAGAGAGACATTGGCACTGTATAGAGTCACATATGAGTCTTCACACTCAAACCCAGAAAGAAGAGTGTCTGAAGGAAACTGTGGGGAAAGTATCTTAGAAAAAGGAGAGAGATTAGCCAAGCACTTGGAAGCATGGAAAGGTTAGGAATGTCTTTGGAGACATAAGCTCCAAGCCAAGTAGATAATCAAGTGTTTTCCCCTACAGATGAGGCATTCTGAGGACTAACATTTCCTCCCTGTCAGTTGGTGGTACTCGAAATAAATACACTCAGGATGAGCCTGTGTCACATTCAATGAGAACAACTCAGGTGGAGTCACATTTACTTCTGCATCACATTTAATAGACCCAAACAACATGCAAATAGACCCAATGCCTCTGCCAAACCCCTCCTTCCCCTTCAGGGCTCACCCATACCTCCATCACTGCAAGGAGACCCCTGTGGTGTAAGTGCTGTTTTAAAAGTCCCTCCCTGTTTAGACTGAGCTTCACATGGAATGGGGTTGTCGTATTTTCTAGGTCACAGCAACAGGACTAAATATATACAAGACAGCATCTAAACTAAGCTATAATTTTTTTTTTTTGAAACATGGTCTCTCTCTGTTACCCAGGCTGGAGTGCAGTGGTGAGATCTTGGCTCACTGCAACCTCTGCCTCCGGCTCAAGCGATTCTCCCACCTCGGCCTCCTGAGTAGAGTAGCTGGGACTATAGGCATGCACCACCACGCTGGGCTAATTTTTGTATTTTCAGTAGAGACAGGGGTTCCCTATGTTACCCAGGCTAGTCTCAAACCTCTGACCTCAAGCCATCTGCCTGCCTCGGCCCTCCAAAGTGCTGAGATTACAGGCGCGTGCCACAGAGCCGGGTCTAAGCTATCAATTTATAAATGTTTAATTGGACAAACTAGCATGGAAGGACCCTCGATTCAAAGTTGAGGGAGCTATAGCAGTGGCCCCCACAGCCAGAGTCCCAGGGCCTTCCCTCCAGTCCCTGCTCCCACCTCCTCAGTCAGTGGCATCCGCTCCATGCTGTTGCTTACCCCGCTCCAGTCTCTCACTGCCACTAAACCATCATTTCTCAGTAGGAAAAGGGCAATGACCTTTGCCCTGTCCCCATAGTTTCCCTGGATTTGTGAGTGAATAAATGAATAAATTAATGACTAATGACAAAAACGTCTTTCAAACTTTTATTCATAATAAAAATTTTCCTACATCTTTACCTCATTAGAATCTCTTCCCTCTGCCCTTCCTCCTGCCCTGACTCTTCTTGCAGGGGTGCAGTCATCTGTCTGAAAAAAATATTTCCTCTCCTTTATTCCATCCCTGATTCCTGCCCTGTCCTGACCGTTAACCATCCTCCTCCAAAATCAAGGCCATGTGGTGAGTCTTCCAGGTACTTTTCCAATCAAGAATCAGGTGCCTGCTTTGAAATTTCAATGATACTTTGTTTAAATTCCCCATCATTCCATGTCAATGCACCCTTGCTTGCCAAAACCTTGGCACTGAATGCTGGCTCCCGCTTTGTGGAGTAGAATGTGCTGCTCACATTCTCCGCAGCTCTGGAGAACACATTAATGGGTAAATGACTCTCACTGGCCTGTCTGATGAGAATGTTCTGCCTTCACGTTGACGCAAGCAGAACAACTGATCTCTCCGGTTTTGTGCTTGTCTCACCATCAGGTGACCAGACAGGGCCTCATCAGTTACCCCCAAAGATCCTGAAATTCAGATATCTTTTGTGTTTAATCTGTTGTTTTGACTGGTGTAACTCACAAACAATAACAGCATGGGAGAGCGGAGGGGCCACAGCTTTGCCTCTAGACAGAGAGCCATCTGAGCTGCTGTAGAGTTCCAATACTTAACCTCTCTGAACTTGGCCTTATTCATCAGAAAGTGAAGAATAACAACTTAAATCTTGCACAAGGGTGGTGAGGACTAGCAATGGAAATAGAAAACAACCTCACACATGGGAAGGGCTTGCTACTTCATTCAGTAAAATAAACAACCACTATCACCACCACAAAATAAAACAACAAACATCGACAATAGTTTCTGATAGCAGCAGAAACTAATATTTGCAGGAGGAAATGTACACTATGGGAAAAGAAATCATATTTGCTTTTTGCTTTATGAAATATTTCTGTAGCTAAAGACTGATCAAGAAATTTTTTTCTTATAAATGTCTATATATAATGTTCTATTTTCCTACTTTATTTAAAAATGAAAGATATTACTTATATGATAGAAGTATTTAAAGAAGAAAATGTATATTAGCTTAATTTAAAAACCATTTGAAAGTGACTAGTGTATCTTTTTCTGTTAAAATTAATCATGATGAATTACTAAATTACTAAATACATGCTAAATTATCTAGTTATTTCTGAGTTATGTCTCCTCTTCTACAAAACTCAAAACAATAACAGGAAATACAGCCTGGAAATCCCCCAAATATTATCAAGTGTTGCCTCAGTGTTCCATAAACATAACAGTCTCTGAGTAGCTCATATTTGGTTTCCTGGGATCTGATCTCTCTCCTTCTCTTTCCTTTCTTTTTGTCTTTACTTGGCTGAATTAAATAGGCACACAATGCATTGGCTAGTATACCATTTGCTGTACATGATATAAAAATAATCGGATATGACTTCTGCTCCTAGGGCATCTGCACATAAATTGTAGAAGGATATAAGGCCTAAATTACCTGTTAGACTTTTTAAATTTTTTTTTAATTTTAGCTTTTTCCAGCTTTATTGAGGTATATAAGAAAATAAGAATTGGAATACAGCCTGGAAAATAAGAATTGCATATATTTAAATAAAATTTGTATACATCTAAAGTATACAATTTGATATATATATACATATATGCATTGTGAAATATCCAACATAATCCAGCTAATTAAAATTTTCATCACCTCTGTCACCCAGAGCAGCTTTCAATACACTGTGTTTTGAGGCATGAGGGTGTCATAGAGGATACATGTTACATGTTTTGGAGTGCAATTTGGACCCACTGTCAAAGAAATCAGGGCAACATTGCAGAATTTAACATCTTTTGGAGGGCTACAGTGTATATTTGCATATTAAAACCTCCAAAATTTCCTACTCTAAGGAACCTGTTTGGTTTTGCTTTACTGTTTGTTTGTTTTGTTTTTGTTTTTTTGAGATGGAGTTTCGCTCTTGTTGCCCAGGCTGGAATGCAATGGCGTGATCTCAGCTTACCACAACCTCCGCCTCCCGGGTTTAAGTGATTCTCCTGCCTCAGTCTCCCGAATAGCTGGGATTGCAGGCATGCGCCACCATGCCTGGCTAATTTTGTATTTTTAGTAGAGACGGGGTTTCTCCATGATGGTCAAGCTGGTTTCACACCCCCGACCTCAGGTGATCCACCTGCCTTGGCCTCCCAAAGTGCTGGGATTACAAGCGTGAGCTATCGCGCCAGGCCTGTTTTTGCCTTTTTTTTTTTAAGAATTGTTATTGATCTCATAAACTTGTCCAGATTTTGGCTGTGGAAAGCAGAGCCCATACCCAATCTGTAGCTACACACACTCTTCGAGCGTGCCTAGGTGAGCCAGGGTTGAGTACCAGGAGATTCCTCAAAGATTTGGAGTAATAAAGTTAGGAATAGGATATGAATAGGAGGAATGATTTCACTAGTAAGAAATTACTTTTTATATTGTAAAATAAAATGCAAAATTTATATTTTGGGTTATTTAATGGACACTCTGTTTGCTGTGTGCCAGGCATTGTCCTAAACATATCACAAGTACAGAGTTGTGTAATCCTCACCAGCCCCTATGGAGTGTATTGTTATCCTCATTTCCCAGATGAGGAAATTGGAGGTACAGTTTTTAACTCATTTCCCAAGGTTTCACAGTATCATGTGTTAGAGAGGCACCAGCACCCGCCTATCTTATTCTGATTCCTTGCTCTTAGCTGCGTTCTCTTGCCCTTGTGCAATATTGAAATAAGACATGAGGCTGCTAGCACATTCTGCCTCTTAGAGGACTTCTCCAGGCAGTTCCTCTCACCCTCATGACAATGTGTGAACTCTCCCCAGTCTCTTGGTCTATTTTAGTGTTTATGTTGGAGAAGCACTAACCCGGAGCATTTCTCTTTGGTGTTTGGAAACATCTGTCTTTCTTTAGAGTTCATTATGCCCCTTTCTCCTCCCCAGGTGATGGTATAATCCCTAAGGACAAGAGCCTTATCATAATCTTTGTTTCTCTCTTGATCAGCTCACAGGATGCCTGTGTGTCACCATGTACTTGTTCACCATGGCCTGAGTGAAATTGAGGTTGTCAACAGATAAGGAATCATCTCACTTGCAGATGTCTGTGGATATACTGTATAGTTGTGAGACATCTAGATTCTGTGTTGAAATATCTAATTATTCCAGTTGATAAGTGCTATGGTTTTAATGTGTCCCTCAAAATCCACATGTTGAAAACTTAATTTCCAAAGCAACAGTTTTGAGAGGTGTTTGGGTTATGAGAACTCCGCTCTCATGAATGAATTAACGTTGCCTGTCTCAATATGTTTTCTGTTGCTTAGAACAGAATACCTAAAACTGGGTAATTTATAAAGAAAAGGAGCTTATTTCTTACAGTTTTGGAGATGATAAGTCCAAGGTCCAGGGACTGCATCTTGTGAGGACCTTCTTGCTGGTAGGGACTCTGCAGAGTCCCAAGGTGGCACAGGGCACCACATGACAAGGGGGCTGATTATGCTAGCTCTGGTCACTTTCCCTCTTCTTATAAAGCCACCAGTTCCATTCCCATGACAACCAATTAACCCATTAATTCCTGAACCCATTAATCCATGAATGGATTACTCTTTTCATGAAGGCAGATCCCTCATGATCAATCACCTCTTAAAGGCTCCACCTCTCAATACTGCCACATTGGGGATTCAGTTTCTACATGCATTTTTGAGGGGACAAAGATTCAAACCATAGCATTGCCATAACAAGGGCTTTCAGGAGTGAGTTCTCTCTCTCCCACTCTTCTACTATGTGAAAACACAATGATCCTCCTCTCCAAAGGAGTCAGGGATCAAGGTGCCACCTTGGAAGCAGAGAAACTGGGTCATAATCTGCAATACCTTCATATTGAACTTCCCAGCCTCCAGAATTGTGAAAGAATAATTTTATATTCTTTATAAATTACCCAGTTTTATGTATTCTGCTATAGCAGCACGAAATGGATGAAGACAGTACATATGATGGTTAATTTTATGTCAGCTTGACTGGGCTCCAGGTGCCCAGATATTTGGTCAAATATTATTCCGCATATGTCTGTGAGTGTGTTTCTGGCTAAGATAAGTATTTGAATCCATAGAATGAGTAAAGTACATGATCCACTGTCACCGATTTGAGTGGCCATCATCCAACACATTGAGGGTCCAAATGGAACAAAAAGGCTGAGTAGGAGGGACAACTCCTGCCTGACTGTTGAGATGGGTATCTTTTCCTGTATTCAGGCTTGAACTGAAACATTGACTCTTCCTTGGTTTCAAGCCTACTAATTGTAGATCTTGGCCCTGTCAGCCTCCACAGCCTTGTGAACTAATTTTAACTATCTATCTATCTATCTATCTATCTATCTATCTATCTATCTATCTTCCAAACTTGCTGCGTTAGTCAAGTTAGTCAGGGACCTCCAGGAAACAGACCAACAGGAGATATTAGGAGACAGATGGTTCTGTTTCTGAGAGAGGCCTGACTAATACAGCAGCTTTGGAATATTGTTGACAGAGCGCCCATCCGTCACCTCTTCACTTCCTCCTTTAAGAAGCCATGACTATGTTGGAGACTGAAGGCAACTTTAAAAGTAACACAGGGGATGTGAACAGCCCTAAATACACCTCACCTAATATTCCAAGGTGTCAAGAATTACTCCAGTCCAAGCCTGGCTGAGAGAGAAAAAATTTCGTGAAAATTGTTAAAGCTGATTTCATAATTATCATGTCCATCTTATCCCAGAATTCCTTTTGTCTCAGAATATTTTATAAAAAATGGATATTTCTAGTTTGTTCTTTCAGAGATTCCAGTGGTCTTTTATTTACCACAAAGCTGGTAAGTTCAGCATGAAGCAGAGAATAGCCAGTTACACTATATTGGGTTTCATAGGCCTTAATTCAATCAGATAAACTGCGGGTCATGTGGGCACTCTTAAGCAAGGAAAGACACAGTTGGAAAGAACAGAAGCTGCATGCCCATGCATTGACAGTGATTCAGTCCTGGAGACCTCAATCTGCAGGGGTGAGATCACGTAGAAACTTTTATAGTTGGCCCTCTTTCTGAAGGCTTTTAGCCCCTCATCTTAATTTTAGGCCTAAAGGATTCTTAATATGGGAGGGACAATCACTGACTGAAGAGAAATAGATATTGTTATGAGTGCAGGTTTCCTTTGGACAAGATAAATTAGGCTGTCATATTCTTGCCCTCTGGGATGTTTTTGGCAATTGGGACTTCTGCAGCTAATTTCATTTTTGTGTTTTGTTGCTGTTTGTTTGTTTTGCTGTTGTTGCTGTAGTTTCTACTTCTTTGCCCTTTTGTCTTGATTCTTGGAAAAACTCTTTCCCTTCTTTCAATTTACTAATTTGTTTTTTTGCATTGCTTTGTTCTTTTTTTAAAAGCTGTTTTTCAGCCTATCTATTGATTTTTTAAAAATACCTTTTTAATACCTGCCCATCTTCTCAAATCTCTTTGAAGATACTAATCTTAATTTAAATTTCAAATATATTCCTACTTATTTGTGTTGGTTTCTGATATACATGTGGTGACTTGCGTGTGTGTCACTTCTGTAACCAAATATCTGGATCTCACAGTTCTTGATGGGTATGAGTTTCTCAGCCCCTGTGGGACCCAGCACTCAGGACGGGCTGCAGGTGGCCTGGCCTCATTTCCTCTGGATGCTGGGCATTCAGAGTCTCTGCCTTGCTTCTGAACACCAGCACATTTCCAGAACTTTCTGCAGCTGCCCATTCCATTAATGAGTGAGAAGGGGAGAACCTCAAAATCTCATCATTTCCAGTGTGTGTGTTTAACCAATTGCTCTATTTTTTCTAAGATATGACTTTTACTTCTTTAGTGGCTCTCTCAGTGAACCATTAGCTGAAATTGATGAAACTCTAATTGATTAGTGAAGAATCTAATTAATGAAGAAACGTTTGAATCCATAGAATGAGTAAAATACATGATCCACCCTCACCAGTGTGAGTGGGCATCATTTAACTGGCATCATCAGGTTTCTTCATTAATTAGATTCCATTTGTTTACTCTCCTCCAAGAAATCCTTCTAGTCTCTGCTCCTCAGATGATGTCATTCCTTGCTTTCTGGTTCAGATATAAATTTAAATACATCTTCTAGGATGTTGATAGAGATGGAATTCATCTTAGGACAGGCAACAAGAGCATATGCATTTGTTTTACAAGTTTGGTTTATTCTTCTTTCTCCCAAATGAATTCATCTTCTGCTGACCTTCCTACTGTCCTTTACCAATCACAGAAAAGTAGGCCCTAGTTTCTTCTTCCTATAATCTCCACACATACACAGGCACACATATATACATAGCACACACACACATCCACACACACACACATCCACACACACACACATACGCCCAGGCCACAGCCCTCCTTCTGGCTCTTTCTTAACAGCCATGCTCCATAGACAGGAGCTCAATTTCCTTCGTGCAGCCCCCACTGCCCCTCTGAAATGCCCAGCGGAGTGTGGCTCCGGTCCTGCTTAGCTGAGCTGGCAGTGGAAGCCTCCAGGCCACAAAAGGCTGGGAGTCTCCAGGGCCAGAACCCAGGGCGGTGCAGCTGCTCTCCTTTTCCCTGTCTTTCACGTTCTCAGCCACATCTTTTTATTTAAAAAAGAAAACTTCCACGAATCATAGAGCTATCTTCTTGAACTTTGAAATTAGAACATTTAAACACTTATTCTCCATTCATTTAATCATGTTAGGGAAATCCAGTTGCCTCCCTCACCCACCCCTCGTTCGTATGTCCCACAGCCATCGCCCACCCAAAGGCCTCTCTCCATGTTGTGATCTTGTTCCATCCCCTCCCTAAGCCCTGAAATTCCTGCTGTGTCATTAGAATTTACCATTTATCTAGGAAGAGGCCAAATGAAATCACAGGTTGCTCAACCCTGTGCAGCTGATGAGCCGTACTTTCCTGGTAGACACCTGAGCACGTGGAGTTCTGCGGGGCTTTTGCGCCGCCCTCCTCTCATGACAGTGGAGATAATGCCTTTACATATCTCCAGGAATTGGCATAGCATGAAACTGCCTGGAGGAATGTGTTCTAAATTAAATGATTTCTAGTCATGTCTTCAAAGAGAGAGACAGAGAAAAATGATGCAGAACCATGTTCCTACATCTTCTACTTTACAGAGCCTTTAATGAGCACCTGATACACGCCAGGCCTTTTGCTAAGAGTCTAAGAGGTGGGGCAAGAAAAAATGATATTTAGATGAATTTGTGTTTGAGGCCTTCAAGAAGTTTATGGTAAAGCAGGAATGTTGGTCATATATACACATTAGGAAAATGGAATGCAGTTGTTAAAATAATGAATTGGGAAGCCATTAGGCTGAGGTGGGTTCCTACTGAAGCAAACAGAAACCCAACTCGATGCAAACAGCAAAATGAAACTTCAGGTTAATCAATCAGAAACCACCTACTCACCTCCAAGTCGGAATTTTCCACTTGAACCAATCAACTATTTTCTTTGTCTCTCTTCTGAAATACCTTAATAAACGTTCCCCAAGCACTTCTTGGCTGAAGCAGTGAAGCACTTGAGGTCTGATGCTGCTTGATTCATGAATCTCTGAATGCTCAAAGAAATTATTAAAATGTTGGCATACCTAAGTTTACCTTTTAATACAGTGAATGACTTAAAAATGGTGCGCAATGACAGGGAAGGACAAGATGAGGCTGAAACACCTGAGTCAAGTATGTTACTGTCCCTGCCTTTCTGTCTCACTCAAAGGCCCTCAGAATGGCCCCAAGCTGGTGTATCACCCCACCCACCCCTGCCCCACATGGCTCCTCTGTGACCTGAGCTCCTTCCCTCCACTCTGCCTTCTGGATTTCCCATTTGCTGTTCCCTCCACCTGGACACGTCACCACCTGTTCATGTGCCCCATGGCTCAGAGTCCTCTGTCACAGCACGCAGCTCTGAGCACCTGCACCCAAACCTTCTGGTCTCTACCCTGCTAGTTTTTCTCTACAGCATGATTCTCTGAAACGTGTGTGTTTACTGTTCTATTTACCATCCCCTGTCCCCACTGGAATGCAGGTGCCCCACCCAAGGGCAGGCCTTCCCTGCAATCTGGGTGTGTTATCAGGAAACTCATGATGCGTGCCCACGCAGTCACAACTTCTCCAGGACCTTGCACCTAATTTGGTATGCATAATTTTGTGTCTTTTTCCTAAAATCAGCTCCTCAGCCTCAAGTGATGTCTTCGGTCTCACAAAAGCTCTCTACTTTGCCCATATCCCCGTCAGTGGCTGGCATAGAGAGGTGCTTACTAAATAAGTGGATGAGTGAAAGACTGAGTGGTTGAGTCTAGGAAGGCTTCTCAGAGCCGGCGATATCTGAGCAGCAAGCTGTGAACAAAGGCAGAGAGGCTGGAACAAGATGCCCTGCACAGGGACCCACCAAGCTGGGAGGGGAGAAGTGGCCAGAGCCCCAGGGGGAACATGAGAGGTGGGAAGAGCATTTGCACAGGCAGGACCAGCATGGTGGGAGAAGGGAGGGTAGTGTGGTGTGGTGTTCTCATCACCCCTGAGGGAGAAAGCAGTGACTTCATCCAGGCTTTTTTGACTCCCTCCTTTTCCCAGTGTTCCAGGGCTCAGCATAGCCCTGAGAAAGGGTTTTCAGTGGTCCCTGGGTAACCCCCATGTCACATTCACCCTCACACCACCCTGATCACAGACTGCCCCATCCGGGAGACATTCTGGCCTGCAGCATGCTTGGTCTCCATTAGAAACAGAGGCCTGGACTGCTGAAGTTCCGCACTGTCTCCTCATTTGAACGTCGAGGCCCTTTGAGAATGGTTCTTTGGTGTCTTTGAAGTCATTTTTCCTGGTGCCTTTGTGCAGCCATCTCAACCAGGCTTGGGAATTCCCCTTAACCCTAAATGCTTTTCTCCCCACCTTCCTGCTTTCTTTATTTGTTTCTTCAACCTGCTTCCTTGGAAACTGTGGGTAGGGTGCCAGCATGTACATTACCACTGCTATTGATAGGCGCCGAGCCTGTTACAACCTAAATAATGCTCCTCCTCCAAACACTGTGAAAGCTTAAACCCAATTGCTGGCCTCTCCAGGATGCTCTTTAAGAAAGGTGAGTCTTGCTCTTGGCTGAGTGCAAAGGATGATTATTTGGGGTCAAAGAAGCTCATGTCTAATTTCTCATCAGCTGCACAACTGTGGGAAATCCCCTGAAACTCTCCCAGCACCACTATCTCATCGAGAATGTGAGGACAAACACAAGGCCCATCATGCACGTTGTTGGGTGAGACAAGAGACAGTGGCAATGAAAGCTGCAAACTACAGAAAAACATGAACTTATAAAAAGGCAGTGATTATGTTAGAAAATGGCAAATGTATAATTAAAATCAAGCACAGGTTTCTCAACCCATTTCCTAGTGGATGAAAACTTCAAGCAACCACAAGCCTAGCACTGGCATTAAATTACTGTAAAATTCAGTTTGCACCAAAGGGAAGCCTAGAGACATTCTTGTCCCACTAGCTCATTTAACAGTTGGGGAAACTGAGGCTCAATGAAGCTGAGGGTCAGAACGGCTCTTTCGATTGGACACCCCACCTCCTCAGTGAGACTACCTGAAGATGGAGCAGGAAGTGCCTGGTAAGACCTTGATTCAGGTCATTTACTCAAGGAGGGCTAATTTCGTGAATCACGATAGGGCAGGGATGAGTGGGCAAGATGGACCCTCAAGAAGCCTTTGGCTCATAGAACCAACCCTTGTTGGAAGTTTCACCTGCACTGCCGCGGGGAGGGGGAGGAGACCAGCAGCCCCAGACCTCAGTGGCCCTGCACCCTTCTTCATAGTTCACACCTTTGGAGTTGGGCACCAGGGTGCCTTCCACCCTCAGCATGCGATGTTGTCACATTTTTCTCCTCTGTTTCTGGTTCTCAGACAGCAGCACTGGTCTCTCCAAACCTGTCATCACCTACTTGTATCCACGGATTGAGGAGAGATGAGACTAGTCTTCCAACAGAAGACTCCCAAACACCATTTTAGGAAGGAAGATGATGTCACCTGCCCATCACCTAGGAATTCTTTTAAAAACCTTATGAGGCAGGCGCTATGATTAGCCCCATTTTACAGATAAGAAAATTGAGGTTCAATAACTTGCCTGAAGTCACACAGTGAGCAAATGACAGAGATTTAAACATACATTAAATGAACTTTATGAAAGGATGGATTCTGAAGGTCTGACCTTAGAGAGATGGGCAGTGATTAACCTGAAGTTGAGAGACTCCTGTGGCATATGTATTGTCCTAGATAGTGAAAGAAAATCGTGGTTGTAACAAGGAGGCTGAAATAGAAAGTCGTTAAGGGTAGATGCTCTGGGTTGCAGGTGCATTCTTTTGCTGACAAGTTTTTTCTCACGTGAGTAACTCCACAGAGCATGCTCTTGGCTGGGTAGCAGCAGGCTACCATTTTAATGATGATGGTTAATCATTTAATGATGGTTAATAATTCTCCCAACTAATGCCAGGCAGGTGAGGTACCTTAAAATAAAGCACAGAACTTACTGGCATGTATGAATGCCCAATTGCATCAGAGATTAATTTTCTATTTGCATTGAATGCTGTGTGGAGAGTCTATGTTATCACCAGACTTTGCTAAATTTCCCAAAGCTGGGCAGGGGCAGCCTCCCCTGACTCACATGTCCTTCTGGTAAGGGAGAAGCAGGCTGCACAGGTCTGTAAGCCAAGTCACTATCACTCCACAGTGAGCCTGCCCAGCTGCAGAGGCAGGGAAGAGGGAGGTGCCCCAGGGTGGTGAGAGACCAGTTGGGATGGCTGCACTGCACCTTCTGGAAGGAAAGCCTATTTGTCCTCACACTATGCGTGCTGGGAGCCTCCCTCACCTCTCTCGGTGCCCCTCAGCCTCACCTGCCTTTGAACACACAGACTCTACTTGCAAGTTTGTCCCTTCCCTCTTGTGTCTAATCAAATCCTCCTCACCTTGTCTGGATTTAGTAGAAATGATGTTTCCTTCAAGAAGTTTGCCTGACCCCTTCCCATAAGACCCAATTAGGAGGCATAGCAGCCTCTACTTCCCATGTCACAAAACTACCATGCTGCTCCTTGGCTGATGAGGCTGCCTGGATGCAAACCCGTGTCCCTGTGCCTTGGGTTTCACACTCTGCCCCAGCCCCTGCCTGGGAAGGACTAGATCCAGCCAGTGAGTGGGAAGCAGCACTTGAAGGGGGCAGCGGGGATCCCAGATACATGACCAGGCCCGTGTGGGGAATACTGGCCCATCCCCCAGGCTCAGAGTTCTCTTCCAGGATGGCTGGGAAGCAGGAAACCACTGACATTCTCACAGGATGCCTGTTTGCTCCAGTAAGGAGCCGGCTGCCATAACCACCTGCACATGTTTCTGTAATCATCATATCTCCTCTTTGCAGCTTTCTTGGCCCTTGCTTGATCGTGACCTTAATTCTGCTCTGCTCCCACCTCTCTGTGAAAAGCCCTGGATCACAGGGCCATGCAGATCCACAGATCTCAGGCCCAGCTTCACAAAACCCACCGAGTCCCAAGGAAATGTAGAAATGTACTTTCTGAGAGCACCACTGCTGGGGATGGACATGGGGAGCCCCGCCGCCCACCCGGAGAGACAACAGAATGGGGGCTTGCTAAACTCACACAGTGCAGAGGTGGCTGAACAGGGCCTGTATTAATCAGCTTGGGCTGCCACCACAAAGTGCCACACAGTGGGCGGCTGACACATAGGCGTTTATTCTCACAGCCCTGGAGGCTGGAAGTCTGGGATTAAAGCATCAGCAGGGTTGGTTCCTCCTAAGGGCTTTCTCCTGGGGTTCTAGACGACTGTCCTCTCTGTGTCCTCACATGGTCATTCCTCTGTGTGTGTCTGTGCCCCAATCTCCTCTTTTTATTAGGACACCAGTCAGATTGGATTAGGGCCCACCCTAATGACCTCATTTTACCTTTTAACCTTCATTTCACCTCTTAAAAAACCCATCTCCACATATAGTTAGATACTAAGTCCTGGGGGTTGGAACTTCAACATATCAATTGAGGGGACACAATTCAGCCCAAAAGAGGGACCAGGCCAGGCCTCAGGACCCCCCACAGTGCTCTCCCTCCACTGTCCCCTCACCTTATTCTGGGCACCTCTTTCACATGGACCAGGCCTTGCAAAAGCTGCCCCTTTCTCTCCCACTGCCACAGCCCTTCTCTTTGGTGAACTTCTTTTCCTTCAGGCCTCACCTCCAGTGCCACCTCCCTCTGGCAGCTCCGGTCTCATGCGATGAGTCAGTGGGACTCGGGCGACAAGAGGGCACTGGATTCCTTGTGATGCTGGTGCATTGGGTGCATGAGGGGTCTTCTTCTTCTCTTCACCCCTGCAGCAGAGGGAAGACATTTTCTCCATCTGAGGGTTCCGTAACTGTGTCTCTGAAAAAGAAATGGACCACAGACAGATTAACAGGAGGAAAGTACACAGATTCATTATGTGCACTGGGGCATCACAAGAAAGTAAAGTGAATTCCCCGAAAACCCAGTGAGCTGTAGAAGCCTATATACCCTCCTCATAGTGCGGAAGGGAAGGGGTTTCAGGCAACTTGCCGGAGAGTCATGACTTTGGGGGAAAGATGAATTGCCCCTTAGGAGAATAGATGACGAGGTCTGTCTGGGTGTGGTGTCAGTTTCTAGCCTCCTCCCCTGTGATAACAGCCTTCTTCCCTGTATAATGAAACTCCCTGGGATGGGATTGATGAAACTGAGTTCCTTTGGGGGCTCTATCTTTGGCTGATTAAAGGAGTTCAGAGAAAGCCTCTCCATGCAGTTGCTGCTTTCCAAGTGCCTTTGGCTTAATAATCAATATACCAAAGCAGCAGATTTGAGAGTGGCATTCCCTGCACTCCTTCATCCTCAGTGTCTGTATATGATGCATCTCATTTCTTCAGAGTACACTTATTTAGCATATTATTGTCAGAGAATCTGCCTGAAGGTCATTTCACAAGTCACAGCAGTGGAATGTCCTGCAAGACAACCACGTTCCCTAGCCGGCAAGAGAGCCCTGGGCCTCCCATGGATGTGTCTGCCTGCAAGTCGGTCCCAGATGTGCCAGGAACCAGTGGAATCCACCTTCCTGGTTTCCCAGAACTTTACTATAAATTCCTGCCTATTGCCAGGAAATGCTATGGAAATAAAAATAAATGAATTGGGAAGGCAGTATCAGTTTCAGGGAGCATTGGACTGAGTTGAGAGGATTTTGTTATTTCCCAGGTCATATAGGTTTGCATTTCTATCTTTGGTTCCCTGGTCTAAGGAGAGGAAAGTCAATCCTAGTAACTAGCACAGGAGGTTAACATAGATTTTGGGGGATGAAGGAAAATCTGTTTCTGTTTGATGTAGGCAGAGTGGAAGGAGACACGGGGAAGTGGGGGCTCAGGGAGCTGATGCCAGTGGCCCCTTGGGGTGAGCATCCCATGACCTCACACTGTGATGTCCTCTAATCAGCACAAGCTGCTTCCGCTGGTACACACTGCTGAACCTCCAACATCAAAATCAAATGTCACTGTATGAAGCATGCAATTTCTTTGGAGAACTGAGCTTTATTTCCAGGAAGAGAAGTTTAAATCCATCAGACATTTATAAGCAGGGCCCTGTGTCATGCCCCACACTCAGAAGGGTGGCTTGAGTTTACGTCCTCCTTCTGTCCTGGAGAAGCTCATGGTTGGATGAAGACACGCAAATATAAAAATTCATCAAAACATGCTGAGGTGCTCATCACAATCAATGAGCTCTGTGCTGTGGGACAGAAGGACAATAAACTAGCACTGTGAGCTGCCACAGCCCTGCGGCCTGGGGTGGAGGGAGGGCTAAGAAGTCAGTCCAAGGAGTTCTGGGCAAATTGAATGACTACAGGCTCCACGCTGTGAAAGACTATTACAGAAATCACACAAGGCTGTGCTATCTAAGATGCTTGTGGCTGAAAATATATAACCCAATGAACAGTGGCTGAAACCTAAGCTGCTTCTCCCACTTCCAAGGAGGACCTGAGCTCGGTGGTCCCATGGCCTGGAAGCACCCCTGCAAGACTCCTTGTATTTTCAAGATCCCAGCTCAAGCACCTGTCTTCATGGCAGCACCGTGAGAAGGAAGGCAGTGGGACAAAAAGGAGACGTTGCCATCACAGTGCTCACTCCTTTTATCAGGGAGCAAGTGATTTGGCAGAAACCCCAACATTTATCTTTCCATCTTATTAACCAGATCAAGTCACATGTTCACCCTATGCCAAGCCCTGGCCAAGGTGGGTCAGATGGCCTTGATCAAATCCTTTCCTTATACAGGAACCCTCATATGTACCGCCTTGATTATACCCTTTGCCTGTGCAGGAATCCCATATATACCACCTTGATCACAACCTTTCCACATAGAGGACCATACCCTTTCCCTGTCTAGGAAGCCCCCATACACACCACTTTGATCATACCCTGTGTTCCCATATAGAAACCAAATTAGAGGCCCTTTTTAAAGAAGAAGGGAAAGTAGGGTCTGTTGGAAAAACAAAACAAACAAACAAAAAAAACAGTGTGAGACAGGAAGAGAAGAGGATATTAAGCCTTTATAAAAACAATTTAAAGTACATCAGGAAATGTATCACTCTCCTTAAAAAGTGACTACATTAAATTCATACAGAAATCCCAACATGTGAAGGGTCTGGGCATCATTCTGTAGGAAGCTAGAACTCAGCTTACTTGTTTTTTTTTTTTTTAATTTAAAAAATTTCTTACATTTTAAAACTTTTATTTTTCACAGAGACAGGGCCTCACTCTGTTACCCAGGCTGGTCTCGAACTCCTGAACTCAAACTATCCTCCTTTCTCAAGCAATCCTTCTGCCTCGGCTTCCCAGAGTGCTGGGATAACAGGCGTGAGCTACCATGCCTGCCCTTCAGCCTGCTTTAAAGGGAAGCCACCTAAATGGCCAGCTGGTATTTGAGGTGGGATTCAGTGACAGGAAGCCCACACAGAGGGTCTTCGGCCATGTCCGTGGCTCCATGCCCACCATCAATTCCAGAATGTCTCTTTCCCCATCTGAAGCAAGCATAGGATGCGGCACAGTAGAGACTCTTATCAGCAGCTCAGGGGTCTCCCCAGTCTAGACGTGAGGCTGGGTAGAGGTCAGTCGTTTTCAAGATTTCCTATGATAATTCTTGCTGTTGTTCTTTCCTTTTGCCATCAGTGAGCACTTTCAAAAGGCAAATGATGCAGGAACCAGATATTGAACTCAAGAAAGAGAAGCTGTGGTGTCAAAGCCCCTCTGCAGGGCTGAGGATGCATTGAGGGGAATGCTGGGGAAGTTGGGAAGGCCAGGAGGGGTCTTCTCCCAGTGGGGAGGTGAGAAGGGTGAAGGCAGTTGGGACACAGGCCTGAGGCAGTGGGCTGGGCAGACCTCAGTGGCTGTTTGTGCCACTCAACACCCAGTAGCTGGTCTGAAGACAGAGTTGGAGAGGGGAAACTTAGAGGCTTTCTGCAGCCTCGTCCATAGTTTTACAATGTGGAGTTTATTACAATTCAGGGACACTGAGGCCAGCAGCTCAGGAGATGGTTTCCAGTGGAAGACAGTTTGTTACTCACAGTTCCTAAGAGAAGGGGACATACCACGCCATGCAGGGCCACATGAGAAGTACTAGAGTCACTCAGGAAGCAGAAGGAGCAGGGGAAAGTGTGGACAAGAGCTTTTATTGTGGTTTTCATGGAAAGGAACAGGTAGGGCAGGGTGGGAAGGCCTAGGATTGGGTGGTTTGAATTATTTCAGAGTGCTGGGGCAGAGGGGTTGTCCCTCATGGTCTGACAACAGGCCCTGGGGTTATTAGGGCAGGAGGACAGTGGTCAGAGTGTGAGAGCCGTAAGGACGTAGTTGGAGCTATGGGCTCTGGATTGGTTGATTGGTATTTGAAAAGTACAGATCTAATGCAGTGGGTCACGCCTGTAATGCCAGCACTTTGGGAGGCCGAGACTGGCCGATCACCTGAGGTCAGAAGGTCGAGAGAAGCCTGGACAACATGGTGAAATCCTGTCTCTACAAAAAATACAAAAATTAGCCAGGTGTAGTGGTGTGCACCTGTAATCCCAACTACTTGGGAGGCTGAGGCAGGAAAATGGCTTGAACCCGAGAGGCAGAGGTTGCAGTGAGCTGAGATGGCGCCACGGCACTTTAGTCTGGGTGACAGTGAGACTCCATCTCAAAAAAAAAAAAAAAAAAGTACATTTCTGGGTGAGTTATTTACTATCTCTAGGAATTGGCTAACCCTGAGAGTGGCAGTCCCTTGGGGTCAGCAAAGCCCCAGACGTCAATGGTTAATACATCTATGGCCCTAGGCAGCCTTGAGTGTCCAGCTTCCAAGACATTAGGGGCTGTATCTCTTTTGTGGAAGGAAAACTAGCTAAGCAAACCAAAAATCAGCCCCAAAGGATAGCTGAGCTACCATCAAGGAGACTGTCTACCCCTAGCAAATAGAAATCATTAGTTAATATGGCTTAGAACGGGTAGGTCACATGGCTCCAGCTATGGTCTTTAATGACCAGGTCGGAGATGAGCAGACACTGTTTAATGCCATTGCTTACATTAGAAGAAAATCAAACGGTGAGCTGGATTCAGAAAGCCCATCAGCTGATTTTTTTTTCTGATTATTTTCCTGCCATCATATACATAGCGAGAACATTAAAATAAAACAGGATAATGGGATTTGGTGATCAGAATTGTTTCTGCCTGTGTATTACCATTGACACCAGGCAACTTCCAACCACTGGTGGGTGAAAAGCTATATCCAGATGTACTGGGGCCAGAGCAGAAATGAGACCTCTGGGCAGATCCTGTCCCCAGCACAGGATCCCAGATGGATGTGGTGCATCCCTCCAGACAATGGGCTGCTGTGGACCCTGTGAGACCTAGTCCCTCCCTCTGTCCTTCCTTTGGTTGTCGTTCCACTAGGCCTGTAACATGCTTTTCCTGGGCATCCTCTTCTCTTCTGCAGCCTTGTCCTTCCCTGTTCAGGCACAGTTTCTTGTGTCCAAAGCTGAGACTGCATTTCCTCCTCCATAGACTCCATCTCATTCTCTGCATGATCTCTCTGAGTCTCTAGCCTGTGACCCCTTTCCTTCCAGGTGCCTAGCACATGTGCTGCCCTGTGTACTGCTGGCTCTCTGCACCTGAGCTGCCCCTTGGCCTGAGAGTTGGGTCTCTGATATAGGCTGACCCAAAGATTGTGCTCAACCAATATTCTCAGAAGTTGTTTTTTCATTTTACAGGGAAAAGCCTACATCTTTTTTTTTTTTTTTTAATTATGTGGACCAATAGTTCCAGGATACTGTACTCTTCCTTCAGTGCTGAATTTCTAAGCATGATTAATTTTGTTTTGAGGACTTCTTGGTCCTGGTTGCTAATAATGTTGAAACTTCATTACACATAGCATTTCACCTTAAGATGTAAGGTAACTCTCATGAATATCCTGTGGTGATTTGATTTCCATCCCATAAATAAAGAAACTGGGGCTCACCCAGTAAGTGGTGTGAGGAGGATTCAGTTCCACTCTTCTATCAAGCACATTCTTCTTTGCTCTTTACCATCTGAGCTAACCCTTTCCTGCAGGACACCAGCCCAGGGCACTACTAGAGCTGGGACTTGCACAGCCAGAGTACATTTTCTTCCAGGGCCCAGGGAAGGGTTTCTTGGCCTTTGCTTGGAGAGAGATTCCAAGAAATTTTCTAGAGATTCTTTCCTGGGGAAAAGGGGAATGAAAAAGAAGAGAGACAGATAGAGACAGAGAGAGATAAGAGATAAAGACATGGAGACAGATAAGGACAGAGAGAGATAAGAGATAGAGATAGAGACAGAGAGACGGACAGAGAGACACAGAGAGATAAGAGATAGAGACAGAGATAAAAAGACAGAGAGATAGATAGTCAAAGAGATAGAGAGAGAGAGAGATGTAGAGATAGAGAAACAAACAGGAAAAGAGAGGCAGAGAGATAAAGAGACAGATAGACAGAGACAGGGAGAGATCAAGAGAGCCCCAGAGGAGAAGTTCTTAGGCATCAAGTCATGGTGGAGGAGCCCAGCACACAAGGCTGTACAAGGAGCCTCCTAGGCCTTCATTCTCCCTCCATGTGCCTCCACGTGTGTAAGAACAGCCTTCGGGGGCTCACAAAAGAGGGCATCTGGGGCTCCTAAATGAGGCTGCAGGACAAAGACCCACTGGGTCTCACTCAGAACAAGGCAACCTGCTTCACCCAGCAGCAGAGAAAGGATGTTGTCAGGAGCAGAACAAGAGACTCCAGGCCGCATTCAAAGTGTTCTCTAACAAACACAATTCCAGTGGCATTGTTCCCCAATCAGAGCCCCATTGACTGAGTGGCTCTTGTTATCTGACCTTCCTGTGAATGTCTGGGAGCGCTCCGAGCCAACACAGCCTCTTACGTAAGAGGATTTTAGAAAGAGCCCTTTGTGCCAGCAGGTGGTGAGGACATATCCACGAGGGCAGGTCTTCCGCACCTTTCCTCATTTGCTGAGGGCATGAATGGCTGGGACCTGGGCCTGCAGCGGGAACAAAAGCCCATTCACAGGCACAGTCTCCGGAGAGCTCCCGCGGGATAATGCAGGGCTCTGGCTTCCAGGTTCGCAGCACGCACTGCTCCCGCCCACCCACTCCAGACTTCCGAGTGGACTCTGCAATGTGATGCTGCAGGTGGGAATACAAGTTCATTTTCCATTGTGGGAAAAAAAAATGTGTGGAAAGCATCGTCATACTATTATTCAGAAACATCTCTTCTAGACAGTTCCTCAGTCACTGAATGGCTGGGTTTGCCTGTTATACCCAGGCTCAGCTGAGGTGCCTGGGACTCTGAAATCTTCTCCACCATGCGAACACACATCAACAGGGTTAGGAGTGGATGGGCACAGCCCTGTCCTCACCTCCCACCTCTGTGCCTCTTCACGGATGCGACATTTATTCCACTCTGTTGTGTTCTAATGAGGCACCCTGATTCATCTTCAGCTTTTAGGGCCAACAATAACTCCTGCTCCCTTTTTTACCCCAGACTCTGGCCTTTTCACTAGATGTTTCCAACAAGATTAGACGCTGTTAATGCTCCAGGTGAACTATGTTCTTTTCTTGTAGGCTCACATCACATCTGTGACCTAACAGGTATGTGCAATTTTTCTTTATTGTCCTATTCTCCCCAGTGGGGAGAGGACTGTGTCTTGGTTTGCTTCCCTTGAGACCCTGTACTAGCACAGCATCAACACTGGACACCATGGGGCAAATCCAAGCTCAGCCTTCTCTGTTCTCAGTGCTCACTGTGGGCCCCCACAGTCCCCACAAACAGTGGGAATGGGCCAAGCTGTGACTCCTGAACCTGTCTCTTCCTTGGAGGGAGCTTCATACATCATGAGCACAGTGTTCTTTTTATTTATTTGTTTGTTTGTTTGTTTATTTTTGAGATGGAGTCTCACTCTGTCACCAGGTTGGAGTGCAGTGGTGCCATCTTGGGTTCACTGCAACCTCTGCCTCCCAGGTTCAAGTGATTCTCCTTACTCAGCCTCCTGAGCAGCTGGGACTACAGGCGCGTGCCACCACACCCAGCTAATTTTTGTATTTTTAATAGAGACGGGGTTTCACCATGTTGGCCAGGATGGTCTCAATCTCTTGACCCCGTGATCCGCCTGCCTCGGCCTCCCAAAGTGCTGGGATTACAAGCATGAGCCACCGCACCCAGCCGTGTTCTTTTTAATGAACTAAATAATTTAAGTAATGCAATGGAAGAAGTTGGTGGAGAATCTAATCCATTTTCCCAGTCTGGGAATCAGCAATCTCACATTTGTCCTCCTGCCTCTGCTTGCCACTTTCTCCCTTTGGTAGTCAGGTTTTTATGCGTAAATCCTGATTCGTGGAAAAGAATTAGAATTCATGGTCTACTTCTGATCCAGTGGCCTGTTAGGTTGGTAACAATCTTTATCATCAATGCAGCAACCATTCATCCTTTCCTAATGTTGGCAAGGTGTTAATTCACTAAATCCTCATAAACCACAGGATGCGGTGGGTAGCTGCCATTCTCATCCCTGTTTTATGTATGTGATAGCTGAGGTGCCCAGAGGGTCAGTCACCTGCTGGGCCACACACTGAGTGGGGAAACAGGGCTGTGGCCAGCTGGCCAGCAGGGCTGCTTGCTTAAGACACATTCTCAGCCACCCGACTGAGGTGCTCCTAGCCACAAGCCTTCGAATTCACTGTTGACACTGAGGCAAGAGATGATCCTTCAACTGAATATTGCAAAAAAGAATAACTTTGGAAATAAAGTACTAGACATGGAAATAAAAGAAATTTAGGAAACTTGTTTCCTAAGGAAAATTGTTCCTTTGCTGGGTCTGAGAGGTGACTGCACCCCTCATGAAGCATCAGGTCTGAGAGGTTAAGCCTCTCAGAGAAATATTCACAACTTGCGTGTAGGATGGACCATAGTGTGGCTATCTCCAGAAAGACAACACTGAATTGGTAAGACAGATTTGTAACAGGAAGAGGCTACTCTATTCCAAGTGGGTGTGGCCCATCCCACTATTTAATTTCTTGATTGGGTTCACATTGACAATCTTTGTCTGCCTTTTTCAGATTCATGTGAAAAGCCACTGCTACCAGCCTCTCCGTGGGGTCCGTGACATGTTCGGATGGGGATTTTGCCTTTAATGTAGTCTAGTGTCTTTTAAACATCCCTTTCTTCCTATCATTCAAATTTGTTATTATTGTCTTCTGTATTTCATAGGAAAACAAATACTGCTTGTTATATATTTCTGTTAAAATATTGCATACACTTTTGCTGTTTTGATTTTGCATCCTTTTTAAAACTCTGTGTCATGATCTTTTTATCGGACTTTAACTTTTCAAGATTTCCATGTGTGTGGGAAACAATGACTTTTTTGTCTACAAATCCCGAGTTTCCTATTGCTCTCTAAGGAAGTTGCTCTTCTGTAACAACTGTGTCAGTATTTCCATTGCCTCATACTTAATTAACATGTTTCATTCATCTGTTGCAATTATCGTTTTTTTTCCCAAAAAATGCCAGGTTTTAATATAGAGCAGTTATCCCGCGATTAATTAGAACCTTTCAGCTCACTATTCTTGGAATATCCTTTTACAATTTTAGCACCCTATAGATTATCTGAGGCTCACAAAAATGAATTTTATTGTTACTACCGAAATAGTTGGAAACAATGGGGAGTGGGAGGGATATAGATTCAGCTCTCAGAAGACGTGTGATATGCCCCGTTCCCCAAACCCTGGCCCTGTGGGGATTTCTTCATCCTTCAACGTCAGCCCACAGGATGAGGATATGATGGAATAGGGGGGTGTAGTTTACTGTCAACTTTTCTTAAATATCCCTTTTCCAACTATTCTTTGATCTCTCCCTCTCATTCTCTATGGGCAGGAAAATAGCTCACTTTTTCACATTGCACTTAAAAAAAAACAGTTGGATGCAATGGGGTCTCTCTAATCACCATGGGAGCAAGAGGACTGAGGCTTCCAGAATTGCCCATTGACTGGAGAACATTGCTGAAGATGCTGCTCTGTTTATGAATGCAGCATTTACGAATAAGACCTGCAACAACCAGAGGCTCAATGGTGGAGAAGGAGGCATCAGGCCATGAGTTACAGTTCAATGCTGTGACAAGGGGGGTGAAGTCCATGCCTAAAGCCACGGGAGATTAATGGTGCCTCTGGGCTTGTGGAAGTCTCCCTAAAAGAGGTCACATTTCTGAGAAGAGATATTTGCATACCAAGGGACTTTGGAGGTAGGCAGAGCTGTCCAGGAGTGGGAAGTCAGAAGGAGGGAGTAAACTAACTTCACCAAGTTTCACCTGGGGACCCGAGGCACAACCTCTGATGCTGGCAAGGAGTGTTCTCATCTGAACTGAGGATTACACCAATCATGGGTCACTCTAGGTGTGAGCTGTGTTTAGGAATTATACCTCAGGGGTATAGTTTAAGCAGCAATTTACCAGAAGAGTTTTCATAACTTCCCAGGTGACAGCACATTTTGGCTCTGTTAATTGAACTGGAAGCTTCCAGTTCCTGGCCTCTGTGATCCTGTGACAAAGTGACTCTGACCAGGTAACTCCTCTGTTTGGGAAAAGAGAGTCCTGCTCAGAATAGGAGCCGGAGCCTGATAGGACAGGTGGTCCCTGAAGTATCTGCTTCCCCCTCAGGGCTCCCTTGCTTCCTCCCCACTTACCCCATCTCCTGTTCTGTATATACTTTTATTTTATTTTAATCTCATTTATTGTCTGTCTTCTCCCTGGGATGTATGTTCCAGGAGTACAGGGATTCTTTTCTCTTTTAATTTCTGTAATATCCTCAGCACATATTACTTTGCCTGACTTGTAGTAGGAGCTCAATAAGTTGTTGTGGAATGAATAAATGAATTAAGTCATTGATAAATTATTCACCACTGTAACCATAATGAATTCAGATCCAGCGTGAATACTGGGTGTCCCCTAGCCTGTCATGCAATGTTTCCGTATATTGGGAGTGTTTATGACACTGCAGTTGCACTGACTCACTGCACAACGTGTCTCACTCCCAGCCTGCAGGCCTCAGGTGGAGGCAGAGCCAACGTGGCACATTCCTGTGTCTCATTTCAACCTAGGGAAGCTGACTGTGAGTAGGGCATGAGGACTTTTGTGTCCAGGCAGGTTTATTATGAGGCTGCGGTCTTGTTCTACACCACGTACACACACAGATAATTGGACCTCTGCCTATGTACAGATGGCAGAAATTCGGTCAATTAGTCTCTCTCTCTCTCTGGAAAATTAGTAAGAATCAAAAATAGAAATAAGGACTGAGGAAGTCATTAAGCATTGTTAGTGGGGAGTAACTTGGTTAAGGCATTACAGACTCCTGTACTGAAAAGACAAGCAAAAGCCCTGGAGCCACCCAGGGTCCTGAGTGATGGTCCTGCACCCCCTCCCACTCTCCAAGGTCAGTTCCTGCAGGGCTGGTAAAACCTCCATGCCAGGGGTGCCCTCACAAATGTTTCTAAACCCAAGCCCTTGAGGTCACCTACATGAATTCCTTATACATACAGCCAACGAGTCTGCAGGAAGCCTGTCTCCAGGTTGGAGTCTGCTTTGTAGAGGACAAGGGAGCCATCCCTGAGGTGGGAGGGAAGAGGGGAGGAAGCCCAGGTGGGTTGGAGGCAGAGCTTCAAACATGGGCCTACAGGTATATAAGCTCTCAGAAGACAAGAGGGAGAAAGTGCTGGGAACACGGCAAAGAAGTGTTCATCATCTTAATTTTCCTGTAAGTATCATTCCAGAAAGAGGGAGACCAAGTTGTAATTCCAACCCAGGGTTCTCACTCCAGAACCCAGGTTTCTGTGCTGTATCCAAACCTCTAACGCTGACTCAGGCAGCTAACGGGAACAGCTGGACTGGACGGAGCAGCATGATTGGAGGAAACTATGTTCCTAGGAATACTGTTTTAACTCAATGAGTGTAGTCAAATTGTGGGTTATTGTGGTTTATTAAAGCAGAGCTCCATTGTTGGAATGCCAACTCCCTATCAGACCAGCACTGGGCTTTCTAATCTTAATTTATAGTCCTCTTGACCACCTTGCCAGTGGGTACAGGTGACTTTATTTAGCAAACGAGGAGACTGAGGCACAAAAAGTTTGATGAGTGTGCTCAGGGTTGCAGAGATTGTAGGTGACAAAGCTGAGAAAGCTTTGATAGATTGATGACTGATTTATTTTTTTCTTCCCTTTGTTCTTTTTTGCAACCTGGCATGTGCCGGGCAAGTTAACCTACTCCTATGAAAATGATCTGCTTTCAGACCACGCCCAACCTATCAGGGACATGAAGCAGGGCTGCAGAATATCAAAGCACCATCTAGAGACTCAAAATCCGGAGACCCTATCAATTCCAAGGAGGATAAAAATCACCTTTGATTGCTCGAATCTGGGAAGGGCAGGTAGATGGGGTGACATTTGAAATGAGTCTTGAAGAGTGTCTAGGAAATGACTGAAAAGAGGCTTTCCAGTGTGCGGGGCACGATCGCCCTTGATATTTAGTTGTGTTTTACTGGCTGAAAAGTCTTTTCTTATTTATTTTTTCACATAATAAAATTTGCACGGTGATTTTCATGGAGTGACCAAGATAAATAGGTGGAGCTGCAAATACGTGTGCTGAGCAAGGGCAATGGTCAGACGCTCAGCCACGGACAGAGCACTGGAGGACAGGTGCTCTGGGCCACCCCTTGGGGGATCGTGAAAAGCAGAATCCCCCTCCCCTCAGTAAGAACCCACTTTATTTAACAACAGCCACTGGAGAAGTTCAGAGAAACCAAAAGATGATTCTTTGAAAAGATGAATAAAATTGATAAATATCTAGCTGAGAGGAAGTAGGGGCAGGGGACATGGAAGAGAGGAGGGAGGAGAGAGGATGAAAAAGGGGCACCTACAGAGATCCTACAGACAGAAAGGAAAATAGGGAATACTGGGAAAACTTTATGTCAATAAATTTGACACACTAGCGTTAAAATAGAGAATTTTTTTTTCACCTGAGGTCAGGAGTTTGCGACGAGCCTGACCAACATGGTGAAACCCCGTCTCTACTAAAAAATACAAAAATTAGCCGGGCATGGTGGCAGGCGCCTATAGGCTGAAGTGCAATGGCACTGTCTGGGCTCAATGAAACCTCCGCCCCCGGGGTTCAAGCGATTGTCACGCCTCAGCCTCCTGAGTAGCTGAGATTACAGGTGCCCGCCACCATGACTAGCTATTTTTTTTTTTTTTTTGGTATTTTTAGTCGAGGTGGGGTTTCACTATGTTGGCCAGGCTGTTCTTGAACTCCTGACCTCAGGCGATTTGCTCGCCTCGGCCTCCCAAAGTGCTGGGATTACAGGCGTGAGCTACGGCATCTGGACTAGAAATGTTTTAAAAGACACAAATGACCAAGCTAGGTTTTGTTCCAAATGATGATGAAAAACCATTAAGCAGTCGTTGTTGTGAAGTGAGTTGAGGGGAAAGATGGGCATGGGAGCCCAGACCCAGTAACTTGCAGTTACCCAGGGAGTGAAGACGGGTCCTACTAGGAGGTTGATGGCGGCAGTGGCTGACAGCATCAGGAACTAGAGAAGAAGAGGAGTCCTGAGGATCCAAAGCTCTCAATATCATCAACTGGGGAAAGCCATTTATGGTCTCAGGACCTGGAGGTAGGAACACACTTGAGGGGTTTGGGCAAACAAGTGTTCAGTTTGGGGGATGTCAAGGCTGAATAGCTGGTATTCAAATGCATGGAGGTCGAGAGGCAGTTGTGCATGCTAATACCATGCAGAAGAAATGTTGGGACAGGAGATGTAAACATTAGGAAGCTATCAGCACATAGTGCAGCTTCAGAGCAGTGAGTGCAGTGAGAATGGGAGAATCAGACTGAGCCGGAACTTTTCTGGGAACTGGGGAGAAGAAGGAACAACACAGGAGGAAAGCCAGAGGGAGTGATGCGATGACAGCTGAGCCCACAGAGCCTTTTCTAAAAAAGTGATGACAAAGTCTGTGTCAAATGCTGCTGAAAGGCCTGTATAGTGAACATTGCAAATTTCCCATGAGTTTTGATCAAGTGAAATTTATTAGTGACCCTGATGAGAACATTTTCACTGAAAGGAAGGACACCTGGAATGATGGAATGGAAGAAAGGAAGGACAAATATTAGACGCAGATGCTATAAACAATTCTTTCAAGGGGTTGATGATAGAAGAAAGCAAAAATAATGGTGGAAAATATTGGTACCATGTTAATACTTCGACGCTAGAGAAAATTGTTGTTAAAGTGAGGGATAATGTGGCGAGTATGATGTTGTTGGTAACTACTTAGTAAATATTGATAGGGTTGATTGTGGAAGACAGCGTGGCTATTCCTCAAGGATCTAGAACCAGAAATACCATTTGACTCAGTAATGCCATTACTGGGTATATACCCAAAGGAATAGAAATCATTCTACTATAAAGATACATGCACACGTATGTTTATCGCAGCACTATTTGCAATAGCAAAGACATGGAACCAACCCAAATGCCCATCAATGATAGACTGGATAAAGAAAATGTGGTACAAGTACACCACGGAATACTATGCAGCCATAAAAAGGAATGAGATCATGTGCTTTGCAGGGACATGGATGAAGCTAGAAGCCATCATCCTCAGCAAACTAACACAGGAACAGAAAATCAAACACTGCATGTTTTCACTCATAATTGGGAGCTGAACATTGGAAACACATGGACACAGAGAGGGGAACAACCATCAGGGCCTGTTGAGGGGTGGGGGGTGAGGGGAGGGAACTTAGAGGACGGGTCAATAGGTACAGCAAACCACCACGGCACTCGTATACCTATGTAACAAACCTGCATGTTCTGCATATGTATCCCATTTTTTAGAAGCTATAAAGAAAAAAGATATTGATAGGGTTGAATTGGAAATCCCCAACTCCAACATTTTCTGCAGAAATCAAACACACAAAAGCTAAAATATATTTTAAATGTACTATGTAATTTCTTACTTAATTGTATTATGAAGTGAATTTTTCTGCAAAGCAAAATATCTTTTAGCAAAGACCTGAGCCCTGTGATGAATGACTCTTTGAGCCCACTTTCCCCACACTGGGCTCACTGACCAGCAGGACGTGGGTGACACTGATCCCAACAACCTGCTCATCTGGTTGACAACTTAGGGATCATTGTGCAGCTGTTCTCTATAGGGAACCCTAAACTAAAGGTCAGACGGGAACCTGAAGTCATTCTTAGCATCAAGGAATGCGTCTGGATGGATATTAGGCATTTTCCAAGAACTTATTTCACAGTGATTAAGGCATTTCTTGGGAGAAGCTCTAGAATTTAGAAATCTTTTGGCATTTCTGGCTTAGCGGAGCTTTTTCCGTTCAGAAGTTCTTCCACTGCCTCATTATTTTTAAAATAAATGTTTATGGAAAGACATTGTTAAAGGAAAACAGAGTTTAGCAATTATTTCTATTCAGATTCTTTCCCTTAAATCTGGTAATATTTTAGGTTGGACCTATCTGAATATTTTTAGTGTTGATCAACACTGATTATTAGTGATTTGCATTTTTACAAGAAATTGATTGTATGAGTATACATACAGTACTAGGCATATAAGAAACATTGGTTTGAAAGTGTTACAAAAAGAATATGGATTTAACTTTTTTTCTTTCTTTCATCTTTCTTCCTTACATATTTATTGAAAGCCAACATGTAGTGGGAACTGTGTTTTTTCATGGAATTCAAAGAAGATACTGGCATAGGTACTGCCCTATGGGATTCCACAGCCCAGTGTGGGAGCCTGTCACAGAAACTAACAACAGTGGCAGCAGTGACACTGGGGTAATAATAAGCTACTACTGTTTAGTATGTGCCAGGCTCTCTGCTAAGCACTGTGCACAGATTATTTCACCCACTGTCAAAAGCACATGCTATCATTTTCCTTATGGTTTTAGATGAGAAACCTGAAGAGCAGAGAGGTTGAGTGACTTGTCCTTCCTGTCACAGGATTGGTGAGCCACAGAGGCGCGCATCCCCACAGCCAGCACTTGGCACGATGACCCAGGGAGGGAGCAGAGGAAGTGCCCCAGGGAATCCAGGGGACCCATTCAGCAGCCCAGATGGAGGGTCTTAAAAGATACATAGGAGTAAGTCCAGAGAAGAGGGGTTGTGGAAGGCAGCCACTGGCAGGAATGAAACGATGAATGCCTGAGAGGTGAGGTGCTTTGGCAGAGAGGAAATTGTAGTAATGCAGAGTCGCTGGAGTGGAGAGAGGGGGATGAGAATCAGCATAGTGGGCTGAGGGGCTGGAAGGGAGTGAGGAACTTAGGCATTTTGTCAAGAAGATGGAATTCTGTCTAGTGGATTTTACTGTCACCGAACCAAACTGGATCAATTTGCCTACACAACGGAAAGTCAAACACCCAAGCACTGAGTTTTTGCAGCAAGGAAGTTTGATTGCTGTTTGGACAGAAGAGAGCAGGAAATGCTCAACTCTGTCTCTCTGAGCTGGGTTTGGAGCTTTATAAGCATAGGTAATGAGGTGCGATCTGACTGGATCTTGCAATTAGGTTTTGCTGGGAGGCATGATCTGACTGGATTCTGCCATGGAGAGATGCTAGGCTTGATATGATTGGATCCTGGATCCTGGTATACCCTGTTGGCTTCTTAATTCAGTCCCACTCCTCTGCCTGACCACTTAGGTTCCACTGGTGCCTTGTTTCTCTGGGAATGCTCCAGTTACGTGGCCTTCAACATGGGGGTCCATGGCAACTGACAAACAACTCATGACTCTGTTACATAAAAATTGAACCAGATCAATCTGTGTGGTGACATTGGGAAGAATATTTGGGGTTTGGGGGGGACATACTTTACAAAGAACATTCCATATGTTCTACAGAGATGGGACTGGAGAGGGAGAGAACTAAGGTAAGAGATTGGGAAAGAAAAATGGATTGAACAAATATTTAGAAACTAATAATGATGCAGCCTAGAGAATGCTTGTTTAAAGAGTAGAAAGGTGAAAAGGAATGTGGAATGTACCCGACTTCCTGGACATGGTTCTTGCTCTTTTTCTTGTGATACAAATCTAACTCCTTTTATGCAAGGGTCAGACCTACGACTAATTTTCCCACTCTGTAAGGCTGGGATTCCATTGGGAATCTAGGGCTGAGAAAACTCTATCCCCATTGAGATTGCTCTTCTCACCCCCACTTTGCACACCTGTCTGTTTCCCTGTGGGGCTGTATGAATTATTTGGATGCAACAAGCTGATGTTGTTATAATCTGAAGCTTCAGAGCCTGCCTGGTACCTGCAACACAATTGATATTTTAAAAAAGTGCCTAAGGAAGGAAACCATAGTAACATCAGAGTGAAGAAAACCTAGCAGACACCACCTTAATCAGGTGACCAGGATCATCATCACCAGGAATAAGACCTATTGGTACCATGTACTGCTAATGATATGATGTGTAGGGCATTTCATGTGCATGTCGCTCCTCTCCAAAATCTCTAACCCTAGTCTAATAATGAGCAAACACCAGACAAACCCAAATTGGGAACATCCTACAAGATACTTGACCAGTACTCTTCAAAAATGCAGGGTCATGAAAGATAAGGAGAGACAGACATTGCTGAGCTTCACCTGAGCCCTGTATCCCCAGAAGCATGAAGATGGAGAAATCTACCTACCAGCCCACATATTCTCACTCTCAACCTGTCTACCTGCCCCTTTAAGACACCAGACTCTTCAGTGATGTATGTTCTCCCTGTTACGATGACCTGAATTACATCATCCTTAGTTGTCTGTTGCATTTTGTCTTTCCAAAGACTGAGAAAACAAATACTTGTAATGTGATATTCTCAAATGCCCTAAACAGATAAAGGGCATTTGTGGGACACCCGGGGAAATATTAATAAAGTCGGCAGTTTAGTTAGTAGTATTGTGTTAATGTTAATGTTTTCATTTCAATAAATGCATGTGATTATGCAAAATGTTAACATTAGGGGAACATAGGTGAACCCTGTACTATCTTTTTAAGTATCTGGTGTGTCCAAAATTATTTGAAAAAAATCTTTTTTAAAGTTTCTGCTAAATGGCTAAATATCAGCAACATTTGTGTCTCCTCTGGAGCTCTGGAATCCTAAAATGTTGCAGAGGATGGTGAAGTGCACGTCCCAGAGCCACATCTAAGATGTGGCACTCATTCTCCACACTGCCAACAGTACTGAAAAAGGACAGCCCAGCCAGTGCTTCTCTAGGCGTTGCCTGAGCCAATAAGAGACCAAGACCCTGCTTCTCTCCAGGGGAACACATTTACCAAGACTAGTGACAGTGAGGGATAGAAAGGCCTTCCCCCTTGCTTTATGGAGGGTGCCTTTGGGGCCCTTTTTTGACGCAGAGTTTTCTGTCTTATGACCACATTACATTACAAACCTTGCATTTTCCCAATTCTATCAACTTCAACCCCCCCTTGATTGTTGATCCCAACAGCATTCACCAAATAAACTTCCTCTTCAAAATCTTTGGCTAAGAGACTATATTCCAGGGAACCTGACCTCTGTCAGGCATTTACTACATTGGTGCAAAAGTAATTGAGGTTTTTAACCATTACTTTTAACTGCAAAATCCTCAATTTCTTTTAATAAAAGGCACTCCACACACACACACGCACACACACACAAAACCACCTGCACTACTGTACTAATTGGGGTTGTCCAGAAAAACAGAACCAATGTAAGGGGCTTATTTTTAATAACTAGCTCATGTGATTGTAGGGGCTGGCAAGTTGGAAATCTGCAGGGCAGGCCAGCAGCCTGGAGAAACAGGGAGGGTTTCTATGTTGCAGTCTGGAAGCAGAATTCCTTCTTTCAGAAATTTCAATCTTTGCTCATGGGTCCTTTAACGGATTCAACTGACTTGAAAAGGCCTATCCATCCACATTATGTAGGGCAATTTGCTTTATGCAAAGTCTACTGATTTAAATGTTAATCACATCTAAAAAATACCTTCACAGCAACATCAAGACTGATGCTTGGCTAAACATCTAGGCACCATGACCTACCCAAGTTGACACAAAAAAATCAACCATTACAGTCCACCCACACTGTCAGCAAACGTAAAAGCAATAATTGCACATAGCATAGGCCATGGCAGAGCATGCTGTCTAGAGGGATCTTGCCTGTTACTACAGAAAGACGTTTTCGAGGCCAGGACTAGAAATGGGAAATGTGAATCGAGGCACTATTCCTTGTGTGACATCACTGGCATGTATTAAACACATGATTTTCTGGATTTACACTTATTATAATAATATAGATGGGACTGTGAGCAATAAGTTGAATAACATAAAATGCTGTCAATCTTCACTTTTATTTTTATATTTCATCTACATTTTAAATTTCTTTCAGTGTGAGAAGCTTTCCCCAAGCTGGTGTATAGACACTCTTGCAAGCTTTAAAAATGTTCTGGTCCCTTGAAAGCAATAGGGAGTTTCATCGTAATTTCAGTTTGCAAAAGAGATTCTTGATTCAGAAGTTAGTATGTTCAGACCAAAATATTTAGTACTATTTTGATCTTCAAAGTTAAGCTTTCCCTCTCCTGCAAAGCAGAAGGAAAAAGAGTTGCCAGGGAAGCATCCATAGTGAGCCTATAGGTTGGCAGCAGAAAACATATTTTATGGTCTATACATATTTCTCAAAATAATTAATATAGGACTGCATATAAAATAGGTGCTTATTATCTGTAGATATTTTAGTAAGATTGGCATGCTTTCCTCTAACTCAATTAGGAAAGGATTTTTAGGAGATGGGAGTGAGTAAATGTACCTAATATGGCACAGAAGATGAGGACCCAAATTTGATCATTAGATTTAGCAAAGCAAGGGTTACTAATAGTTTACACAAGAGTAATATTTTGGTGGCATGTCAGGAGAAAAGCCTCACTGTAATGTTAATAAAAATTGGGAGAAAAAGCCACAGTGAGAGTAGAAAATGGCAAGATGTTCCGTAGATGAGAAGGTAACTGGGGTGAAAAGGGAATCGCGTGTGTGTGCATGTGCGCATGCTTTAAGACGGGCAAGATAACAACATGTTTTTATGCTGATGAGAACTACCTAGAAGAGAGTGTGAGGAAGAACAACAACTGATGCTATAGGGGAGAGGACAGAATTACAGGTATGTGTTCCTCACTGGGGAGAGGCAATAGTAGACAACAGTCAAGTGTGGGGGCCACAGGGAGTTTCTCCTCGGCCACAGGAAGGAATGCAGAGCACGTGGCTCAGATATGGTTGAGGAGGCTTATGGAAGTTCTGTGCCTGCTCTCTTCTTATTGTGTTATTTTCTCAGTGAAATAGGGAGCTAGTCATCAGCTGATGGTAGGATGAATTAGAACTTTGAAGAGAGGAGAATGACTCACGTTATAGCTCAGGGGATTTGGAGAGTAAACAGACTCTAGCATGATGACTGGGTAGCGTTATGTCATGGCTCAGATACTGGTGTCATGAGCTCTTCCTCAACTCCACAGTCCAGTTTGAAAGTGACCAAATCTTCTTGTTTTGTCCCAGACTTTCTCAGTTTTGAGAAAGTCTCATGTCTCAGGAAGCCCCGCAGTCCTGGGCAAAGCAGACGACTGGCCACCATGTCAAAGTTCTCCTGGTTATCAACCTTAAGGCTTTTCTCTTGAGATGTGAAGGGAGCAGACATCCCATTTTCACCTCTGGCTCAGTGGGAGGGGAAAGGTCGTAGTAGCACTTTCTCTGAAGAAATCCCCACATAAAGTCCTTCTCTCCACCTGCACTCTCACTCATGTCATCCGTATAAATTTCAGAATCCAATAACCATTCTTGGGAAAGAACATATTTTTAGAAAAATACCATTCCATAATTTTAGAAAATTTGTTATTTTAAGATAGTTTAAAAATATATTATTTAAAAACACATTAAAATATATGACTTTAAAATTCTCCTTAGAATTTGGCATCTCTTGAAAGGTAGTGCATCAGTTGGACTTTAGATTTAGTGCCCTGTCACACTAAAAGTGTTGACTAAAAATGAAGCATCTACTCACATCATCACCTTTATTTCTTCTGCGTATTGTAGATGACATTGTTAGCTTTGAAACATTTCACCTCACTTCTTGCCTCTAAGTTGTATGATATTTAACACAACCTTCAAAAGTAAATTATGTCATCACTTAAATGGATCCAGAAACAAGAATATTGTTCTAATAATCAAGCCAAACTCTGAATAATGCTTTTGTCAGATGGCCTTTATCATCTCCCAAATCTCTGTCTCTACTTTTGACTTCATGAAAGGCTAAAGGGTAAGAAAATCACTGATACCCTTCTGTGCCAGATGAAAATGTTCTGTCTGATCAATTTTAAAGGTCAGTACCTGTTAAAGGACAGTGCTTGTGGAAAACGATATGGCTTTGTACTGTAAAACAAGAATCCTTTACACTCACTTAAGGACACAATCAACAAGTTAATTATAATTTTATTTTCTTTTTGCAAATCTTTCTTTTTACTCATTTTTTAAAGAAGAAGGGTGGAAAAAACAGATGATACATTACTTGAGATCGAGCAAATTAGTATTACACAATCTTGGTTTATCAGCTTAAATATCTTGTAACTAGGAGGGTGTGCTGAATTATTGAAAGGATTATGAAAATTATTCTCTAGGGCTAGCTTACCCCTCCTTTTTCTTACCATGTAACAAAAATCACATATACTTATTTTTTTCAGTAGAAGTATTATTTTTCTTGGAACTCTGTGTCAAATAAGATAATAGAGAAGAAAGCACTGTGGGCTGTCTGGGTTGGTTAACAAAATACAACCATGATTAATAGCAGAGATTTTAAAGGCATCTGCCTCCCAGGAAGATCACATCATCCAGTTGTCTTCTCTCCCTGAGAGAGAAATTCCAGTCCCTTTCCTTGGTTGCATTTTCAGGACCTGATATAGCTACTTTATAGGACTGTAGAAGTCAACCTCTGGACATGGGTAGGGTTCAGAGTAGCAGGGTGGAGGGGAGCCTGGTATGGTGGGAAATGCTTGGGGTTTGGAGCTCATTGGGCTTGACTGTGCCATTTAGGGCATAAACTTTGTCTGATTCTGAATGTTGCTATCTAGGAAGTAATACTAATAATTGCTTCAAAAAAAATGTCATGGGGATTGTCTGCTGTATGAGGTCACTTGCTGAATATTTGAGCTGAAGTTTGAGCTATTGAATGCAACTTCCTATATATTCCTTTTGTATTATTATGGAAATATAGCCTACTCACACCTTATGTCCTGCAAAATGGGAAAGTGTTCCATAATAAATTCCCCTGTGCTATGGGGATTAAAAACACTGCAAAGCTTAGACTTTACAGGGATTCTAGAAAAAATGAAACCTCTGATGCTTACACGTACAGCAAATATTAAATTCAACCCACCTCCTAGGCAGATTAATTTAAATTTCACATTAGAATACTACTTACATCAGTTCCTATTACCTGACATAGGATGTGTGGCTTCTAACCACCAAAAAATTACAAGATATGCTAAAAGGCAAGATAAAACACCATCTGAGGAGACAAAACAAGCATCAGAGTCAACCTCATCCAGGCAGAGATTTTGGAATTATAAGACAAAAATTTTAAAATAACTATGGCTAGGCTGAGGGCTCCAAAGCAAAAAACAGGCAACATGCAAAATCAAATGAGTAATGTAAGCAGAGAGATAGCATTTCTAAGAAATAATCAAAAAAATACTAGCAATCAAAATAATCCATAACAGAAATGAAAAATGTCCTTGATGGCCTCATCAATAGATTAGGCATAGCAAGGAGAACATCAGTGGGCTTAAAGTTATGTCAAAAGAAACTTTCCCAAATTAAATTCAAAGAATGAAAACCAAAAGACAAACTAAAAAAGAACACAACACCCAAGAGCTGCAGGACAATTTCAAAAGGTTTAGCATGTGTTATTGAAATATCAAGAGATGAGAGAAAAAGAAGCAGAAGGTATATTTAAAGAAATAGTGGGTGCAAATTTTCCAAAATTAATGACAGACACAGTTCCAGGAATTTCAGAGAATATAAAACATGATAAATAAGTGTAGGTAAATACACCTAGGAATATCACAATTAAACTGTAGAAAACAAAAGACAAAGAGAAAATCTTGAAAGCAGCCAGAGAGAGTAAAAACACCTAACAGATATATGAAAAAAGATAAGAATTACATCAAACTTCTTGTCGAAAACCATGCAAACAAGAAGGGAGTGGAGTAGAATATTTAACACTTGAACAAAACAAAAGAAAATAAACTTGCAACCTTGAATTCTACATCCTATAAAGTGATCCATTAAAAGCTAAGGAGAAATAAGGACCTTCTCAAACAAAAACTAAGGAAATTTATTGCCAGTAGATGTAACCCTGAGACATTTTAAAAGAAGTTCTTCAGGGAGAAAGAATATAATACTACTCAGAAGCTTGGATCTACATAAAGAAAGGAAAGCATCAAAGGAGGAATAAGTGATTATAAAATTAAATTTTATATTATTCTTATTCTTAATTGACTGAATAGGTAGCTGTTTATTCAAAGTACTAATAATAACAACAGTGCATTAAGTGATTATAGTATATACATAAGGAAAATGAACAACAACAAAGTTAAAAGGGACAGGAAGGAGTGATTGGGGTACACTGTTAAAGGTACCTGTACCACCTATGAAGTATTATGGTAGTATTTGAGAGTGGACTTAATTTGGTTGTAAATATATATTGCAAACTGCAGAGTAACTGCTAAAAACATTTTTAAAAAGAAGTATAATTGATATGCTAAGAGAAGGGAGAAAATCTAATCATATAAAATACTCAATTAAGACCAGAGGGGGCATGAAATGCAGCAAAGAAAAGGAAAAAAACCCAGCAAGCACAAAAAGTAGAAAATTGTCCCAAAATCACAGATTTAAACTAATTATACAAGAAATCACTTTAACTGTGAATGGTCTCAATATACCAAAATAAAAACAGAGATTGTCATAGTGGATAAAAACAATAACCAACTCTATGTTGTCTAAAATAAACCCACTTTATATAGAAAGACACAGATAGGTTAAACATAAAGAAATGAAGAAAGCTATATACTAATCAAAACAAAGCCAAATTAGCTAAATTCATTTCAGACAAAGTAGATTTCAGAACAAGGAAGATTGTCAGAAATGTGGAAGTCCACTACATAATGAAAAAATATTCCCCAAGAAGACATAATAATTCTTAATGTGTATGTACTTAACAATATCATCAAAATATGGGAGAAAAAAGTAACCGTATAGTTGGTAATTTTACCACTCCTCTTTCAGTAATTGATGAAACAGACAGAAAATAAGGATATAATTGACTTGACAGCACCATCAATCAATTTGATCTAATTGATATCTATAGAGCATGTATCTAATAATAGCAGAATACTCATTCCTCTTAAGTTCACATGAAACAATGACCAAGATAAACCACATTCTGGGCCATAAAACACTCTTGTGTTTTAAAGACTAAAGAGCAAGTTTTAAAGACTAAGATCAAAAACTATGCTCTTAGACCACAATAGACATCATTGAGAAATCAGTCAAAGCTAGAACAATTCATGCAACCAAATACAGGAAGTTGTACTGGATTATAACCTAAAGTATAAAAGAAATATTCATAAATATATATTCTGATATAAATAAATGACTAAAACAAAAAATAGGGAGAAGATACAAACATCTCAAAAAGGAAAAATATAAGTAATTTATGTAGACACTTTATTTGTAAGGAGAAAAAACATAACTCATGACTTTGCAAGTGTCCAATGCACAGTGACTTATTTCTGGAGTGCAGCATGCAAGGGGGAGAACAATGAAAGCTTACACATAAAGAAACTTGACCAACACTGCCTTAGCCAGGTGCTCAAGCTCAGCATTGGCAGTGATAAGTCATGTTAGCAGTATGTACGTTTGAAATAATATGATAAAAATGGCATTTTGCTTCTGTGATTTTCCTAAAATCCTATCTCCATGCTGATCATAAGAAAAACATCAGACAAACTCTAGTAGAGGGGAATCCTACAAAATATTTGACATGTATCTCTCAAAATCATCAAGGTCATGAAAACAAGGAAATTATGGGAAACTATCAGAGCCTAAAGAAGGCTAAGGAGACATGACAATAGTGCAATGTGATATCTTGGACAGGATCTGAGAACAGGGGAAAAAAAAAACCCACTTGGTAAAACCCCCCCAAAACTAAATAAACTATGGACTTAGTTAATATAATGTATCAGTATTTGTTCATTAAGTGTAATAAATATGTCATATTAATTTAAGATGTTAATAGGAGGAAAGTTGGTACAGAATATGTAGCAACTATACTATCTTCTTAATTTTTCTGTAAATTTAATATTATTCTAAAAAGTAAGGGCTATTACAAATATTCAATTAATTTGAAAGAAAGCAGAAAAGAGGAAAAGAGAATTAAAAACACATGAGACAAACAGAAAGCAAATAGCAATACCATACATTTATACCCAATCATATCAATAATCATGTGAAATGTAAAGGATCTATACACCTCAACTGAAAGGCAGAGAATAGGATTTCTGTTTATGTACAGATGCAGGAAGATACGTCTTCCTGTTCTCCTCTAAGGAAAACTAAAATCTTTGCACTTCATATATAAAAGCAACATAAGAAGACACTATGGTAGGAGAGAATAAGGAGGACTGGCCAAGGACTTCAGGACCTCAAGAACCCAGGAAAGACATGGTGGTGAGGCCTGTGAGCTTTATTTTTTTCTCATATATTTTAGACTTGGAACTAAAGAAGCCAGGATGCCAAAAATGCGAATGGGCATGGATGAAAGGCTGAAAACAAAATGCTTTCCTCAGCCAAGAGATCAGGAAAAGGGAAGCCTGGCAAAACATAAAACTTTTAGATTATAACCTCTATACTCCAGCCAAACTGCAGAAAGATGGTTGTGCCAGCTCCTTTGATGGCAACAATGTCAAATGCCTCAGCTGACTATAACAAGAGGCTCCAGTCATTTTCTGGGATGGTGTCAGAGAAGGCCAGGTAGGGAGGCAGGACGTTCATTACTGCTCAGTGGTCACTAGCCTAGACCCACAAGGAGTAGATGGAGACCATGTTGGGGGGTCTGAACTTCCTTCCTAATCCAGCAGTAATGAGGCGCCCCTTCCCTTCCTTGCTAGAATCATGGAAGAGAAGGCCTAATAGACCTTCTGGACCTTCACCACCCCTCAGTGGTAGTGAGGCTCCCTTCCACACACTCCCACCCTGCCTCTCACACCGCCATGGTGTCTGTGGAGGTAACATGAGAAGTAGGAGCAAGGCAGATCTATCCTATTCAGTCAGTAAGGTATCAGTGATCAGTGGAGACACTTTAGGAAATATTTCTTTAATCCACCTAGAAGGAAAGAGAAGCACTCCCTACCTTGGATTTCAATGGAGGAAAGATGGGACAGTGAAACTTTTACCCACACATGGAAGTAATGTTAGTAACCTCTTTCCCCAGTTCTCCTGCCAGTGTGATGTCAGAGAAATCCAGCTAACACAGAAGATTTCAATAAGATCTAGAGTTTCATAATATCCAAAATGTCAATCAGTAATTACTCCTAACACCAAAACCCAGGAGATCTTAAACTTAATGAATGTAAACAATCAATAGATGCTAACACAGAGATGATAAAATAAGCTTAACAAGGATTTTAAAACCATCAATACAAAAAAGCTTTAATGGGTAATTGTGAACATACTTGAAATAGAATAGACTAATAAATAGAAAGTCTCAGCAAAGAAATAGGAAAATATACAGAAGGACATAGACTGTACAACTGAAGAATTCAATGATTGAAACAAAAACTTCTATGGGTTTGCAGAATGGAGGGACAGAGGACAGGAGCAGTAAACTAGAAGATAAAAGAATAGAAATTTTCCAATCTGAACAAGAGAAAACAGACTAAAAGGAAAAAAGAAAAGAACAGAGCCTCAGGAATCTGTGGGACAATAACAAAATATCTAATATTTATATCACTGGACTACCAAAATGAAATAAGTAAGAGTGAGAGGCTGAAAAGTACTTGACAAAATAAGGGCTGAAAATTCCCCAATTTTGGCAAAATACATGAACTTATAAACCCAAGAGACTAAGGGAAGCCTAATTATGATAAACCCAAGGAAATCTACACCAAGACACAACATAATCAAATTTCAAAAAATGAATCACAAAAATAGTTTTAAAAACTCCAAAAGAAAACAACAACCTAACCACAGCAGAAAATCAATTCAAATTACAGGCAATATCCCATCAGAAATTATAGAGGCCAGAAAGAAGTGACACAAAAAATTTTAAATGTTGATGATGAAAAAATAACCCAGAACCTTATACAGTGCAAAGATGCTTCATGAATGAAGGGGAAATCAAAACACTCTCAGATAAAGGAAAATGGTGAGAATTTGTCACAATCAAGCCTACTCTAAAAGAATGGCTCAAGGACGTTCTCAGAATAGAAAGTTAACAATAAATAGAGGAAACGGAACAGCAGGAAGAACAAAATACAGTAAGCAAACATATGCATAAATACAATATACTTTCCTTTTCCTCTTGAGTTTTCCAAATAATGGCACAGCATTAAAACAAAATTACAGCTATCTCCTGTGATTATTAATGTATGTGAAGTAAACGTTTAAGACACTTATAAATGAGGTCGGGTTAAAAAAAACTAAGGAGAGATAAAGTTTCTAGATTTTACTCAAACTAATAATATGATGACACCAGTAGACTTTGATAAGTTATGAATATAATACCAGAGAAAACACAAAAAGCTATATAAAAAAGGCACACCCTGAAACACTACAGAAAAACTATACAAAAGGTACACTCCAAAACACTACAAAAAATGAAATTAAAAAACTTTTTAAGTAACGTAGGAATTCAGAAAAAAGAAAGCTCAGAAATGTTCTCTGAGAGAGAACAGACAACAAAAATAAAATGGCACATTTAAACCTTAACTTCTCAACAATTACATCATGCATAAATGATCTCAATAGCAATTAAAAGACAGATTTTCGGAGTGGATTTTAAAATATGACACAACTATATACTGTTTATTTAAAAACTTACTTCAAATATAACCATATAAACAGATTGAAAATAATGCAGCAAGATACCTCATGCAGACATCAATCAAAAGAAAAAAGGAGTGGACTATATAATAGTAGATAAAATAAATATTAAAGCAAAGAAAATTACCAAAAAGAAGGACGGTCTATAATGATAAAAGGGTCAGTTCACTGAGAAACCAAGCAGTTAGCATAATCACTAAAGAACACAGCTGCAAAATATGCAAAGGAAAAACTGATAGAATGGAAAGGATTTGGAGACAAATACACAATTTTAGTTGATGACATCAACAACTATCTTTCAGAAACTAGCAGAAGAAAATCATCAGAGACATAGAATAACTCACTATACTATGAGCCAAAAGGGTCTAATTGTCATGTGTAGTTCACTCTATCCCAAAAGAACAGAACACATGAAATATTCCTGGTATTCAGAAAAAAAATATACCAAGGTAGACAATTTCATGGACCATAAAACAAACCTCAACAATTTTAACAAAATTGAAATAATACAGTGTATTCGCCAAACACAAAGAGGTGAAACCAGAAATCTACAATAGAAATAGAACAGGAAAATCTTCAAATTTACTTAAAAACTAAACAACACACTTCTAAATAATCCATAGGTTTTTCAAGGAGGAAATCTGTCAGAAAGCAAATGAAAAAATATATTGAACTTAGTGAAAATGAAAATGCAATATATAGAAATTTGCAGAATACTGCTAAAGCAGTACCGAAATGTAAATTTACATCGGTAAGTGAATGCCTTGGAAAAGAGAAAAACTCTCAAATCAATTATATAAGCTCCCACCTCAAGAAACTTCAAAGGGGTGATTTTTCAAAAACATCAATAAAATTGACAAACCTCTGCTAAGAATGACAAAAACATAATAGGTAAGATAAAAATTATGCAGGCAAAGAATTATTCAGGGGCTGTCACTGGAGACCTTGCAGATGTCAAAAGAATTAGAGAATACTAGGAGCAACTCTACACATAAAATTTAACAGTTTAGAAGAAATGAACCAATTCCTCCAGAAGCACAAACTCTCAGAACTCAGCCAATATAAAATTGATAATATGAATGGCCCTGTAACTATTAAAGGAATTGGATTTGCAATTAATCCTCCATCTCAAAAAACAAAAATACCCAAGCCCAGATTGTTTCACTAGAGCATTCTACCAAATGATTAAAATGAATTATTACTCATTCTTCACAATCTATCCCAGAAAGAAAAGGAGAGAAAACATACTAATTCATATTAAGAAACCAATATTACCCTGTTACCAAAACCAGACAAAGACAGCACAAGAAAGCCAACCCTACAGATTAGCATCCTATGTGAATATAAATGTAAAAATTCTTAAAAACTGTTAGCAAATAGAATTTGGCAATATATAAAAGAAATTATACATCATGACCAAGTGGGGTTTATTCCAGGGATGAAAGCCTGGTTCAATATTTATATATCAATTATTTCAATGTACCATGATATTTCTAAAGTGAAAAATCACATAGCCATATCAATTGATGCAGAAAACACATTTGATGACATCCAAAATCTATTCATGATAATAGCTCAGCAAGTTAGAAATGAAAATAGCTCAGCAAGTTAGAAATGAAAAACTTGAACTTTTCTGACTTTATAAAGATTCTATGCAAAAAACTATGGCTAACATTGTGGTTAATGAGGAAAGAGTGAATGCTTCCCCCTCTAAGATTAGAAACAAAGCAAAGGTGTCTGCTTGCTACATACTTGTTCAACACAGTACTGAAAATTTTAGTTAGTGTAAGACAGAAAAGAAATAAAAGAAAAATATCTGAAATAAATAAATAAAACTGCCCTTATTTGCAAATGCCATGGTTGTCTGCATAGAATATCCCATGGACTTTGCAAAAAAATTCCTAGAACTAATAGGTTCAAGAATGCCACATAATGGAAGATAAACATACAAAAACCAATTGTACTTCTGTATACTTCCAATGAGCATGTAGATGTCAAAATTTAAAATACCGTACTATTTTACATCACTCAAAAATAAATATGTGCATATCTAGGCAAACATGAACAATATATATCTATATATGGATATATATATAGATAGATGCAGAAAACTACAACATGTGGATGGAAGAAATCACAGAAGATCCACATGCATAAAGAACTATACCATGTTCATGAATGGTAAGACCCAATGTAGTTTAAGGCCAATTGTCTCCAAATTAATATATAGCTTTAAAGTAACGTCTATCAAGGCCCAGCAAAATTTTCTAGGAATAGACGAGATTATTCTAAAATTGATTTTGAAAGGCAAAGGAACTGCAATAGCTAAAATAATTTGGAAAAAGCAGAATAAAGTTGTAGGAATCATTCAACTGGATCTTAAGGCTTATTATAAAAATAACTACAGTAATCAAGACTATTAGGTATTGGTTGGTTGCATAGCTGAAGTAAACAGTATAAAGAACCCAGAAATAGATTCTTACAAATATGCCCAACTGATTTTTCACAAAGGTGCAAAAGCAGTTCAATGAAGGAAAGATAGCCTTTTCAACAAATAGTGCTGGAGCCATTGGTGACTCATAGACAGAAAAACAAACCTCATTGTAAGTCTCATACGTTTTATAAAAATAAACATAAAATAGATCATAAACTTAAGCGTAAAACATAAAACTATAAAGCTTGTAGAAAAAATAGGCTGGGCGTGATGGCTCATGCCTGTAATCCCAGGACTTTGGGAGGCTGAGGTGGGCGAATCACAAGGTCGGGAGTTCAAGACCAGCCTGGCCAACATGGTGAAACTCTGTCTCTACAAAAAAATACAAAAAATTAGCTGAGCATGGTGGTAGGCCCCTGTAATCCCAGCTACTCAGGAGGCTAAGGCAGAAGAATTGCTTTTATCCAGTAGGTGGAGGTTGCAATGAGCCAAGATTATGCCACTGCACTCCAGCCCAGGAGACAGAGTGAGACTCCTTCTCAAAAAAAAAAGTTTTAGCCTCCAGGGTTAGGCATAGATCTTAGACTTGAAACTAAAAGCGTGATCCATAAATGGAAAAATTGATCAATTGAGGTTCATCAAAATAAAAACTTTTGCTGTGCAAAGACTAGGAAGACAATGAATGGAAAAAAATATACTTGGAGAAAATATTTGCAAACCATGTCTGACAAAGGACTAGTATCCAGAATACATAAAGAATTCTCAAGTGTCAACAGTAAAAATTAAAAAAAAATGCAGCCCAATTAGAAAATAAGCAAAATACATGAAGAGACATCTCATTAAAGAGAACATATAATTGGCAAACAAGCATATGAGATGCTCAAAATAATGAACCTTCAGGCCAATGCCAATTAAAACCACAATGAAGCATTGCTACATACCTATCAGGAAACATAAAATTAAAAAAACATCATCAAATGCTAGTGAAGAATCAGAGAAACTGGATTACATTTATTACTGGTGAAAATGTCAAATTGTACAGCCACTCTAGAGACAGTTTGGCACTTTATTATAAAATGAAACACGCAACTACCATATAAATTGGCTCTTGGGTATTCTTGGGTATTTATCCCAGGATAACAAAACTTATGTTCACACAAAAACCCATTTATAAATGCTTATAGCGTCTTTATTGGTAATAGCCAAAAATTGAAAATAACTCAGATGTCCTTCAGTTGGTGGATGATTAAACAAACTGCAGTGTGTCCATTACATGGAATACTGCTCAGCAGTGTAAGTGAATGAACTATTGAAAGGCCCAACAACTTGGAAGGAACTCCAAGCATATGCTGAATGAAAAAGCCAACCCCAAAAGTTTACATGTTATCAAATTCCATTTGTATAATAGTCTGGAAATGACAAAATTATAAAAATGGTGAACAAATTTAGTGGTTGTTAGGGATTCAGGAGGGAATGGGCTGGGAGGGAAGTGAGTGTGGCAATAAAAGGGCAACATGAGGGATACTTGTGGTGGTACAAGTGTTGTATCAGTGTCATCAACATCGTTGTTACATTTTATTATAGTTTTGCAAGATGTTACACTTGAGAGAATCTGCTTAAGGGATAGATAGGACATCTGCATTATTTTTTATAACTGTATGTGAATCTATAAAGATTCCAAAATTTAAAAATAAATTTTAAAAGGCAGTGATTTTCAGATTGGATATAAAAGCGAGATTCAACTACATCCTGTTTACTATGTTATAAAGAATGGATAGACTCTAATAGCGAGAAAGCTGGAGTAGCTATTTGAATACATCAAAGTAGATTTCATAGCAAATAATGTTGTCAGGAATATAAAAGATCGTTTCATATTGATAAGAATGTTATTTCATCAAGAAAACAGCAATCCTAAATATGTTCACACTAAATAATAGGGTTTCATAATCCATGAAGCAGAAATTCATAAAACTACAACAAGAAAAATTTTTTTTAATTTTTATTTTAGGTTTGGGGGTACATGTGAAGATTTGTTACCTAAATACATGTCATGGGGACTTGTTATACATATTATTACATCACCCAGGTATTAAGCGCATTACCTAATAGTTATCTTTTCTGACTCTCCCCTTCCTCTCACCCTCCCCACTCATGTAGACACCAGTGTCTAAACAATGAGAAATTAACACAATTATATTTAGTGAGTTCAGTAGCTTTCATTGAATGACTGACAGAAGAAAAAGAAAGTCAGTAAGGATGTAGAAGAATTACAGAACATCATCAACAAATTTATTCACTTGACATTTATAGAAAACAGTCGACTTACCTGCAGCAGAACACACAGTCTTTTTAAGTGCTCATGAAACAGTTACCAAGGCAGATCATATTCTGGCCAGGGGCCAGCCAACTATGGATGTGCACAATGATAACTAAAAAACATTTCTCAATAAATTAAAAAATACCTACATAAAGAGCTATATACCATGTTCATTTATTGGAAAAGTCAATATTGTTAATTTCTCTATTCTCCAAAAAGTAATCTATCACTTCACTTTAATCCCAAATTGAAAACCAGACTCTGAAATTTATATAAAAATGCAAAGGACCTAGAAAAACAACTTCACAAAAGAAAAACAGTGTTGGAGGATATAAACTATTTGGCTTTAAACCTTATGTAAAATATATAGTAATAAAAAGTGTATAGGATTGGCATCAAGATTAAAAAATAGATTAATGACCCAGATTACAAAGTTTAGAAATAAACTGCCACATATAAATACAGTCATTTTGTTTTCAACAAAGTTAAATAGGTTACTCAGTGGAGACAGAAAATATGAACTTTTCAACAAATATAGGAGAGCAGGTGGGTATCCAGAGACACACATGCAAAACTACTTTCTTTCACACAATATGCAAAAATTAACTCAACATTGATCACAAACTTAAATGTAAAATGAACAACTATAAAATGTCAAGAAAGAAGGAGAAAAATTTTTGTGACATCGAGTTAAGCTAAGTTTTTTAAAAACAATACCAAAACAAGCTGTAAAGGAAAAAACTGATACATTGAACTTCAAAATTAAGAACTTCTGTTCTTTGGAATATATGGTTTCAAAATCCAAAAAGCAATCGCAGATTAGGAGAGTGTTTGTAAATCATATAAGACAAAGAACTCAATAAAAATAAAACAAAAAAATTTAAAGTGGCAAAAATGTGAACTTTAAGAAGAAACATGGATGTGAACTTTAAGAAGAAACATGAAAATGTGCTTGATGTCATTAGTCTTTAGGGCAAGGCAAATCAGAACCACCATGACATACCACTATGCACCTATCAGAGTGTCTAACATTACAAGACTGTCCATATTTAATGTTGACAAGGATGTGGAGCAACTGGTCCTTTATTTGCTGGAATGTGAAACGGTGCAACCACTTTAGAAAACAGGTTGGTCATTTCTGGCGTGAACCCGGGAGGCGGAGCTTGCAGTGAGCTGAGATTGCGCCACTGCACTCCAGCCTGGGCAACAGAGCGAGACTCCATCTCAAAAAAAAAAAAAAAAAAAGCAGACTGGTGTGGGTGAGGTGCAGGTGAGGGATGGGAACCTGGTGGTGGAGGAAAAAAGGGGGCAGTTACAAAGCAGCATGGAGCTCAGTTATTGCTGCTATAAACCAAAAGTACAATTCTAAGTGTCCCAGTGACTGAATTGACCCCTTCTCTCAACCAAGAGGATTCCAAAGAAACCTGAAAAACTAGTCCAAGTCATGACAGGAAGAGGGGATTGGACATCCCTCATTCTACTCGTCTCTCTTTGGAATCCAGGTGCAATTGATGTTAAAACAGAGATCTTAATGAGACAGAAATAGTACTGGGTATTTATAGGAGGATGGAAAAGCCCAAAGAACAGCTAGAACAAGAACTAGGCAAAGAAATCACAGGATTACAGAAACCCCAAAATGAGTGAGAGTAAACAGCCAAAAAGCAAACAAACAAACAAAAAAAGCCTGGTCAGGATGACATGTTCATGACCCTTTGAAGCAAACCCAAGCTAGGGAGAAAGGAGGCAGTAACCGGGGATGGGAGGGTCCTTGAAATCCCCTCCTTTTTCAGAATACTAATCATTATTTCAGGCTCTGTAGCAATAAGACTCCAAATTTCAACCTGATTCTAGTATAGCATCACATAACAGATAGCAGGCCCTGAGAGAAGTCAAAGTAACTTACCTCAAAATATATTTATTTGGCCAGGTGCAGTGGCTCACACTAGTAATCCCAGCACTTTGGGAGGCCAAGGCGGGTGGATCACCTGAGGTCAGGAGTTTGAGACCAGTCTGGCCAATGTGGTAAAATCCCATCTCTACCAAAAAATACAAAAATTAGCCTGGCATGGCAGCACCCACCTTTAGTCCCAGCTACATGAGAGGCTGAGGCAGGAGAATTGCTTGAACCTAGTAGGCAGAGGCTGCAGTGAGCCAAGATCTCACCACTGCATTCCAGCCTTGTCGACGGGGCAAGACTCCCTCTTAAGAAAATAAATAAATAAATAAATGAAGGTCTGAATAGGAAACATTTGCCATCTATTGCTTTTAAGGGTGGCCACCTATGAGACTTCATCTGCATTAATAAGAACCTTGGCCTCCACAATTCCTCATTTTAATCCAGATATTCCCTTCTATTGATTCCAGGTCTTTAGATAATAACTTAACTCTTTTAACCAATTGCCAATCAGAAAACCTTTTAATCCAGCTATGACCTAGAAGCCCACCACCCACTCCAAAGTTGTCTTGCCTTTCTGGACCAAACCAATGTACACCTTACATGTATTCATTGATGTCTGCCTGTAACTTCTGTCCCCCTAAAATGAATAAAATCAAGCTGTGACCCAATCACTTTGGGCACATGTTCTCAGAATCCCCTGAGGCTGTGTCATGGGTCATGGTCCTCATACTTGGCTTGGAATAAATCTATTCAAATATTTTACAGAGTTTGGCTTTTTTTTTCTTCTTCTTCTTTTTTTTTTTTTAAATCAACACTGCCCCTGCAAAGCCTTTTTGATTACCTAAGCTGATTTTGATGTTGCTTCACATTATGACGCTCAGCACCCTAAACAGCATTCCCTGGTGAATCACACGCAATTCCTTAGCAATAATGTCTTAGAATTCTCAGATACAAGATACTTATACACCATTATTTTAAGAGAGAGAAACAGTCCTGCATTTCCATCTTATTAAAGATGCCAATCAATTTCTCAAACATTACCACCACATTCTTACACACCAATTTAAAACTCCAGCAAATATTTTAGTCACATGTAAACCATGTGAAACAGCAATTCAGCACATTTAATGTATGGCTCCCCTAGACAGCAGTAGCATAAGGCATGGGCATAATGTGAGAAGAGCCAGCATAGCCTTCTAGTGCCTTTCCTGTCCTGTCTCCTGTATGCTCAGGTTTCCAATTTGTATAGTGAATGTGGGGTAAGTTGTTATGGCAACTGCCTTTTATAATGAGACTTGGTAGCAGACAGGATCAGCTCCTTCTCACCTCCTCAGAACCATGAACTCTTGCCCCACGGGACTGCCTGTGTGCCTCGGTGGCCTCTGCCACTAGGACAGCACTAGCACACAGATGTAGGCTGAATTGTTCAGATTTGGAAATTATTACATTCCCTTTACTTCCAGCTGCCAAAGCAGTCATCTAAAATTTAGCCACATGAAAAGAGAACAAATAGAAATTTTCTCATTTATAATCCAGGTTTCCTTTTTCTCCAACCAGCATCTCCCTGCCCCCAGCTCTCCAAATGCTTTTTCTAATTATTTTATTATTTATTTATTTATTTTTTTTTTACCACTAAATTCTCTCTGGAAAGGACAGGAAAGAAATGAGACTGGAAATCTAAACTTCCATTGTCTCCCTCTGCTAGCAGGTATGCATGTGCTTCCTTCCTGCAAGAAACCTCCTGACTTCTCAGGCCTGGATGTACTCAGCAAAGCAGCTGCGAGGAATGAGGGTACTGCGGGGGCAAAAGGTGCTGAATGAGACTCCCAGGGTTCAGTTTGAGGCAGCCTGTGGCCCTGGGGCTGACCAGACCGCTGTGTCCTGTGTCCCACCTACCCCATTTCCTACAGGGGACATTCCTTTTGAATTTCCTACTGCTTCCTATTCCCCATCTCATGCACCCATTAATCCCCCGTAGCAACAAGCTTCTTCCTTTCTTGTTTATTTCATTTTCTAATTCAAGCCATTTCAGTGAGTATTCATGGAGCCGCGGGCATGTGATGAGCATCTTGCTCAATTTTAGAAACATGCATCTACTGAAGGAGTCCCATAAATAAAAACTTGACAACATTGTTAAAATCTATTGATCATGTGTGCCCTTGTCTATTCCTGAACCCTTCGTTTCCTTGCATTGATCTGTCTATTCATCCTTATGCCAGTATCACACTAGGGCTTCATTAGAAGACCCAAAACTATGCACTGTAAGTCCTCCAAAAATTTTTTTTTTCTAAGGTTGTTTTGGTTATTCCGGAACTGTTGTATTTCCAAAAAATGTGAAATTACCTTCTTAATTTATACTACTACATTTCTGAAATTTTTATTGGGAATATGTTGAATAAATAAATCTTTTGAAGAAAAAAGTATATCTTATTGGAGTCTTACAACCAAAGAACTTCGTATACATTTTAATTTATTTAAATCTTAATCTTTAATTTTTCAAAACAAACTTTTATAATTTTTACCATGGAAGTCTGCACATATTTTGTTTAGCTAATTCCTGTATACTATATAATAATATGCTATACTATACTATATTAATAATATACTATAATATATAATTAATTATATAATAATATAATATAATATAAAATAATGCAATTCATATATTATTTTCATGTTATTGTATATAGGGTTCTTTTAAAAATTAATTTAATTGGTGCTATTTTGTTAAAATACAATTGATTTTTGTATATTATTCTAGAATTCTGTAATCTTGATAAATTCACTTATTTTTTCTAATAGTCTTTAATAGATTCCACAGAATTTCTACAATGCAATTATGTCATCTGAAAAATTTTATTTATTTTATATACATTTTTAAATTCTTGTCTTATAAGACAAGCTAGGACCTCTGTCTGGTACATTGCTGAATAAGTGTGCTACTGAAACTATAAGTTATCTTAGTTTTTTCTTTGGTATGAAAAATGTCTTTATTTAAACTTCATTTATGAAGAATAATTTTACTGGATATGAAATTCTTTCTTGGTTCTTTTGCTTTTTCAATACTTTAAAAACATTGTTTTATTTTCTTCTGGTTCGCAACGTTTCTGTCGAGAACCAAGCATTCATTTTCATCTTTGGTTGCCCATATGTAATGCTTTTTTTTTTTTTTTTTTTTGGGTTGCTTTTAAGATGTTTTCTTTATTTATTTTAAGATCCTGTGTTCAGCCGTGATTTTTTTTTTTGGGTGTTAATCTTATTTGTGGTTCTCTTAGATTCTGTTGTATGTAGAAATATAGTTTTTATTAAATCTGGAGATAAAAGGCCATTATTTGAAATATTTTTCTTCCCCCTTCTGGAACTCCAAATATAACTATGTTAAGATACTTGGTACAGTTCCAAACTCAAGGAGATGTGTGTTTTAAAAGTTTTTGGTTTCTTTTGTTCTGTTTCTATGCAGCTACTAATCTGCTGTTAACTCTATCCAGTTATATTTTTTATTTCAAATATAACATTCTTATCTCTAGAAGTTGCATTCTTTTTTTAAATATTTTCAGTTTCTCTTCTTCTTATGCTTACCCTTTTCTTGAATTTTGTGAGCATATTTGTAATAGTTGTGTCATAGCTCCTGCCTTCAATTCCATTAATTCGGCACTTAAGGTTTTAGTATGGTATCCATTGACTAATATTTTTTCCTGGTTATGGTTCAGAGTTCCCTGCTTCATCACAAGTCCAGTAAATTTTAATTGGAGTCTGGAAATTGTGAATGTTACATTCTTGAGTGACTGGATTTTGACTCCAATGTTTAAAGTGTGTTGGATTTTGTTTTGATAGGCATTGAATTACTTAAAGATTACAAGGTTTGTTAGAGTCAATCTAGTTTAGCCTTAATAGTGAAGCATGGTTGTTCTGGCATCTCTAACAAATGCCTGAGCTGGGAATGCTGAGTAAATAAAAGCATGGTAAGTGGAGATGCTCCTGCAGTCTCTCTGTGTTATCTTACTGGTTCCCACCAAGGTCATGAATGGCCTTGGGGCTGCTGAATTTGATGATCCTTTTTTGCTCTGTCATCCTTCAGGCTTCTCTGCTGCATTTGGTTGTCAGCCATTCCTGGCTTCTGGAAGGGCTCTCCTGCCTTGACTTCCTCACATTCAACTTATCCTGCTTTTTCATCTATTCTCTCTGCATTGCTCCATTCCTCTTCCACTGATTTTAAATATAAATTCTCCAGAGGGGTATGACAGTGGGCTGTTTATTAGCTTTGACCTCTAGTTTATAGTAATTCTCAATCAGTATCTTTCCTTCACACCTCTCTCTTCGGCACTATCTCCATATTCAACTGGCTACTGGCTATCTACACTTGGAGCTCTCACAAAAACCTCAGACTCAACAGGCCCCGCACTGAACTCAGCTTCTTTGCAAGCTGTTTACCTTTAGTTGTTATCTGTCTGCATGGCTCCCTCACCATCTCTACAGGTGCACATTTCTGATTCCCCATCTTCACTGCAGGTCCCGTTCATCTTGTCTCCCAAAGATTTGACTATGATTCCCTCCTCTTCATCTTCACTCTCACACAGATGCTCTGTGGAGGCTCTGACAAAGATTCTCTGCTTGACCAAACATTAGCCAGGTTTCTGAACCTTCTTGTGGGCCCAACTGTGCACTTCCTTATAAAATACAGTTTTAGCAAAACCTTGCTGTCTTAGTTTAGCAAGAACCCCTCATTATTGATGGTTTTTCAGGTTCCTCATCTGCCACCTTTCCCCAGGTGATATCCGATTACCTGGGCCTGTCTTTAGCAAGAATTCTGCTATTGGTTTAGCCAGAATCCACCCTTACCCTGAGGTTTCCTGTTAGTGACTGTCCACCCACTGGCATCCACCCTGCTTCTTGGCTGTAAGTTTCAACTTGCTGTGTTTCAAGTTGAATCCCATCTGTCTTGTCCACTGAAAAACCCCATTGCTATGGCCCCTATGCCTATGGCAATGGGCTGAATAAAGTATCCTTTATCATACTTCAACATGTGTCATTGAACAATGTTTTATCTAACAGCTCTCACCATTCTTTTCACGTGTTACTAGAACCATCTCCCAAGTGTCCATGCTCAATCTCTTCTAATTTGTTCTTTGAAGGATTATGTGTATCATTTCATAAAATTCAAATTCCATTATGACACCCACCTGATTGAAATGTTTTAAAAGCTATATATTATTTTTGATACTAAGCTCAAGCTTTGAAGTATGGCCACACAGTCTTCAATAATATGATTGCTATTTGTCTTCCTAGCCTCATTTCTTTCTGTACTTAGGCAGGGACTTGTCTATTCCTTCCTTCCTGATCTACTTGTTCTTTGAACATACTAAACTTTCCCTTTGCTCTTAACACCTATTCTAAAATTCTCATCCTCTTGCTTACCTGACTCTCTCCTACACATTTATCACAAGCTACATAAGGTATTACTATGACCAAAAAGTCTTACTTATAACTCTTAAGAAGAGGGCACCATGCATCCTTTCTCTGTCCCCACCATACTTGCATTTTGCACCATCATTGCACTTTGATATTGAGTTGTGATTAGTTGTTTTCTTGTTTATATATCCTACTGGGTTCTGGGTCTCCTCAAGGTAGGATGTGGCTCAAAGTCAACATCAATACATATTACTAGAAATGCCCTTGGAGAGAAAAGGATGAGTAAAGTCTGTATCATTAGGAGCAATAACAAGTATTGACAAACTAACTTATTCATACTTGATTTAGAGTATGTGTTATAGACCAATAAAAAATAAAACATGTTTGGACAGAAAAGTAGTGGTAAGATTAGAAAGAGCCTTGATGTCAGACAAGGAATACTAGAGGAAAGGAGACTGCAGGATTTTTTTTTTAAGTAACATAATCAGAACCGAATTTTTCAAATTAATTGTTTTGAATAGAAGGGTAGGTAAAATTTACCCAAGGGAATGAGAATAACCAGAGTCCTTCTTCAATATTTTTCAAATGTAAGTAATGAATAAAAACATGTATTATGGAGTAAATAATGAATAAAAAATGGGATAAATTAAATGTGAAATGGGAGAAAAACTGGCATTTGTGTTTCCTGCCGAGAGGAAAAAGCCAGCAAGAGAAGCTCCAGGGAAAGGTGGAGCATCTGAGTCCCTGAGGCAGTTGGACCACTGTCCCTAGTGCTGGATGCCCTGCTGAAAATGCAGCATTAACCCCTTTCCATTCCACAGTTTCTTTCACCTAGCATGGGTGAGGCCCGGATCAGTGTTTCTCAGAATTTCTTTGAGTTTCCAATTTCTGTTTCCAGGATGGGAGGCATTCACACCCCATTTGGTAGGTAAAAGAGAAGGAGAAACTGTTTTCCTCCAGCACCAGCATCAGGAAGCAGCTGAGGTTATTGATTGTGGCTTTCAATGATGCCATAAGTCCCATTGCTAATCATCCCCTCTGGCACTGTGAGAAGCTGAATTATTGGTATTGGTTTCCCTACAATCCTTGTATATTAGATTTTTTGAAAATGGCCTTTTGACCTTTCTCCCACAGACTTCCCAATAGTTATATACAACTTAACTGACTGTATTAAATATATCTTTACTAAAAATATCTAGAGAGGCTTCTGTTTCTCTAAATGAGCACTCACTAATACAGTATTTGGTTTTGAGATAAATTTGGAGATAATAAGAACTTCATTAATGGGAATTCAGGACTGGTTAGCTAACCAAGTTGGTGTTGAAGGCAGAATTAATTTTATCCAGTGGAAAACTAGACACTGGCAGTTGCAACCATATGATCACATTAGTTATAACCTTAAGTTGCCTGGAATAAAGCAGTAATGGAAACCTTAGAAGAAAGTGACCATTGTAGTAGAAAAATTGCTATGAAGGTGTTGAAGATAAAAGGAGTCTGGAGTGAGCAAACATTATTACTACTCAGGAGAGTATTAAAAAAAAAGAAACAGTTTTGAGGGTTTAAATTTCCAGAACAAGGCATGGTCAAAAAGCTAGAGAATTTCTACATCTGTCCCTAAAACATCAAATACCTCTTGTAGCTTCAGGTCCAATGTTTCCAAATATCTGCACCAAATTTTGATATCTGGGTTTGTTGACATACCACACAAGTTGAAATGTGTGGAGTCCTGTTCGATTGTCTATGTTATTACAGCACTCATAGGGAAAAAGGGAGCCCCTGACAATGGGAATGAAAACATTTGAGTAGAAGCTGATGGGAATATTTTGACATCCTACCGTCCTCAGGTTTTCTTTGCCAATACAAGTATGCAAAACCTAAATGGAATGATTGCCTTCAAAATGAAAAAAAAAGAGAATCCAGAATTGTCTAAAAATAATGGCAAAGTATACAGGATACAATAGAAAATCTCTCAGCATAACAAGAAATAGAAACATCACAACTTGGATGAGCATATACAATCAATAGGTATCAACATTGAGATAAATAAGATGTTAAGAATTTTAAAGCAACTGCCGTGTAACTGATTCAACAAAAATTAAGGATTCTTTAATAAAAAGAATATTTAACATTTTTATTCTCAAATAAACAATAGAAAGTCTTGGCAAAGAAATAGAAGCTATTAAAAATGGGCCAAATCAAGATCATTGAATTGAAAAATGTAATAAGTATTTTTTTTTAGATCTGAATGTTTTAAAGTAGAGTGCAGATGCCAGAGAATAGAATCAGTAAACTAGAGGACAGATAATTGAATTTACATAATCTTAACAACAAAGATTAAAAAAAGAACAAACAAAACAAAACAAAAAGCCCAACAGAGTATGAAGGACCTGTGAGAAAACAACAAATAGTTAATATGGGTTGCAATGATGTGTCAGGACAGGAGAGGTCTGGTACTGAAAGAGCATTCAGAAAAATAATGACTATAAACTTCCCAAATTTGGAGAAAAACACAAGCCTAGAGATCCAGGAAGTTGAGCAAACTCTAAGTAAGATAAAGAGTTTCAAACAAAGAACACCTCATAAACTTTAGAGGACTAACAGAAAAATTTAAAAATCTTGAAAGAAGCCAGAGGGAAATTATGCCTTACCTGCAGGGAAACGATTCAAATGACAGCTGACTTATCTTCCACAGAGACCACAGAGATTAGAAAAAGGTGTCACACAAGTTTTCAGGTACTGCAAAACATTGACAACCCAGAATTTTATATCCTGTGTAATAATCTTTCAGAAAAAAAGAGAAATAAAAATATTCACAGATAAAAGAAAATTAAAAGAATTTGTTGTAAGTGGACCAAACCTGAATAAATGGCTAAAGTAAGTTCTTCAAATAGAAAGAAAATCATAAAAGAAGAATGTTTAGAGTGTCAGGAAAGAAGACATAAAAATGAAAAGAGCAGAAATAAGGATTAATAACACTAGAATATTCCTCTCCTCGTGAGTTTTCTATGCCATATCTGATGATTAAAACAAAAATTATGACACCATCTGATACACAAGACAATGATCTTTAAAAGTGAGAGGATATGGAACCTAAATGGAAGTAAACTTTCCATACTTTATTCAAACTGGTAAAATGCTTATATTGATAGATTGTTATAAGTCTCATCTATATATTGTAAAATCCAGAAAAACAACTAACAAAAGCTTTACAAATATACATAGATATAGACAAATATATATAGATACAGAAAAGATATATAGATATAGACAAGTAAAGATGAAATGCCAAAGAAAAGCGATAACCCAAAAGAATGCAATAAAGAACCAGAGAAATGAGAATTGGAGGAATCAAACAGAAAACAGAAAATAAAACGGTAGTTGCAAGCCCTAACATTTCAATAACTTTAAATGTAAATGGAATTAATATAACAGCTAAAGGCAGAAGTGGCAAAGCAAAACAAACAAAAACAACCACAGTCTAATGAACTAGTTTATTAGAACTCATCCTGAATTCAAAAACATAGGTAGATTGAAAGTAAAAGGATGGAAAAAAAGATATGCTGTGGAAACCTTAATTTTTAAAAACACTGACAATATAAATATTTGATAAAATAGACTCTAAAAAAGAAAATTATGAGACAAAGAAGGACATTATATAATGATGAATATTCAAAACACTAGGAAAACAAATGACAATAAATGGGTAAATGGCAAAATACATGAAGCAAAAAGCAATAGAGCTGAAAGGAGAAATAGACAAACCCACAGGTATAATTAGGAACTTTAGTATGCCATCTTAGCTACTGTTAGATCTACTAGACAGAAAAACAGCAAGAATATAAAAAGTCAGAGCAATACAGTTAACCAAGAACATCTAACTTGTCTATATGTATATTTAGATATCAATTAATAGATAGGCATATATAGATATACACCCACCCTCAACAACAGCAGAATATATGCTTTTTTCATGTGCCTATGGAATAGTCATCATTGTAGGTGATTTGCAGATGTTGGAACATACACTGCAATATGTTTTCTAAGCAAAATGGAATCAAACTAGAAATCACAACAAAAAGGTAAATCTCTAAACACATGCATATTAGTAATACACTTCTAAAGGTTGATGGGTCAAAGAGAAAGTCTCAAAGGACACACACACACACACAAACCAAAAATTAAGTTCCACAACTGATTGAGAGACACTCCTTTTGGCCAAAGGCATTCCAAAGTTAACCTGAAAAACTAGTTCAGGCCATGATGGGAAGTGGGAGTTAGACATGCCTCATTATACTCTCCTCCCTTTAGAATTCAGGCACAGCTGACCAGCATTAACATGAAAACACAGATTTTAAGACTGATAGAACAGACTCTTTAAGTCTGATAAGAAACATTCCTTTCTATTGATTCTATCTACGTAATAGGAACTTTGTCTCCACAACCCCTTATCTGAACCCAGACATTCTTTCTATTGATTCTAGGTCTTTAGACAATAACTTAACTCTTTCAAACATTGCCAATTAGAAAATTCATGAATCTACCCAGGACATGGAAGTGCCCACTTTGAGTTGTCCTACCTTTCTGGGTTGAACCAATGTATATCTTATGTGTATTGATGGACGTCTTACGTCTCCCTAAAATGTACAAAACCAAACTGTAGCCCAGCCACCTTGGGCACATATTCTCAGGATCTCTGGGGGTTGTGTCACTGGCTATTGGTCATTCATATTTGGCTTAGAATAAATCTCACCAAATGTTTTACAGAACTGACTCTTTTCATCTCAAACACACACACACACACACACACACACACAAACACACACACACATATATATGAAAATATAAAAACATAGCATATCAAAATGAGTGAGATGCAGTTAAAGGAGTTCTAAAAATAGAAATTTACAGCACTCAATGTTCACGTAGAAAAGCAGAAAGCTCTCAGTACATAATCTAAATTTCTACATCAAGAAACTAGAAAAAGAAGAGCAAAATGAAACTAAAAGTAAGCAGAAGGAAAAAAGTAATAAAGACTGGAAATCAATGAAATAAAAGCCAAGAAAAAGAGAGAAAATCAATATAACAAATAGCTGATTCTTTAAAAAAAATCAATAAAATTGATTAGACTGTAATAAATATGATAAAAACAGAATGAACACAAATAATTATGAATACCTAGGATAAAATCTGATGTGTGCAGATCTTGCAGCCATTAAGATGATAATAAGATGACAATAAAAACAGCTTTGTGCACATAAATTCAACAACTTGAAACAAATGGACTAATTCTTCAAAAAACAAAAAACTACTAAAAGTCAATCAAAATGAAGTAAATAATATGAATAACTTCAGCCATAAGAAAAATTAAATTAGAGATTTAAACCTTCCCAGTAAAGGAACCTTGTGGTACATATGATTTCACTGGACATTTAAACCAAATATTTAAATAAGAATCAACACTAATTTATAAATAATCTTTTCCAAAAAATAAAAGAGAAAGAAACACTTTCCATCCCAATTTATATGAACAATATTACCATAACCAATAATACCACAGGAAATTCTAAGACTCTACTAAAAAAAAAAGTAGAGCAATATCTCACAGAACTTAGATGTAAAACTCCTCCATGAAATGTTAGCAAATTTAATCCACCAATATGAAAAAATTATAAATTATAAAAATATGAGATTTATTCCAGGTGTGCAATGATGTTTCAATGTTCTAAAATCAATCAATGCAACCCAACATGTCACTGGCTAAATAATAAAAATCAGATGATCACATCAATTGACAACAAAAAGGAATTTGACAGTTTTTTTTAGTCAACAAGTTAGGGATTAAGAGGAACCACCTGAATTTGGGGAAAATTATCCATAATACCCTACAGTTAACATCATACTTAAAGGTAAAAAACTGAAGGCTGTGCTGTAGGATCAGACACAAGGCAAGGATAAGCATTTGCAATTTAAAAGCTCCGAAATAAAGGAATCTCTAGTGATTTCACTGGAGATTGGAAGTAAATATTTAAAGAACAATTAACACTAAGTTTACATAATTTCTTACATAAAATAGAAGTACTGGACATTCTAGCTACTGAAGTAAGGCAAGTAAAATAAATAAAAGCCATAGAGATTGGAAAGAAGAAACAGAACTATTCTTGTTTGCAGATGACATCATTATCTTCACAGAACATCCCAAAATATTCTACAAACAACCCTACTAGAATTAATAAGTGAGTTCAGCAAGGTCGCAGGAAAAAGTGTCCACATAGAAAAATAAATTGCATGAACATGAACAAACAATAAATATGTGGGGAAAAATTAAAATATAATACCAATTATAATCATTTCAAAGAAAATTAATACTTTGGCATAAACATATCAAAACCTGTATAAGGTTTCTATTCTGAAAATTACAAAATTATGAAGAAGGAAATTAAAGCCACCTAAATAAGTGTAGATGTGTGCCATGTTCATGAATTGGAATATTAACATACTAAATATATCACTGATCCTAATGCAATCTACAGGGTTAATTAAGTCCCTGTTAAAATTCCAGGATACTTTTGTGTAGACTTAGATATAAAACAGTAAACACTATTTTGAATAAAAATAGAGTCAGAGAATTGCTCTACCCAGTATTAACGTCAATTCCTATCTAAACTTGCAATAATCAATATCAGTTGCTATCGGCAGGGGCCTAAGTTTCCACTATATGCAAAAATTTTCTCTAAATGGAACCCAGACTTAAATTCAAAGCTAACACTATCACACTTTCACAAAACAGAAATAGAAAAAAACTTCAGAATCTAGGGCTAAGCAGAGTTAATCAACTTGACACCAAAAGCGTTATCCATAAAAGAAAAGTTGATCAGTTGGACCTCATCAAAATTAAAAACTTTTGCTCTGTGAAACACTGTTGCAAACTACGTATCTGACAAAGGACTAGTATCTAGAATACATAAAGAACTCTCAAAACTCAGCAGTAAACAAAACACAACGAAACCAAACAAAAACCAATCCAATTAGAAAATTTTTAAATGACAGCTTTCACCAAAGAGGATATACAGATGGCAAATAAGCATGTGAAAAGATACTCAACATTATTAAACAACAGGGAAATGCAAATTAAAATAACCATTAGATGTTGCTGCATGCCCTTAAGAATGACTAAAATAAACACTGAAAGTATCAAACGCAGGCCAGGATGTAGAGAAAATGGGTCACTCATGTATATTGCTGGTGGGAATGTAAGATTTTATAGCTACCCTGAAAAGACTGTAAAACTTATAAAACTATCCAGGCAGCTTTGTAAAAGGAATACATGCTATCTTAGTATTATTTCTTACATCTGCCTTTAAATCTATGATTATCTCAAGAAAAAAGTTAATTAAAAAATATAAGTCCCATGTTACATGTCCACCTTTCTCCCTTCCCTATGGTAACACTCAGGCTGGGGAGAACCTGGGAAGAGTCTAGGTTCTGCTGACCACATTTATTTAATTGACTGGCCGCAACTTGCTGGATAGTTTCCAATTTGTATTTTTACCAGCCTCGAAAGCAATTTTTGAAAAACAGATGAGCAGATCCCTCCCATCTGCCCATCTGACCTATTAATACACAGTGTGAAGGCAGATCCTTTTCTTCTCCTACTTTTCCCTGCCTCAAATCTACTTTTTCCCACTTTCTGCTGACTGCTTTAGTGCTTTCCTGTCTTAGGCCAGCTAGTGTGCCTATAAAGAAATACCTGAGGCTGGGTAATTTATAAAGAAAAGAAGTTTATTTGTCTCACAGTTCTGCAGACTGTACAAGAAGAAGGGCACTGGCATCTGCCTCTGCTGCGGGCCTCAGGCTGCTTCCGAAGGGGAAGTGCAGCTGAAGTGTCCAGAGATCACAGGGTGGGAAAGAAAGCAAGAGGGAGGGGGTGGGGTGCCAGGCTCTTGTTAACAGCCAGCTCTCTCCAGTACTAATAGGCAAGAACTCACCCACCCCAAGAGAGTATTAATCCATTCACGAGGGATCCTCCCTCACGACCAAAATATCTCTCATTAGGCCACACCTCCAACACCGGGGATCCAATTTTAACATGAGATCTGGAGGGACAAACATCCAAACTGTAGCATTTTCTTAATGCCAGAGTCCTGGCTCTGCATACTGGGATCTTCTTAGGAAATCATCTCTCGTCTCTGCTTTCCATCATATTTCAAACTGGAAGGGACTTCTTTCCCTAGGAGAATGGGAATGATGATGTGTTATTTTTCTATTTTTCAGATTTGAGGCATTGAGCTCTTTCATAGGGTAGAATGTGTGTGGTTCTAACATTAGATCTTTGACTATAAGATATGCCAACTTCTGGAACATCTGCTGTGACCCATTTACTTCAATAAACCCAAACTCAGAGCACTTGGCCATCAGCCCTGATGGTATTCCCCATCTCACCTCCTCAGCCCGCCAAACTCCTCCCTTTCTCTCAAGGCGCATGCACTGTTCACCCTTATTTGGGGTCAGTTTGCCTGGTTCCTCCTCTCTGCTTTGTTCATGCAATTCCCCCTCCTGATACATCCTTAACTGCTTCCTTGTATGTGTGCATTTTCACCATTCAGCTTTAATGTTCTTTGTGCCATGAGGATTTTTACTAGTATTTCCTCTAAAATTCATAACATTAATCTATGCCTGTCTTGTGGCCTCCCTGCTCCCTTAGATATGGCATCTCTAATTTGTATTGAAATTATTCATATACAGTCTGACCTTTTCTGCCAAGTATCTCCAGTAAACTGGCAGAATGCCTAGTATACAGTATGAGCTCAATACATACCTGCTCACTGAATCATGACATGAATTCATTACAAAGAAAAAAAAATGTCCTTTGGAATAAGTGGTCCTAATTTTCAGATTGTAACAACGTACTAAAATGAAAAATACAATCTAAGTTTTCCTGCTTTTTGTTGAGTATTAAAGCACAGTGAATTTTATAAGAATGTATCGTATTATGTACTTTTAACTTTAAAAAACCTTGGACATCTCTCTAATGTGTTTAGTAAACTAATATGTATATATCATTATTATTAACTAAAATCCATACTTTATCCAGATTTCTGTATTTTTTTCTAATGTCTTTTTTCTAGTCCAAGATCTCATCCACATTACATTTAGACAGCATGTTTCTTTAGTCTATCTTTGGCTGTGACAGTTTCTCAGATCTTCCATGTCTTTGATGAACTTGGCATTTGTGGGGAGTATGGTCAGGTATTTTCTAGAATGTCCCTCCATTGGGATTTGTCTGATTTTTTCTCATGATTAGACTGGGATTAAGGATTATCAGAAGGAAGACCACAGAGATTAAGTGACATTCTCATGCCATAATTCCAAGGACACATACTATCAACATGATTTATTACTGTTGATGTTGGCCTTGATCAACTGGTTGAGATACAGTTTGTTAGGTTTCTTTTTTTTTTTAATGACCATTACCTTAAATATTGAGGACTTATTGAGTTTACAGATTGAAAATAATGTCTAAATATAAGACCTATTGGAGCACCTTATGTTGCTTTTAGATAATTATTCTGGGGAGGATAACTTCAAATTTCCAAGATTCTGTTCTTGCTTCTCTTCTTCTTTCATTCTTCCTACCTGTGGGCTAGTTCAGTTACAATTGCACCTTCCTCAGACACCACTGTGCAGGTGACTCCTCAATGTACAGCTCTAGCAAATGTCCATAGTTTCAAACCTATATTTTGAATATCATCAAATTGTCATTAGCACCTCAAATTTATCATGTCAAAAAATTGTACTTTTTATTTCTACACACACACATGCACACACATGTACACACACACACTTACACACACACATGCAGAGGGGCATATGCGGCTTCTCCTGTTTCCGTCACCTAATTCCATGGTCTCATTACCTACCTCATCGGTCTCTCTGAACACCTTGGTTCCCTTCTTAAGCCTTTCTAAACATAAATTTAAACAGCATATTAACCTACCTTTTAATCCTTTTAGAGAAAAAGAAATTTTTTGACTGATTAGAGATATAGCAAAAATAGTTCTGCCTTTGTAATTATGTTCAGACAACTTATACTAAAATATAGGAAAATTTGAATTAATTCATTTTTTCCATAAAGCTGTTTTATAAAGAATAGATTTTAAAATAAAATAGATTCCAAAAATTCCTTCATTTTAATTTTTTAAAACTTCCGTTGAAATCCATGCCATTCTGCCTTTTTTTTTTAATGCTACCTAAATATTATGACAGATGCTTAAGGAACTGAAGCATTCTTTTAACATTTATTTTCCTAAGTAAAACACTCTTAGAAAATAAATTTAAAAGCTCATTTCTCTTATTGTTAAAAAAAAACTAAGGTTTTTTTTTCTAAGTTAAACTTTTGTAAACATTTGAAGACATCAAAGTCACTGGCAAGTTTAGCTTAAACATGGAATATAAATTCTCCCCCTTAATATATCACGTGTGACATCACCCACCCCCACCCTGGCACATCCCATGAAAAGAGACCACAAAATATTCTAACTTCACATCTGAGTATGTGTGGATGCATTTCTTTCTTTCATAAGGAGATAAACATTCATGTTTAGATTGAGCACACCTAAGTTATTTAGCTTTTTTTTTAGTTGCTTGGACACAGTGTGTCAACATCCCCTCATCTTGCACAAATATTTGCCAGGGCACTTGCCACTCTGTTCCCCAGCCTCACCCTCCACTTAGTGCCTACTCATTCCTTGAATCTGGACTTAAAAGGAAGCCTCCATAACCTTCCAGACTGGATCAGGCCCCTCTGTTGAATGTTTTCATGACAAATCTGCACTTTTCCTTTGTGGGACTTTGTTGTTATAAGAGCTAGTGGGAATTGGATTTATGTCTGTCTTGTGCAGATGAAAAGCTGCACAGGGGCAGAAGCCATGTCTGTGTGTGTTCTTGATCCTAATCTCCATTGAACACTCATCCCACAAGTGGTGTTGGGCATCTGGTGATGCCAGGTGGTCTGTCAGGTCCTGAGGATGGAGAAATGAGAGAGAGACAGTCTGAGCAAAGAGGGCTACGTCAGTTCCCCTGGGTTTTGAATACAATGGAGACAGGGCACTGGACAGGTGTCAGGTGTCCCCAGGGTTGGTAAGAAAAGCCTCTGAGAAGGGAGGACTTATTTGAGCTGTCTTGAGAAAGGGGTCAACATTCAGGAGGCTGGAGGAAGGGGCTTCCAATGAGGTCAGGTAGAGAGGAGAGTTGAAATTGTCTGGTGCAATTGAGGTTCACACCTCCTTAGAAGCCCTCAATTCCCCACCCTGACCCTACCAGACACACAGTATAAAACAGTGACGTTTCAGTGAACTGAAAGGCTCAGTAGAGATCTCAAGGCTGGTGCTGGTGTGAACCACAAAGTAGAAGGAGCAAGACCAGCTCTGGGATGGGCAGACCTGTCTGGGAGGGATGCTGGCCTGAGGGCTCCTAGCAGGCTGCCTCTGCAGCCTGGCCACTCAGGGCCTGAGGCAAAAGGTCACCATGGCCACAGGGTGTGGAAGGTACTGGAATCTATGCTGCCTTGGAGACCAGTATAGTGGGGGTGCTGGGAGATGGAAACAGGGAATTTCCTACTCTCCTCCATTCCCTGGACTCATAGTAGGTACCTGAAGCTGCCTTAGCTTATTATGATGGTCTCATGATTAGACATGTCAGTTGTGAGGGTGGTGCCATCTTTTTATTTTAGAAACTGAAAATTTGATGCTCAAAGAGTGAAGTGACCTACTCCAAGATGTACAGTAGCTGATGGCAGTGTTGCGGGAAGTCAGGGACCCCGAACGGAGGGACTGGCTGAAGCCATGGCAGAAGAACATAAATTGTGAAGATTTCATGGACATTTACTAGTTCCCCAAATTAATACTTTTATAATTTCTTACACCTGTCTTTACTACAATCTCTGAACATAAATTGTGAAGATTTCATGGACACTTATCACTTTCCCAGTCAATACTCCTGTGATTTCCTATGCCTGTCTTTACTTTAATCTCTTAATCCCATCATCTTCATAAGCTGAGGATGAATGTCACCTCAGGACCCTGTTATGATTGTGTTAACTGCACAAATTATTTAAACAATATGAAATCTGGCTACCTTGAAAAAAGAACAGGATAACAGCCATTTCAGGGAACAAGGGAGATAACCTTAAACTCTGGCTGCCTGTGGGCTGGGTGGAACAGAGCCATATTTCTCTTCTTTCAAAAGCAAATAGCAGAAATATCGCTGAATTCTTTTTCTCAGCAAGGAACATCCCTGAGAAAGAGAATGCTTTCCCAAGGGGAGGTCTCTAAAATGGCCGCTTCAGGAACATCTGTCTTTTACGTTTGTAGATAAGGGATGAAATAAGCCCCGGTCTCCCGTAGCGCTCCCAGGCTTATTAGGACAAGGAAATTCCTGCCTAATAAATTTTGGTCAGACTGGTTGTCTGCTCTCAAACCCCGTCTCCTGATAAGATGTTATCAATGACAATGTGTGCCTGAAACTTCATTAGCAATTTTAATTTTGCCCCGGTCCTGTGATCTCGCCCTGCCTCCATTTGCCTTGTGATATTTTATTACTTTGTGAAGCATGTGATCTCTGTGACCCACACCCTATTCGTACACTCCCTCCCCTTTTGAAAATCACTAGTAAAAACTTGCTGGTTTTGTGGCTTGGGGGGCATCACGGAACCTGCTGACATGTGATGTCTCCCCCGGACACCCAGCTTTAAAATTTCTCTCTTTTGTACTCTTTCCCTTTATTTCTCAGACCGGCTGACACTTAGGGAAAATAGAAAATCCCTAAGCCCACGTTGAATATCAGAGGCTGGTTTCCCCCAATATGGCAGAACTGGAACTTTATCTCAATACTTACCTACCTCATCAATCTCTTAGGAAAACATGATTATTGGTTTATATATATATGTATATATATATATATATATATATATATATATATATATATATATACTTTTTACAGAAAAAGAAAAATTTTATTAGAAATTTAAGGTTAGTGTCTAGAAGACTACGAAAATTGTCGCTGCCCTTAGGAAGTGGGGATAAGTGAAGGTAGGTAAATTTACACTTTATATTAATCTTGTTTATTGTTTTGGAAGTTTACTATATGCATGCTTTAATTATAGAATAAATATAATAGACTAACTTAGAATTTATAAGGGGGCCACCACTAGAATAATAGAGATGGAATGCATTATTTCTTAAGAAGCAAAAAACAACCTGAGAATCTAATAAAAGATAAAGAAAAAAGACATTTATACATTACTGAGAATAAACAATAAGTGATGGTTATGTGCTTTATTGAGAGACATCAAGAAAACCTGAAGTTTACCATGCTTGTGTATAGAGAAATTCAATACTATAAGGAAGAGTGGGACTTAGGATAGAACAAGCATAATCTTTTCTGTGATAGAGCCCAGATACAAAAGCCTTTTGATTTATGGTGACAGACTCAGTCTCTAGCTCAGCGACCAGTGGAAACACAAAGTATAGAATTCTAAATGGAAATGTAAATTTTTATTAGCCCTATTTTTAAAAAGATGACAAAAGAAAAAAAGTTTCTCATAAAATTTTAATTCAATATATCCAATATATAATTTCAACATGTAATCAGTATTAAAATATTGAAATATTTTATTCTTTTTGTGCCATATCATTAAAATCTGGTTTATGGTTCACACTTACAGCACTTCTCAATCTGGGCTCATGTAGCTGTTGACTTCACATTGAAGAAGGTAGCTCTGGGTGAAATAGTTCAGAAACCTGCCTCACTTCTTCTCTCTGTTATCACAGCAAGCATCAGAACATCCAGGGTTCAATCCATGAGGAAAGCACCTTAGCTGGAGCACAACATAAATTAAGCCAAAAATCACGTGGCAAGCCAAGAAAATATTTGCAGCATTCATAATTACAAAGAGTTCTCTAATAATCAAGTCCACCAACCACAGCCTGTGGTTCAGAATCTCATGATGCAAAGGAGTGGGGAGCAGGGGCTTCCTTCTGCCTGTGTATGGGGCCACAGACTCTTTCCAAAGGCACCTCATGTCACCCACTGATGGAGGAAAAATAACCACTCTCCCCTATTTGCACTCACATGGCATGCAATAAACCATATACTGATATATTCATGCATACCCCCAGGTAGTGCAAATGATCTGGTGTTTGTTGTGCTTATCTCTGTGTCTTTAGAGCCCATCGACATTCATGTAATCAGCTGCTGGGAACAATTTTTAATGAATGAATCTTTGAATGAGTGAGCAAATCTGTCAATGGTAGCATAAGCCCAGGGAGCCTTTCTGATTTTATAGTAATTTGGTTTTATTAATTATATTATTATTCTTCCATTGTGTATAAAAGTGATGACATTTCTTAAAGTTCTTGTTTCTTCTACAGGCCTTTTAAGACTCCATCAGCCTCGAAGTTCATTTGTGTGGCACTAAAAGTAAACCAAAAGCAGGAAGCTAAGGATCTTTCACCTCTAATGCACCCTGACCTTGGCTATTTCATGTCAGGGTCTGTGCAGTCTAAGCCCAGGCAGCCAACATGCTTGGAGGATACTTCATGTAGTGGTAGGTATGCAATTTGCAAAGCTTTGTGACTTAAAGTATAGATTATTTCTTTTTTGCATCCTTTAATATAAAATGAGGTAATTATACTTATACAGAAACATCTCTGTACCCATTTTTTTTTTTTTTTGAGACAGAATCTTGCTCTGTTGCCCAGGCTGGATTGCAGTGGCACGATCTCGGCTCACTGCAAGCTCCACCTCCCTGGTTCACGCCATTCTCCTGCCTCAGCCTCCCAAGTAGCTGGGACTACAGGTGCCCGCCACCATGCCCGGCTAATTTTTTTGTATTTTTAGTAGAGACGGGGTTTCACCATGTTAGCCAGGATGGTCTCGATCTCCTGACCTCATGATCCGCCCACCTTGGCCTCCCAAAGTGCTGGGATTACAGGCATGAGCCACTGTGCCCAGCCTCTGTACCCATTTTTAACAAAGGAATTCTATTTATCAGCTTGCATTGTAATTGGAGTGAATGTGATCATAAGTTTATTTCGGGCCTGAAAGTGTTGATTTCTCTTTTGAAGAGGCCTTTTCTCACAGAGCCCCTGGAGAGAGAGTTCCCCCTACACAGTGATCTCAGGATATATTTGAGGAACCCATAGACAGTCTTGCAACCCTTAAGCAATGACAGGGAGTGCAAAATTATTACATTTTCCATTGTCTGGGCTCCATATTCTAATTGGGTGTCTGCTCTAAGAAATATGCTGTGAATGTGAACAAGTTGGGCTGTCAGCCCTGGAAAGAGATGACCCGGAGCTGCTCCTATTTTCTGCGGGCCTCTGCTTTCTTGTGTCTGCTTTGATGTGGGTTTTAGCATCAAAAGCTTCAGCTAGAATGACTTGGAAATGGTAAGACCAAAAACAAGTGGAAGAATTTGCTTTCTGAGTTGATCTTAGATGAATTAAATTCCCATCTAGACAAATTTTCTGTAGGTGTTATTATTTATTCTTCTTAAAATACTTCAAACAATTTTTTTTTCAATTGCATGCTTATTTCAGTGTTTAAAAGTGAGGGCCAGATGGAAATATTCATGTCTGGGTTAGTAATATCTTTTTCTGGATTGAATTCTCAACAAGGGGTGAACTGAAGAGTTAAGGGGTGAACTGAAGAGTGAAGGGGTGACCAGAGTGGTGCCTAATGGTAGTAAGGCCAATGACAATGAGAGGGTTGATGACAAGAAGGATAAGAATATTTTTGAGACACATGGCAATCCCTGTACACATTATCAGGCCACTGAATCCTCATAATCTGTAAGGCAGGTGCCATTACTAGTTTCACAGAAGATGGACAGAAACTTAAGATTAAATAGCTTGTCTTATCTTTCACAACTCATAAAAGGACCAGCAAAATTCAAACCCAAGTCATATAATTCAATAATGCTAATTGTCTAGATTCCTGTACACACTTATAAAAGACACAGGTATTTTGCCCCTCATTCAGTATGGCCTCCTCATTTCCAAGATGTTGCTTACAGAGGTACATTTATTTTCACTATTTTATTCATTGCACATATATTTATTGACCACCTACAATATAGCTAAGCCTGTAGCAAATCTCAAATCCCAGATCTCAATCGCTCTCTCTTTTTCTCTTTTAAAATGCACCCATTCAGTTAAGGTTGTCAGTTCTTCACTCACACATGCCAATTCAACATTGCTTTTCTTTCTCCCTGAATATAGCTTAGTCTAAACCTACGTCACTCTAAATTTCTTAGGGCTTCCCACCTTTAATTTTTCCTGTATTTGTACTTTAACTCAACGATCTTTTTGCATAACTCTTTGCACAATAATATTCAATGGCTCTCCTCATTTCTTAAGTTACAAAAACATGAAATCTTTCTGCTAACATTCAGGGCTCTAAATAATTCATTATTGAGTTAGATCATGTGTAATCATAAGGAAGTCTGAATATTGAAAGCCTCTGACAATTGCATAAATAGAACATCTCAGATTTGTCCTTTTTCCACATTTCTGTCCAAGTCCTTCGAAGCACGAAGACTTTGAAGAGCCAGACATTTGAGGAAAGACCTTCTTTTGCTCACTTTCTTCCCTGAGAGTTGTTGAGAATTTATATATTAACCAAATGTTTCTCCAGTGTTCCAAGCCAGTTAGATGACTCCTGTAAACAAAAGTCAATGTGGTAAAGATAAAAATGAAGGATTTCTCCTCATTTGATAAATGGAATCTGGAATTTAGGGCTTGGGGATTTGGCATTGAGTGTTCAGACATTTTGCTGTGGCTTTCTTGGGATCCAGATGATACTCTACACATGGCTCCTTGCTAACCTAGGACACTGTTGCCTTCTCCTACTGCCGTCCCCATGGAAGTGGTGCAGCACGTTTCATTAGAGAGGACAGGTGGTAACATGTGGCCACACTCAGTAAGGATTTGGGAGGGAAATTCTAGCTGAGAAGCCAAGATCAGACACTATCCCTTTCAGCACCACAGCGTTCTCCTATGGAACACTTTTTATTTTTTATTTTTTGTTTTTTTTTGAGATGGAGACACACTCTGTTGCCCAGGCTGGGGTGCAATAGCAAGATCTCAGCTCACTGCAACCTCCGCCTCCCCAGTTCAAGCGATTCTCCTGCCTTAGCCTCCTGAGTAGCTGGGACTACAGGTGCCCATCATCACGCCTGGCTAATTTTTGTATTTTTAGTAGAGACAGGGTTTCACCATATTGGCCCGGCTGGTCTAGAACTCCTGACCTTGTGATCCTCCCACCTCAGCCTCTCAAATTGCTGGGATTACAGGCGTGAGCCACCCCACCCACCGGCCCCTAGGGAACACTTCTAAGCCCAGAATCTGACCTGCTTGGGGGAACAGGAACCAGTTTTCCTTCCCCTAAAGAAAAGCCTGAAAATCTGTCTCCCTCTACTCAAAATACAGAACCCTAAAAACCTGAGGTCCACAGAAAGAAAGCAGTACTCTCCTTGTTAGATTCTTTCCCCCTCAGACGGTCTTCCAAGCTCCACACAATGGCAGGGGGGAGGGGCAGTGTTCTCGTTTCAGCCTTCCCAGTGCAATAGCACAGATGCATTCACAGTGCACCAGCATATTCCTCATGTGAGGTTTGATAGAGAAGTTTTCCCCTCCATCCTGCCTTCTTGTTCCTGCTCCCAGTCTCCTGTGTACTCGGGCATGTACACACATTCAGCATGCCTGCTGCTATGCACTGGATGCTTGAGTCCACTGACAAATAATCTGTTGAAGGCCTAGCCCATGATGTGTGGGACTGTGGAGGTGGGGACTTTGGGAGACGATTGGCATAGAGGAGGTCATGAGGTGGAGCCTCAGTGATGGGATTAGTGGCCTTATAAGAAGAGGAAGAGAAGCCAGAGTGTGCTCTCTCTCCCTCTCTCTCTCTCTTTCTGCCATGTGAGGACAAGGCATGCAGGTGGTCATGTGCAAACCAGGACAAGAGCCCTCACCAAAAACCCGACCATGCTGGCACATTACCAAGGACTTCCAGCCTCCCAAACTGTGGGGAGCAAACATCTGTCATTTAAGCCACCCAATCTTTGGTATTTTGCTATGGCAGCCTGAATGGACTGAGACACCTGCTGAAAAATATCCTGGGAGAAATGCTTTTCGGGGACTTTCCAGTGAGAAAACATTTTCAAACGCAACAATTTCTGAAGGGAAACAGACTGCAGAGCTACGACTCTGATTTTAAAGAAAATCAGTGTTGCATTATTCCACTGTTGTGAGAACAGCTTAGATCCTAGAATCATATGGCCTCAAGCTCTCTGTTTTCCAGAATGGTCTGCATCTGGCTTTTGTATAACCAAAAGGCCACAATAGTGTTATTCCTAGAAAGTTGACTCTAGCACCCAATACCTGTATCCGGAATCTTGGAACCATTTTTCCAAGATGTTTAGCTCCATCAAGTTCTCTTCATCAGAGAACAAGTTCAACTACATGATAGATGTTTCTTCCACTAAGAGCACCCACAGAAGGAATATTAAGCATGAACATGGCCCGGACATGTTGCCGCCTCAAAGCCAGGACTCTGGCTTTGACTCTGGACCGAAGCTGTGTGCTGCCCCGGAGCCTAGACGACCACATTCCAAGATCAGAGGGCCTTAGAGTTCCCTGCCTGAGTGGTCCCGAGTCTATCTGGGCCTTTTACAGGAAAGTGCATGGTACCCACTGAGTCAGCTCCCCATGTCACAGTGCTTGGCTGCCAGTGTGGCCCCCTGGGCCTGGAGAATGGTCTCAAGGAGGATATTTGGGGAGGTCTACCTTAGATATGGAGGCTTGGCAGCCCCTCCAGGTACAAAAATCCTGTGGACTAGAAGACAAGGCAGGCATGAACCCTTGTACACCTAGTACAACTTCCATTTGCAGGTGTTCTATTGGCTCTGGGCAAGTGAGAGGCTGTCCTGCTGACCTGTCTCCTGCATGCTGTTGGCTGCAGTACCCACATGTAAGAAGTCAGTATTTGCCCTCACAGATCTGATATACTGATTTTACCACATAATACATTTTCATATGTATCTATTTCTAGACTTCAGTTCCACTATTTTGTAGGTCTTTTCATATGTGAACATTAATCTATTTAAATTACCATCTTTACAGCATTTTTGACTACCTAGTAAGCCTGGTACTTCTGTATAGCTCTCTCCTGCTTTTCAGGATTCTAACTCTTCTGGATTACTTTTGCTTAGTGAAGTTTAAAGTGTGCTGCTCATTTTTTGTGGTGGTAGTTGTGGTGGTTGTCACTGAGAGTGCGTTAAATATGACAATTAAGCTAGATAGAATTGGCCTTTTCATGATGTGGCACCTCTCCTTGAAGAACATTAAACTTTTCACTGGAACCAGGCTACATTTGTATTGATAGGTTTTGCACATTTATTTTTAACTCCTAGACATTTTTTTTGGTATGACTATTCAATCAAGTGTTGAAAATTACTGGTATTATTTGAATAAATTACTGGTATTATTTAGAATGAAGGTGGGAAAACTTGCATACTAGTTTTCTACGTAATTAACCTATGAGAAAGCTATTTTGTAACAATTATACATTTATTTAAGTCATTCTACAGACTATTTAAATAATTATTCCAGTTTACTTTCTTTGAAACAAACATTATTTAGGACTTATTATATCTTAGGTACTGTCCTAGGCAATTTAAAAATATTAAAATATTGAATTCTTACAGCAGGCCTATGAGATAATTACTATTATTTCCCCGATTTTAGAAGTGACAACACTGAGCCCTAGCAACTTGGCTACTGTCACAAATAGGTGAGCTTCTAGTTGAGACCAGAATCCAGGCCATGAGGAGCATAGCCTCTGCTGGTAATCACAGCACTATCAAGTTATTTAATTTCAAATTTGCATCCAAAATAATGTTTCTCCATTGTAAAAAGTGAGTCGATGTGAAACTTTATAAGCTAGCATTAAAATGTTGATGAAATGTTGAAAATACTGAGCTTCGGATATTTCAAACACCAGAATGTCCATAAAGCACCAACCCAGCATGGCCTGGACAGAGTGTGCTGCAGGACAGTGTGCTCCAACATTAGGCCATCATGTGCATCTGCCCACCAAGGATGCTGAAACCTACCATCTTTAATCAATGTCAAGGGATTGACCTATTTTAAGTAATTATAAGATGAAAAAAGAACATTCTGAAATAAAAAGTCATGCAGTTTCTCAACAATTTTCCAAACTTTTGGGTCACAGGGTTTTGCCCAGGGAAATTGACCCCATTCATGTCTGATTACATGGGACTCCCTTGATGACACTTCTGACTTTTTCCTTTAGTTAATTTATTGTCTTTATTTATGGATAACAGGGCATAGACTGGAGGCAAATTAAGGAAAGTCTATTTTTGTTTAGTCTAGCTTGGACCTGGGGCTAAAATTCTTGGCCCTCCCCTCCCTTCCTCTCATCCTTTCTTACCCCCAGCCTCTCCTGGGAGTGAAGAAGATCTGCAGAGAACTAGCCTTAAAAAGAGTGTTTAGAATATTTTTAAGACAAGCATTTTTAACAAAATGCACATACACTGGGTAATACATAAACTTTACATACTTGGTAAGTGTTTTTTTGTTGTTGTTTTTTGTTTGTTTGTTTTTGTTTTTGTTTTTGAGAAAGAGTCTCACTCTGTCTTACCCAGGCTGGAGTGCAGTGGTGCATTCTTGGCTCACTACAGCCTCCACCTCCTGGGTTCAAGCAGTTCTCCTGTCTCAGCCTTTCAAGTAGCTGCGACTACAGGTATATGCCACCACACCCACTGAATTTTGCACTTTTTTTTTTTTTTTTAGTAGAGATGGGGTTTCACCATGTTGGCCAGGCTGGTCTTGAACTCCTGACTTCAGGTGATCCACCCACAGTCTTCCCAAAGTGCTGGGATTACAGACGTGAGCCACCACTCCTGGCCGGTAAGTTTTTATTAGATATGGAATCATTGTGAGTTTTACATTGTGGGGTGCTGAATGCTGAGTATGTTTTGTTGCTGTAATGATTTTTGAAGCTTGTCCCAGGAGGTAGTAAATTAACCGAGACAGTCTGATTCTTTCAGAGCTTACTTTAAAGCTTTGTCATGTGGGAACAAACATAGGGCTGGAACTAATTTTGGCCTGCTTTTGCCTGCTGAAAGGAATATCTTGTGGATTAAATGATTTTTTACTCTGGCTGTTGGGTGAACACTTTGCTAACTAGTACAGGCCCTCTTCAGCCACCTTTGCACTGGGCGAGTTTAACAGGCCCCCATATCCCTGTCTGTCCAGCTAGGGAGCTGCCCATGTCTGTCCCCAGCTGTGGTCCTCTAGGAGACCAAGTTTCTTCATTTTCCTGGGACCCAGTGAATTCTGTGAAGCTGGGTCTGGGATCCACGGATCCCTGCATGGGCTTGTACTCCAGGGCTTTCTGCAGCAAGGTGGGAGCAGAGCAGAATGAAGGTCACGATGAAGCAAGCACTAAGAAATTTGCAAAGGGGAGACAGATCATTACAGAAACACATTCAGGTGGTTATGGCAGCCGGCTCCTTACCTGAACCAGAGACTCATGCTCCTGTTAAAATGTTAGTCCAGTCAGCGGGTTTCCTGCTTCCTGGCCGTCCTGAGAGATGACCCTGAGCCCAGGGAGATGGGGCCAGGCCAAGAAAAGAAACCTCAGGAGAAACCAACCCTGCTGACACCTTGATCTTGGACTTCCAGGCTCCAGAACTGTGAGAACTAGTTTCTGTTGTTTAAGCAACCCAGGCAGTAGTATTTTGTGAAGGCAGCCCCAGCAGACTAATGCAGGTGCCCTCCCCGAGCTGCTTGCAGATTTCCCCACTTGCAGGCACACCTATTCAGGACCCCTCTCCCTCTGGGTTCTCAGAGGAGTTCGCAGTAATCTGGGAGGATGGTCAGAGTGAGCCAACCGCGCTCAGCTGGCTGGGGTTGTGGCGCTCTGCCTCATGACCTGCCTCCAGGTTTCTTCCACGCAGTGCTCTGTCCAGGCACTAGAGTTCTAACTCCTGGTTTCTCAGCCCAAATTTTTCATGTCAGCTTTTGCCCAGTTTTTAATTGAACCAGACTTACTATGCGGACTTGAGCCTGCCCCTGCCTTTAGGAGCCTATGGGCTGATCAGGTTTTGTGGGGCCTGAAGCTTGTGCAATTCAGAAAAATCCTATGGCACATGTATACATATGTAACTAACCTTCACATTGTGCACATGTACCCTAAAACTTAAAGTATAATAATAATAAATAAATAAATAAACAAATGTATTCACATAAAAAAAATTAGACAATTACAAAAACAAAACTGCAAACTTAGAATTAGGTGCAGGCTAGAGTATTTATTTAGAATGAGGTAAGAAATCACAACAAATTTTAAAAACCTGACAAATACCATAAATGCTTCTTTCAGCTCATTTTCCTTTAGTAAGAATACCTCCAATCATATTTGAATTTTTGCGTAATCAATAATGTTTAAAATAAAAGAAACCAGTCTCAGTATATTAACAATTAAACCATATCATTATATGCTACTATGCTGTTTTGCACTACATAATTGTATTATGGAATTATTATTAGGTTGGGGGCAGGCTGTAATCCCAGCACTTTCGGAGGCTGAGGTTGGAGTATTGCTTGAGCTCAGGAGTTCGAAACCAGCCTGGGCACCATAGCAAGACCTTGTCTCTATTAAAAAAAAAAAGAAAAGCCAGATGTGGTGGTACATGCCTGTAGTCCCAGCTGCTCCAGAGTTTGAGGTGGGAAGATCGTTTGAGCCCAGGAGACTGAAGCTGAAGTGAGTTTTTGATTCTGCCACTGCACTCAAGCCTGGGTGACAGAGAAAGACCTGTCTGAAAAAAAAAAAAAAAAAAAAAGAAAAACAAAGAAGAAATAAGAAGAAGAAAAGAAAGAAAGAAATTACTCTTATCCTGGACATCTTGACTTGTCACAGCTTGGGTAGGAGTTTGTTGCTGGTGCCCTGGCTTCTCAGGCTTTCTTGGACTGATGTTTTGGGGGCAGCTTTGCCTGTGGTCCCACCTGGAAATGCTAGACTTCATTCAAATAAGACTTGTCAGGTATTTGAGGCACATTTTGATGTATTAGGTTGCATGAAACCCTGGCCTAACACACAGACCTACCTGGTGGAGGTAACGCTGCTGGTTTGGACACTACAATCGAGAAGCATGAGGCTCTCATTAAAAAGAAAATAAGAAGTGTGTGTTTATATTCGTATCCACTGTGCAAGTGAGTCTTTTCCTCAGAAGGGGAGAACTTGTATTCAACGGAGCACAAAGCTTTATGTCCACTGTCCAGAAAGCAAAGCTTGTGTGCCAGACACGCTTCCTGCTTCTGCTCTGGACATTTCACACCTCTATTTTCTATTTGGTATGGATGTCAGTGAGGCACCTTAGAAATAGTCATGTCACTGTGTGACTTCCAGCTTTGATTTTTGGGTACAGACACCTGGTGAGAGGCTCTGAGGGTACTAGGTAGATTCAGAAGAGCCATTCCTACTTTGGGTTAACTAGAAGTAATCTAGTTGTATGTGGCAGTGACTGAGAATCACACAGCTATCCCAGTAAACTGAGTTGATACGTATCTCCTCCCCTCTCCACTCAGACCCCCAAAAGTCCTCAGTCCTAGCAGTGCAACTGACTCTACAGAGTCTGCAGGAGGAGCCTCAGGACTGAAGGAGAATGTATCCCTGATCAAATGCAGTCAAAATAGATAACTTCTGAAAATTTTGCAAAATCAGGAAATGTATAAATAAATGTATACATTGCTAGGACCCCTCTCAGGATCTTGGAAGGAAACTTTGCAAGTGACAGTTTTCCAGGTCTGCAACTTGATAAGTGGCTCAGTAATCCGCTGTCACACAATCCTGTCCTCCCCCAAGGGACAAATATTCAACATCCAGCTCCACCATAGCTCCTGTCATCTTTAGAGAAATTTCCGAGTGTGATGTTTTGAGGCCAGACATGTCTTCACTAGACCTCTGGGGCTCAAGCTTTCTCAGATTCTAAGGCACATTCCCCCTGATGCCGTTACCTGACAGCTCTCCTCAGCACCTTCCAGTTACCTAAACCCTCCCAAGAATTCCCTCCCTCAACCCAAATCCCAGCCCCTATCCCAGTGGAGAGTGCTTGGCCCAGTTCTCCTTTTCTACCTTTCCAGAAGTAAAGAAATTTACCCCTTGGCTCCAAACAAAGTAAGGATAGTTATAGAAAGTGGTCATTCTTCAGAAATGAGGATCAGAGGCTTTGCAGTTTAGTTTACCAAATACTTCATTTTCCTCCCAGCCCTCACAACAACCCAGTGAGATATGGGCAGTTATTTCTATTGTACAGACATGGAAGCTGAGGCTCAGAAAGGCTAAGAAATGACCCCATGCCTGACACTTGAGGATGCAGAGCCTTGACTTAAATTCAGATGCTCTGACCTAGCCACGAACTTTCACAAGTACACTGGGCTTCTTAATGGGTGTGTGAACTCCCAGGGCAGGGGTCTCTGGTCATGAAGCCTGTGCAATCACACTCAACACTCAAGCTAGTTGTGTACTTGTTGGGAGACTGTTCACTCGCCAGTTGATACATAGCTCACACCTGCCCTAATACAGGAAGAGTCAGGTGAAATATCCTGATGAAAAAGATAAAGTGTGTATAAAATATTAATTTACATGATTTTAAATTCTCACCTTCAAATCACTGGGAAATTAAAAGTTTTTATTTTCTTCTAACATTTGGTTATTCTGATATGATAAATATTAAATCAAGCTTCTTGCTTCATAGACAATTCCGGTGGTCTGTTTCCCAGAAATTTACCTAGTACAGTTAATCTACTTACGCTCAATGTTATGCAGTCTACCGTTTCCCAAAAACAACATAGATCTTAAAAATGCTACATTTCCAGACTGATATTAGCAAGTGAGCCTTTTTTTTAAAAAAAAAAAAAAGAACATAAAAAGAGCTTTGGTGCTCAAGGGAACATTTACACAAAAGTTCATCGATTTGAAAACAACTAGATTTTCCTGGAACTATCAAATACATCAGACACAAACAAACCTATAAAATAAAAAATAGTTTCTGCTGATGAATCTGTTGGGAGAGACATCATGGAAGATGCGACTTGCATTTGGGAGAAAGCAGAAATATAGAGTTAAGCTCTAAAAAATAATATGCCCCAGAGAGTGTTAGTTAAGGCAGGGGAGAGGAGGCATTGCTAGGAATAAGAATACATGTAGAACTTGGAGATGTCAAGGAATTTATGCAGAATTGTTGTGGTTTTGCCCACTGCATCTTCTTATTGGTGCCTCCCTGTAAGGTCATGAGTTGGTGTCTGAAGTCTTTCTCAGTCCAGAGGTAACTTCTTCCTCTATGATTTTTTTTTTAACCAAACTTAACTTCTGCCAAAGTAATTACATAACCTCCACTTCCAAGAAACGGCTTTCCAGTTCCCCCTACACACATCTGCTGTCATTCCTTCATGCTCTGCCTCTTCTCTCTTGCAGACTGACCAAGGCTTTAGAACTGTATGGCCAGGAGATGCTAATGAAGTATCCTAGTCCACAAAGTTTAGAGAATGCTGGCTTAAGCTGGGCGCGGTGTCTCATACCTGTAATCCCAGCACTTTGGGAGGCCAAGACAGGTGGATCACTAGAGATCAGGAGTTTGAGAGAATGCTGGATTAAGTAATATTAAGTAGGCTTGTCTCCAGTGGAATTTGAAGAGCATTTAGCGCACCAGTGTACTTGGGAATATTCCAAAGGGTGATTGCATCCCATTGTGCACTAGAAGCTCCTGGTGGCCACTGTGGGCCACGGAACCTCCAGGGAGTATACTTGGAAAACATTGTTCCCTATTCTGTAAGCCAGGCTTATATCCTATGGTATGCATTTCCAAATTCTATAACCTATGTCATTAGCAGTGGGCTTTACATTATAATATTTCACATATTTTAATATAAATTTTAATATATTTTAATATAAATTTAAACTACAATATAAGAAACTATAAATTTAATATAAAATTTAAAGTATTTAATGTAAATATAATTAAGATACTTTGATATTAAAAATGTAGTTCTTAAGTTTGGTATCCATAATTATCTGATGAGCTAGAAGTGGCTCTTTTCACTTAACAGATTAGGAAACAGTCTGAGCAATCAAGTACTCCGACCAAAATCTTACAGTCATTTAAGTGACAGAGCTAGGACTGGAATCTTCTCATTCCTGGGTCTGTGTTCTCTCATCCTTAACATAACCTCATCTCAATCACAAGTAGTAAGTGGATAGATAAGAAAAATGCTGGTAGGAGCAAATGTTTTACAAAAGTAGGAATTCAACAGCAAACATATAAAAACTTTCCAAATATATAACAATTTTAAGAACAATACTTTCCTTATTTTACCTACAAAATTTGCAAAATACTTCAAAATATTTTTATTCTGAGATCATTTTAGATGTACAGAAAAGTTGCAAAGAAAGTATGGAAAGTCTCCACATACCTGTCATCCAGCTTCCTCTATAGTTAACATCTCACATTACCATGGTTGCCACGCAATATTTATCAAAATCAAGAAATGATTATTGGTAAAACGTTAATAATTGCATTGCAGGCTTTATTCTAATTTCAGTAATTTTTTTCCACTAATGTCCCTAGTATTTAAACTAGGGTCCCCCATTGCATTCGTTTTCAAGTCACCTTAGCTTCCTTCTTTCTGTGGTAGAAACTTGGCCTGTCCTTATCTGTCATGGCTGTGGCATTGTTGAAGAGTACTGGTCAGGTATGTTGTAGAGTGTTCCTAATTTTGATTTGCCTGGTGTTTACTGATGATTTAGACCAGGGTTATGGATTTGGGAAGGAGATCACAGAGATGAATGTGTCCTTCTCATCATGTCACGTCACGGGTGCACAATGCTGACTTGGGTTATTACTGTGATGTTTGCTTGGATCACGTGGCTGAGGCTGGTCGGCCGGATTCCTCCACTGTCATGTAACTGTTGTCCCCTTTCTGTACTCTGTTCATTAGAGCTACTAAGTTCAGCCCCACTCAAGAAGTGAGGAATTAATCCTACCTTCTAGGAGGGTGGAGGAGTTGCAAATAATTTCTTAAATTCTTAGCATATATTGAAATCACCACAATTGATGAGCATTTTGGAGAAGATACTTAGAGGTTATGCAAATATCCTGTTTCCCCTTAAAATCTCACCCACTCATTTTAGTATCATCAGTAGTTCTTGCCTGAAGTAATTATTGTCAAAATGTTCTAATGGCAATTTCCTATTTCCCTTATTCCTTCTACAATTATTAATTAGAATCATCTCTGTCTTCCTCTCTCCCACCTTCCCTTCCTGCCACCCTCCCTCCTTCCCTTCCTCTTTGTTAACTCACACATGCACACAAATCTGTATCTATTTATCTGTGTGTGTGTGCATATGAGTTCATACTGATAAACCTAAACCCAGTATGTTACCGCAGCTTCATTCTAAATTCCCTCCTGGTTAATTATAACTTCTTGGTCTGACAGTAAAAAGCATCACTCTCATTACCTACAATATATTTGCTAATATTTTCAATCTAGTCTACATGTAAAGTTGTTTCAGAATTGCTAACAAATATTTCAGTGTGAAACAAATTTACCACCTAAAGTGTTTGAATATAATTTTTTTTGTCTATAGACTTATAGTACATTGCCAAATAGCATAATCCAAACTTTCTCCCAACCCATTTAGTGCAGTTATGCCATACAACCTTGGTTCCCCATGACATACTAGTTGATTGTTTTAAATTTGTATACATTTAAAGTTTTGTGGTATAGAGCTTATGAATTTTGAAAAAAACATTGTCATGTGTCAGTTATATGGTGCCATATGGAAAAGTTCCATCACCCTAAAATTCCCTATGCAGCCCCTTTATAGTCCAACCCCTGATGATCACTCATCTGTTTCAGGTACCTACAGCTCTTTCCAGAAGGCCATGAAAATCGAATTACATGGTATGTAATCTTTTACATTTGTCTTCTTCCAGTTATCAAGACTCATTTAAGATTCATCCATGCTGTGCATCGAGCAATAGCTCTTCTTTGATTGTTGATATTGCATTGTGTGAATGCACACATCTTGTTTACTCATTCACCTATTCAAGAATATCTGGGTTGTTTCCATATTTTGGGAATTATGAATATGAATATTTTGGCAATTATGAATATAAATAAAGCTGCTATAAGCTTCTGTGTACATGTTTTTTGTATGAATATAACTTTTAGTCTTCTTGAGTAAATATTATGAGAGATTGTTGAGTAGTATGGCAAGTGTATGTTTGCCTTTGTAAGAAACTCTCAGACTACTTTTCAAAATGGCCGTATAATTTTGAACTCACACCAGCAATAAATAAAATACAGACAGTCCTCAAATGACGATGGGTCAGTTTGTGATTTTCAACTCCGCGACAGTGGAAACATGATACACATTCATTAGAAACCGCAGTTTGAGTACCCATACAACCATTCTGCTTTTCACTTTCAGAACAGTATTCAATAAATTACCTGTGATATTCAACACTTTATTATAAAATAGTTTTTGTGTTAGATGACTTTGCCCACCCATAAGCTAATATAAGTGTTCCTGAGCATATTTAAGATAGGCTAGGCTAAGCAATAATAGCTATTTGTTAGGTTAGATGTTGATATGGTTTGGCTTTGTATCTCTATGCAAATCTAATCTCAAATTGTAATCCCCACGTGTCGAGGGAGGAATCTGTAATCCTCATGTATCAGAGAAAACAGGGTGGATCATGAGGGTGGTTTCCCCCACACTGTTCTGATAGTAAGTTCTCATGAAAACCGATGGTTTTAAAGTGTGGCACTTCCTCACACTCTCTCTCTCCTGCCACCTTGTGAAGAAGGTACTCACCTCTCCTTTGCCTCCCGCCATGATTGTAAGTTTCCTGAGGCCTCCTCAGCCAGGCGGATCTGTGAGTCAATTAAACCTTTTTCCTTTATAAATTACCCAGTCTCAGGTATTTCTTTACAGCAGTACAAAATGGTCTAAAATAGTTGTATTAAACCCATTTTTGACAGGATATTTTCAACTTGTGATGGTTTATTAGGATGTAACTTCCATCATTAATTGAAGAGCACTTGTATGTGTATGTATATATAATTCCAGGTTATCTATTTCTTTCTTAGTGAGCTTTGGCAATTTATGATTTAAAAGAAATTGGGCTATTCCATCAATGTTTTCAAATTCACAGCATACAGTCTTTCATATAGTTTCCTATTTTCCTTTCAATGTCTGTGAGGTCAGTAGTGATATGATCCCACTCATTTCTGATATTGTTATTTTGTGCTTTCTCTGTTTTCTGTCTTTTTTTTCTGGATCAGTCTTCTTTAAAGTTCATAAAATTAAATAACCAGCTTTGTTTTTTGATGTTTTCTATTGTTTTTCTGTATCTCTTTTCTTTTGTTTCTCATTTTTTTTTTTTAAGACGAGGTCTAACTCTGTCACCCAGGCTGGCATGTAGTAACATGATTATGGCCCACTGCAACCTAGACCTCTCAGGCTCCAGTGATCCTCCCACCTCAGCCTCCCAAGTAGTTGGGATGACAGATCTGCACCACCATGCCTGGCTAACTTTATTTATTGATTGATCGACTGATTGTAGAGATGGAGTCTCATTATGTTGCCCAGGCTGGCCTCAAATTCCTGGGCTCAAGTGATCCTCTGCTTCAGCCTTCCAAAGTATTAGGATTACAGACATAAGCCACTGCACTCAGCTTGACTTTTTTCTTTTCTTTCTTTTCTTTTTTTTTTTTTTTTTTTAAGACAAGGTCTCACTTCATTGCCCAGGCTGGAGTGAAGTGGTGAGATCATGGCTCACTGCAGTCTTGACTTCCAAGCTCATGTAATCCTCCCACCTCAGCCACCTGAGTAACTGGGACTGCAGATGAGGGCTCACCATGTCTGGCTTTTTTTTTTTTTTTTTGGATTTTTTATAGAGATGGTGTCTCACTATGTTTCTGAGGCTGGTCTCGAATTCCTGGGCTCAAGCCATCTGCTCACTTCAGCCTCCCAAAGAGTTGGAATTATAGGCATGAGCCATTGTGTCTGGCCCTGACTTTTTTCTTTTCTAATAAAAGCACTTAAAACTGTACGCTTCTTGCTAACCACTTTTTAAATTGCATTCTGCATAATTCAACATGTGGTGCTTCATTTTCATTAAGTTCAAAGTATTTTTTTTTAATTTCCCTTGAGTCTTTTTTTTGACCCATGGATTATTTAGCAGTGTACTTTTTTTTTTTTTTTTTTTTAAATGGAGTCTTGCTCTGTCACCCAGGCTAGAGGGCAATGGTGCAATCTTGGCTCACTGCAGCCTCCGCCCCTCAGGCTCAAGCGATTCTCCTGCCTCAACCTCCTGAGTAGCTGGGATTACAGCCACGTGCCACTGCACTTAGCTAATTTCTGTATTTTCAATAGAGATGGGGTTTCACCTTGTTGCCCAGGATGGTCTTGAACTCCTGACCTCAGGTGATCCACCTGCCTCAGCCTCCCAAAGTGCTGGGATTACAGGCATGAGCCACCATGCCGGGCCAGCAGTGTACTTTTTAATTCCAAAATATTAATAGAATTTCTAGCTATTTTTTGTTATTATTGATTTCAGTTTAATTTTATTCTATTTATATAATTTCTATTATTTTAAATTTGTTGAGGGCTGTTTTGTAACCCAATACTATTTTGGTAAATGTTCCATGTGCACTTGAACATAATGTGTATTCTGCTCTTATTGAGTAAAACATTCTATTAATATCCATTAGGAGAAGTTGGCTGATAATGTTGTTTAGGTTATTTACACCCTTAATAATTTTTGATTATGTGTCATATCAAATATTCAGAGAAGAATGTTGAATCTTCCAATTATAATTGTGGATTTCTCTGTCTCCTCTTAAAACTACCAGTTTTGGCCTCATGTGTTTTCAAGTTAGGTTATTTGGTACAACTATATTTGGGGTTAGTTTGTTTTCCTGTAGAATTTACCTTTTTATTATTACATAATATACATCTTCTTCTCTGATAAATCCTGCTTGTTCTGAAGTCTACTTTGTTGGATATTAATATATAACAAAGCTCCTATTTTGTTTTTATTAGTATTTTTATGGTATATCAGTCTTCATTCTTTTAACTTATGTATGCCTTTATATTAAAAGTGAGTTTCTCAAAGATGCCATAAATGTAGGTCTTGCTTTTATTAGAATCTAATCTGACAACTCTGTCTTCCAATTAATGTGTTTATTCACACTATTTACATTTAAACTGTTTATTGATTTGATTGGGTTAACCCTATTTTACTAGCTATTTTATACTGGTTCCAATAGTTCTTTGTTTCTTGTGTCTTTTTTATCTTCTCTAGGTTTACTCAAGCATTTTATGTATTTTCCTTTGGTCTTCTCTACTGACTTATTTAGTTTTTTATTTTAACCTTTTTAGTGGTTACCCTAGAGTTAAAAATATATGCTATTTGATATATTTGATCCTAAAACATTTGCCTTAGGTAGCGATCTCAGAATAAGCACCATGTACAAATATGTTAATAATTACATTGCATTCTTCACAGGAGACATTTTTAGTTTCTCTAAATGCCCAACCACATATCAAAGGTTAAATCAACTGTGGCACACACACCCTTTGGTGAGATGATTACCCAATATTACAAAAATCATTACAAGGCAGATATAAAGATGGTTTTAAACAAAAGTGTTTGAAGCTTCAGATATAAACAAAGAAAAACAGGTTTAACCTGTACTGAGTACTGGCTGTGACCTCTTGCTTTCCTTACCTATAGAATACCAGTAGTGACATAGTTTCTCACCAGGTTTGCTGTCTGTAAGACTAAGTAAATTACTAATGAAAATGCTTGAACATTCTGGCTAGGTCAGGGAAGGAAGAGAGCGCATATTAGGTTTCTTTCTGTGTGAGATGCATTATGGACTGAAAAAAAATGCTGACAAGTCCTTGGTTTGAAACTAAGCTCTACCACTTATTAGTTATACAAACTTGTTCAGGTTTTTGAACCTTTCTGTGAGTTCGTTATTTGGTCTAAGTGGAAATAAGCTACCCATTAACAGGGTTGATAAGGGGATCAGGTGCGGAGAAAGGCATAAATTAGTTTGGCTACTCAATTAGCTTTATGGAATAAATGTATCATTGTCTTCTCCTTAGGACATGGTTCTGTAGGTGCTGACCACAAACATAGTGAGACAAAGCAATAATCAGTCTTGTCTATTTCATTAAAAATAATACTAGGATATACTGAAGGCTTATTATTTGCCAAGTTCTTGGTGTGCATGTGAGAATTTCATGTCAGCCACAGCTCAAAAAACAAAACCAATCAAACCTATATATTTTAAGTAAAAAAAAAAAAAAAAAAAAAAGATAGAGCTGGGTGCCTTGTAGTGTTGCAGTACCCAGTCTTTCAAGATTTAGAAAAGGCTTGAGGTTCATTGCAATAAGTTGCGTATATCCAGAAAGAATCTCAGAAAAGGCCTTAATGAAAGTCATTCCTTTTAAAGAACTTGGGAAGAGAGAGAGGGGAGGTGCTTGGATATGAAGCTTTGAACAGCTCTTTTGAATGAAGCAAAGCTGTCCTCTTTAGGTAATTATATTCCACAAAGGAAATCTGGCTTCATTTGCCTTAGCGTATTTTTTGTTGGTTTTTTTTTTAGGAACACAAAAGCAAGGAAGTTTCTAACTTCCATTTACTTCTTTCATGACTTGTCTTTGTCCCATTCTCTTTTCTGTCTGCACCTGTGGCTTAGTGCAAAAGATCACTTGTCTGCAGTGCAGAGGGGAAATTCTTTGCTCTCAGCCTGGCTGGGGTTTTCCTGAATGAGGGAATGGGGTGAGATGTTGAGGGCATTTGCCCATACATGGAAACAAAGCCTTTATCTGCCTAAAGTGGAGAGGCAAATGGGTGGTTTTTATATGCATTGCAATTACCACTTTATTTTTTCATTAAAAGTGAGTCTAACCTTTTAAAATATATCATTTATAGTGGACTGGGACAGTTCAGTTGTCTTTGCTGTCGATTTAATAGCCAGAGGACAGAATATGAGGTTGAATTTTATTGTTTACATTAGAGTAAAGGACCAAATGAATCTTTTAACAAGTTGAACAAAATTTTGCAATGAACACTGGACTTTTAGTGACTAGATTTTTTTTACAGATTCATTAAATTTAAAAATAAATATTCCCTCTCACGATCAGAATTATTTCATATATGTGGATATATAAACATATATGTAATAATCTATGCATACAAAAGTCTAGTCAATTTATGCTCTTGAGAACTCAAGCAAACTTTTGGAGCTTGAGGTTGGGAGTTGGGCCGGGTGAAGTTGAGTAACTAAGACACCTAGAGCAGTTGTATCTTTTGTTAGTCCAGTTCATAAGAAGCTTTATAAATATTAACTTGAAATGCTTCAAGTTCATGGTAGGACATTTCTGAGTTGAGTTCCCAGCTCTGCAGTATCTAGCAGCATGATTTCAGGTGAGCTGCTTCATATGTGCTGAGCTTCACATTCCTTATCCCTAAAGCCAGGAGTGTGGTGTCTACCATGTTTATCATGAGGGTTTTCTTAGCTATAAATATCTATGAACACTTAAGAAGTTATTATTAATGCATCAGACGATTTAATTCTTAATGGAACATTAAGTTGTTAGTCTATGGATTTCCATTCCTGTAAAGCCTTTATATTCTTTCATGTGAAATATTAACAAATAATGCCTGCCCCTGAGCCAGACTTGAAGAAGTGGGAGAAGGGCTGTAAATGAGATTCCACAGGGGATCCATATTGTGAACCAAAGCCAAGGATGTGTGTGTGTATATGCAGGTGTGTGTGTGTGTGTGTATGTGTGTGTGTGGATGCACATTTTATTCAATAAGCCGGAACCAATATTAAAAGTCTTCTTTTCCTATCAAAAAGCTTTGAAGAAAGCCTCAAAGTTTTTTTAGCGTTCTGCATGATATTGTTACGTATAAAAAGCAAGATGCAGAAAATGTTTAAAACAATGCTACCTCCTCAGTGTGTGTGTGTTTGTGTTCTTTTATTATGAAAATATGGGAGAAAACACAGAAGGTAGCACACTAAGTGTTTCACATGAATTAACTGAAGTTAGTCTAGGAGAGAGTTGAGACAAAGAGATGCGGAAGGATAGAGAAAGAGTAGAAGCAAACAAAAAGAAAATAGAAAATAGAAACCTTAGACTAAAAAGGAACAGCACGATAAATATCTTGGTTTTACTTTTGCAATTATGCAAACTACTGTGTCTGTATACACATGAAGAAATTGAATACAACAAAATATACCAAATCTGCCTCTTTGACAGAGAGCTCTGTAAAGCCCCCATGGGAAAGAAACGGAGGTGACCTCAGCAAAGGGAGAACCCTCAGGAAAAGGAAAACTGGAGAGTAAAGAACAGCGAGACGGGTGCCAGGCCCTGGGAAGGGTTCATTAGGAGTAAGTCTATCCTGGCGGGAGTGGAAGTTTTAGAGTTCTGGGAATAAAATATCTTGACTTTAGAGAGGTGACGTCACCGAGGCATGTGAGGAATAGTAACTGTGGGATCCAGATGAATTTCACCTTCACTGGCACAAGGCAAATAGAACGAATGGATGCACAGTCCAAACAGGAAAAGGGGGGCTTTACCAAGCCCTGCCTGGCTGCAGAAGGGGCTAAAAGATGCTGGTGGGGGAGGGTTTTCTTCAAGGCCCAGGAGGATCCATCTGAACAACAAAACAACATGAGAAACTGAAATCGAACACATCCTTCCTGAGCCAACACCACTGCTACAGAGGATTTTTAGTTCTGCGCTTTTTAAAAAGTTAATACCAAATAGCAATTGTGACTACTTTTTATGGATGACATTTGTTAGGAGCTGTTTGCAAGGCCGCATTGTATTTGCTCACTGCTTCCTTTTGCCTCTCAGCCTAGCTTCTGGGATAATTTTTCTTCTTCATGAAGCATCTGCATTAGAAGTTCTTTGAATGCAATGTTTTAAAAAATTCTTTCTATTTTTTTGATTATGTTTGAATGTCTTTATTTCACTCTTTGAACGATACTTTTCTTTGTACACATACTAGGTTGACGGTTATTTTCTCTCACATGTTTTTGAAGATAATATTGGACCATTTTCTTTCTTCCATTGATATTGAGAAATCTAAATTTATCCTGCCTTTTTTGTTTGTTTGTTTGTTTAAGTCCTCTGTTTTTCCTATCTGGCTGTTTTTGAGATTTCCTCCTGAATTCTGCAGTCTTAATACAGTATATTTAGTAGCAGGTTTCTTATTTTTTTTATCTTCTATGGTATGGTATGCATTGATCTGTATAATCCTGCTTTTTTGTTTGTTTGTTTGTTTGTTAGTTTGTTTAGTTATAGAAAACTTCCAGCCTTGAGCTCTGAAGATTGCCTCACCTCTGTTTTCTCTGCTCTCCCCTTCTAGGACTCTGATCAGGCCTGTGTTCAAATGTGACAGTCATCAGCCCAGTTCATCAAACGTGTGCAGCTGACTGCTCTGGTCACTAGCAGGGTTGCCCTTTCTGGCCTCTTTGGGTTGCCTGGGGCCATGTGCTATTACTAGCTAATGAACTGTAGGCTACAATGGTGCATATACTTTCAGCCTGGAGCATTTCTTAGCCATTGTGAGCCTTCCTGAAACCCTTTTTCTTTTACCAGGGTGAACAACGATGCTCCAAGTTGTGGTAGCTTGAGCCTTGGGTCCCAGAGTAAAGACAACAGGGAACATAGCCTCAGAGGGCTCAGAATAGACTTGTAGAGTAGGCAGTAAATCACATTTGGTTGTTTCAAGGCACTGAGATATTGGGATTATTTGTCACTATAGTTTTACAAAATGTAGCCAAGCCGAGAGACTATCTCATTATATCATTCATATTCATTCATGCCTATTTTATATATTTCATCTTATTGCACATAATTTCTTTTCCTATATCATCTATTTTCACTAGATATTGAGTTATACATAAACGTATTTAACAATTATATTATCATTTCTACATGCTTTTTTCCTAATAGTCTCATGTTGATCAGTCTTTTTTTAATTATGCATTTGAAACATTTGTATGTATCTGAAAATCTCCAGCTCTGTTGGTCTTAGGGATCAAACCTGTTATTTGTTGTTTCTGTTGATACTTAATCCTAGTGGATTTTGCTTTCTCTGGATTTTGTGAAATTTGGTTACTACCTCTTTGCTTAATCTTGACAGTGAGATCCTTGTGGACCTAAATTGCAGAGAAGTGTTTCCCAGTGTAGATTTGTTTCTGCTTCTCCTAGAAAGAAACCTGACCACCTCACTCTGCATGCAAGTCTTGACTCAGCTTTCTGATCAAACTTTCCCTTGCCCTTGTTGCTAGCTCCAAGGCTCAATTTCTTGATTGCTGTAGACATCTCTGCTAAGGCAACTCAGCATCTTTTGGATTCCTGCAGATCTGGCTCCAGTCAATCCCACCTTCTTGATGTCCCAACTTCAGCTCATTATAATATGTGTGGGTGCGTGTGTGGTTTGCTTTGTTTGGATGAGGTGGGAACTTGGAGTATATGTTTTTGTCTGCCTTCCTTCATTCAGCATAATTTATTCTGAGACTTATCCAAGTTGTGGAGTTGTATTTCATTGTGTGAATATATCATTTTTTTTCATTCATCCATTGATGGACATTTTGGTTGTTTGCAGTTATTTGATATTTCAAATAAAGCTGTTGTGAGTACCCATGTATGAGTTTTTATGTATATATATTTTAATTTTTTGGGGGGGTAAATCTAGAAGTGGAATGACTGAGTCTTAAAATAGTTGTATATTTAGCCTTATAAGAAAAAAAAAAACAGTGGTTGTACCACTTTACATTTTTACCATCAGTCTATAAGATTTCTAGCTCTTTCATATTCTTGTCAGCACCTGGTATGGGCAGTCTTTACGGTTTCAACCATTCTAATAGGTGTGTAGTGTGATCTCATGGTAGTTTTAACCTGCATTTCCCTGATGACTAATGACACTGAGCATGTGAGTCTTTGTCATCTGGATATCTTATTTGATGAAGTCTCTGTCCATATGTTCTGGCCACTTTTTGAATGGGGTTATTTTTTCCTCTTATTATTGAGTATTAAAATTTCTTTATACATCGTGGATTCAAGCTTTTTATCAGACATATTATTTATAAATATCATCTCATTTTCAAATTTGTAATTTGAGCTCATTTTACTCTTTAATATTTTAGCACATTCAAAAAAAGAGCTAAATTTTTAATGTTGATAAGATCCAATCTATCATTTCTTTTATGAATTACGCTTTTGTTGTTATATCTAAAAGACTTCTGCCTAACCCAAGGTCACAAAGATTTTCTCCTATGTTTACTTCTAGAAGTTTTATAGTTTTAGGTTTTACATCTAAGCCTCAGACCAGAGGACTTGATTTTCATTTTACTGAGTAATTGTGGACAAGTCACTGTATTAAATTGGATTCTACTTTCCTCAAAGCCTGGTAAGTGCATTGGGAGTGGGGACAGTTGACGGGAGAACAAAATAGATCAGAGAGCAGCACAGGGCCGGTAGTATGCCAAGCCATGTCTTGTGCCAGCCACTTTTCTCTATGTGCTGTAAGCTGTTTAGGGAAGTATGGCAACAACAACAAACACTGAGCTGCTTTCAGGACAGTGTAACCTCAGGGGGAAAAAGCAATTTTTAAGCCATAAAGCATTTTTAAATTTAATTTTTATTGATACATAATAGATGCACATATTTTCAGGGTGCATGTGATAATTTAATACATTATACAATTAGTAAATATCCGATCAGGATAATTAGGATATCACTTTAAATGTGTGTCTTTTCTTTATGCTGGAAACGTTCAAATTATTCTCTTCTAGCTATTTTAAAATATACAATAAATTATTGTAAGCTACAGTCACCTTGCTGATCTATCAAACACTAAGTCTTACTACTTCTATCAAATTGTGTATTTGTGCCTATTAATTAACCTCTCTTCATGTCTTCCACCCTTCTTACCCTCTGGTAACCACCAATCTACTCTCTATCTCCATGAGATCCACTTTTTTAGCGTGGACATATGAATGAAAACATGTGATATTTGCCTTTCTGTGTTTGGCTTCTGAGAACATGTGATATTTGTCTTTCTGTGTTTGGCTTCTGAGAATATGTGATATTTGTCTTTCTGTGTTTGGCTTCTTTTACTTAATATAATGACCTTCAGCTCCATTCATATTGTTGCAAATGACAGAAGTACAATACTGCAAACCTGTAGTCTCAGCTAACTTGGGAGGTTGAGGTGATGATCAGGAGTTGGTGCCCAGGAGTTAGTGTCTAGCCTGGGCAACATAAGGAGATTCTATCTTCTAAAAAAAAATTCACAGAAAGACATGTATCCCATCTCCTGACCCATAATATGGATTTTTAGTGTATGAACTAGTTTCAATGTGTTTGCTCCTCAGGTGGGTGTATGAGTACCTCCCTACTCCAAGCTTTCATCTTCCCACTGTCTGCTTCTTTAAAATGCCACCATCTGAGGGAAGGACTCCATGCAGTTTGCAGCTCCTTACTCATTTAAAACCCAGCTGCAAAAGTCTAAATTAGGAAGGTCAGATCCATAGTCTTTACAAATGGCCTGAAATCATGACGTAGCAAAAATCACTTCTAAATCTTAATAGTGCTCTGTTCCTTTCTGTAACCTCCTTTCTGTGTGCGTGCAAGGCACCACAGGATTAAATGTTTGGATGTTGTTAGAGCAGCAAAATAAAACTAATTATTTCTGCAGTGACATTTTGGCTTGTATGAACATGAACATGAAAAAGCTATCTTTTATGCATTTCTCAACTGAGACATTAGAATCCTTTATATTCAGCGATTTCTGTTTCAACAAAAAGCAAAGGGGCAGGTATAGTGGTGCACGCTTATAATTTCAGAATTTTGGAAGGTCAAGGTGGGAGGATTGCTTGAGACCAGGATTTTGAGACCAACCTGGGCAACATAGTGAGACCCTGTTTCTACAAAAAACAAAGTAAAAATATTAGCTAGGCATGGTGGCACACGCCTGTAGTCCCAGCTACTCAGAAGGTTGAGGTGGGAGGATCGCTTGAGCCCAGGTGGTCAAGGCTGCAGTCAGCCATGGTAGAGCCATTGCACTCCACCCTTGGCAACAGAGCCAGACTCTGTATTAAAAAAAAAAAAAAAAAAGTTGAAATTGCAACATGAGAATGTGAAGGAACAATTTGCTAGTCTTTTTCTTTCTATAGCATGCCTTTTCTCTAAGGTGGTCAGCCAACCAGCCATTGACAGTACTTAAGTGACAGATACCAGCTCAACTCTGCATCGGGCAAGGAACAAGATAGAGGATAGTTCTCACCACCCTTCCAAGTGACAGTGATGACTTAACAACCACCAGTGGAAAAGTCATGTTTAATAATATCTATTTTAGAATTTAGAAAATTGAAGCTCTGAGAGTTTAACTAACTTGCTCCTAGTCATGCAGTAAAAATGACAGAGCTGGGTCATGAACTCACTTAATATGGTCGAAATCTAGTGCCTGAAAAGAGAGCATACCAAAATGATTGAGCTTATTTTCACTCGGCATTTTTTAAAAATGGATTTATATCTGGGTAGTAGAAAGAACTTGTGGAATCAATACACCAAGATTTGAGGCCTTCTGTGGACTATTTGCTGAATGGGGAAATTCATTTCTCTGTTCTGTGCTTTTGCTTTATTATAAAAAGTAATCTTTTTTTTTTTTTTTTTCCAGACACGGTCTGGCACTGTCACCCAGGCTAGAGTGCAGTGGCGCAATCTCAGCTCACTGCAACCTCCACCTCCCAGGTTCAAGCAGTTCTTCTGCCTCAGCTTCCCAAGTAGCTGGGATTACCGGCACCTGCCACCACACCTAACTAATTTTTGTATTTTTAGTACAGATGGGCCATGCTCGCCATGCTGGCCACGGTAGTCTCGAACTCCCAACCTCAGGCGATCTGCCCGCCTCAGCCTCCCAAAGTGCTGGGATTACAGGTGTAAACCACCGCGCCTGGCCAATAATCTTTAAATATACTCCAAACAATATAGCTAGGGGTGTAACTTATGTGTTAGGCAACCAAAGAAGATTTTTTCTTTTTTAACATTTCTGTCTTGTATATGCCAAATTATTTTCAGTAATAGGCATGAAATAATCAGTCATCATTATTATTTTCTAGATTCATCCTTTAATGATGAAATAAGTTTTCAAAAGGATAAATGTCATTTAAAAATCCATTCTTCAAATTCAGTGAAATATTTCATATAGGAACTTACTTTAATATTAAATATAAAAATATTTAATATAGACATTTGTTCTTCCTCAACAAGGAGGTCACACCTCCCAGACTGTGCTCCAGGTTGACAGGGCCAGAGGAAGACTGAGATTGCTTCTCTACCCTGACGGTCACTGTGTCATCATTGCTGATTAGAACGTCCTGCTTGAAACTCAGGAATGTGTTGTACCCCAGGGTTTGGGCACACAGATTGCACTAAAATGGAACCCAAAGGATTTCTATGCCTTACAAATGTATTCTAGAAGTGAGCAGTTGTAGCTGAATCCTCCAGCTATGTAGCTGGGAGCAGTGATTTAGGTCATAGGCCAACAACATCTTTTTGGGGTAAAGGAGCATTTTATCACTGGTGTTGTTTAGAATCTCTGGCAAACACTGGTGATGAAAACCAGGCTGATTTTTATAGGGTTTTATGATTGTCTTTAAGTTTTCTGCAGACAATGTACCCCTCACTGCCTGCACCCAGAATGGGGGGCATGCCCACTGCCCTGCCATTGGTACAACGTTGCACAGAATTCCACTTTTGTATGATTTCATTGTGCTAAATGCCTGTGTTGCTGGAGACCTTTTAGGTCAGCTTTATTGCAACATGCAATCATTATACCTCAGCCCCTGTCTGGGAAGCTTTAGAGAGGAGGGTTCAGGAGTGAGGCTTGGGCTCCTGAGCCCATTGCTTTAAGTGGTGTTGACATGTTTGATAAGGTGTGCACCAGACCCCCTCCTTCTGGGTCAGCAGTAGCCTCCAGTGCTGGCACTAAAGAAGACTTGCAAATGAATATCCCTCTTCACAGAGAAGGGTCCACATTAAATGTGTAACTAGGAGGAAGTAGATCCTTTATTCAGCCCCTAGATCTGAAAGTGCTGCTGACCAGAGGGAAGACCCCTGCCTGCCTTTCTTCCAGTGGTGGTTCAGATTCAACAAGCAGGAACTGAGTGTTGACTTTCTGCACTTATCTGTTAACCAAGGTTTTATAACCTCTAAAGAGGAAGGAACTGGTATTTAGTGAATACCTACCCTGTTGCATGGGGACTATAATTCCCCCTTTTTTAAGAGACTAAGTTGAGGCTTTGGTTTTCAGGGCTACCTGGTTAAGAATAGAAATCTCCCAGATGTCCAGACACCAGGACTGGGTGCCACTGAGATGGCTCAGCTGGGACACACAGTCAGCACACTAAACCCAAAGCTGTCCCTGGAAACGGCCCCACTTGCTTCAGGGCATGGTGCAAAACGTTGATTTAATCTGAGAAGCTGCTCTCTGGCTTTAGGCCAGAGGAGCCACCCACCCAGCCAGAGAGGAGCCTGGCCACCATTACTCAGACCTCTCCTTTCTGGAGAGGGAGTGCACAGCTGGCTCTGTCAGGCGTGGCTCGCAGGCCTGCGGAGTCATTCTGATCCCATTACCTGCATTGCCCACATTACTCCAGAGGCCCCTGATCTCAGCCCACAACTCTGGGCAAATACATGCATCTCACCTGCACAACATCTCTCAAGGAGGCTGTGAAAGGGTTTTTTGTCTCTTGTGTGTTGATGGATGGGTGATGAAACAAGAATACCCAGGGAATGATTGATCATAATTCTTGGTCACCTGAAAGTTGATCTTATTCCTTAGTAGACTGGATTCTACTGGGTAAGGACATCGTGTAGCTCTGTGCCTTGATTTTCTAGAAAAAGAAAGCAAAACAAAACCCAAAACACAAATAAAACAATGATCAAACCGAATTAATGAATTAGTTACTTATTCCTTAAATGTGTCATTTGAGAATCCTGAGCCCATTTTGATCTGGTCTAGGATAAATAGTCATCCCTCTTACCTGTCCATCTACTTAACAAAACTGGCGGGTTACGTGCAGTGTTATTTTTAATGATTCATACTAAAACTTGATGTGTGAGAGCAATATACTAATAGTTTCAGGGAACACTGACTCAGCCACAGTCAAAGCCCTTGGGGTTTGAAATCTAAAAATAAGAAGCATGCTTTAAGAGTAAATTCCTTGATACAAAGAACAAGCTGTTTCTTAGTTCAGCATCTGGGATTACCCAGCCTTTGCTGTAAAGAAACATTCGTTTCCCCAGTAAACAGGGGCTCCCTTGGCCTCTGTCAACAGAACTCTTAACCTGGAGCCCTTGGGACCAGCAAAAACAGGCCATAAACCCCACACTTCACATGACTTTTGCCAATCCATCCCAGAACTGCCAGTTCAGGAAAGGAAGAATGAGGAAGCTGCTGTTTGGTCCCTGGCTTCCTTTTTCCTTTGTATTTGTTACTGTTGTGGTGTTTATTTATAACAGTACCTATTTTATTCCTATTTGAGTTTGAAATTTGGGCTGGAAATCAAAAATTTAAAAGCCTCCATAGTGAATAGATCAAAGATGTACTTTTCATTCCTTCTGATATCTCAATTGCTACAGACAAGAAAACACACATAAAAATACTTCTATTCTGCACAGAAATAGCCTCAAATTTAAGTATTGGAGAAAAAAAAAACAGCCACATGCACTCAGAAGGTTAGATGTGGCCAACTTTACTTACAGATTATGTTCATTTCTAAATGGTTCAGTTATAAAGTTATACTGACAGCGGCTGGGGGTCCTGGAAATTCTCTAACAGCCAACTGTTGGGTCTTGCTTAAGATGCATTTGGGAAAAGGATCTGTTCTCTGGATCCATTTGTCTGTTTCTCACTTTACTTTTCTTTCATTTTCTCTGATGAGGTTTTATATGCTACCTGCAAAAGTCTATTTTAAAAACATAGTATTTTTAATAAAACTGTTTAAAGTAGAAAATTCAAGTGCCATAAAATAATACACTAAAAAAAGTATTTCTTCTCCCGCAACCCCATACCAGGCTCACTGAGGGAGTTCCCCATGATTGTCCTCCCGCTTTCTTTGTACCTTTGCAGACATGAGTGCACAGGCATTTACGTGACAAAGTTTACCACCCCACTTCTTTACACACTTTTTTCATTTACCTTCTTTCCCTTAATCTCTAGGATTTCTTTCCTTTCATCACTTGGAGAACATTTTAATGACTATATTGTGTTTCATGGTTTCAATGAACTCTTTTTAGCCACGATTTATGACCCACTGCTGAACACTGGGAATGTTCTCCAGTCATTTCCTACCACACTGAATTCGATGAATGTGCACACATCTGTACACGTGTGTGAGCACCTATGTGTACGTATGCAGCTCAACTCACTAAAAGTGAAATGATAAAGGGGATGCACGCTTGTTTTCCACATGGCTAGAATTTCATGTTGGATGAAACTGCCAGCACTGCCAAATCAACTGCAAATAGGTGTGCAGTGAACGCTCACAACCAAACGTTTATATCCGAGGTTCCTGTTTCCCAATAACTTCAAAAGAAAAGTCCATTACTAAACATATTGGTGTCTGCAGTCTGAGAGGAGGAGCACAATATTTTGTCCTTGTTTCAGTTGTTTAACTATGAGCCAGGTTAGGTCATCTAGCAGAGCTTCAAGTGGCATTTGGATTTCCTTTTCAGGGAATTGTCTGTTTAATGCACCTTGTCCATTTTTCTGTAGTTTCTTGTCTCCTACCCTTTGAATATCTCTAAAAATATCTGTACACAGACACTCTCTCTTTCTCCCCTTTTTCTGCTACACTGGAAGAAAAAAATGACAGTATGCATTTTATTTTAGGGAATTATACATTTAAGGAAAACATCCTCCTACTCAAATTAAAGTTACAAAAATTACCCATGTTTTCTTTTTTTCTTACTTGTATGGCTTATTGTGTTCTTCTGGTGTAAACAGGCAATCCAACCAGCGTTTATTTTGGTTTAAGGAGTATTGTAAGGATGCAACTTCATTTTCTTCCATATGTATTTCCCATTGCCAGTAATGAAATAATCCATCCTTTCCTTTTGATTTAAAATGTAATATCTATCATATATAATTCCTAATATTAATTTAGTTCCATTTCTGGACTCTATATTTTCTTTCATTGATTTTTGTATTCTCAGAATAAAATTGTTGTATTCTAGATTTGTTTTATTATATGATGAGGCTTGTGCTTGTCTTCCCATTGCTTTTATCTTTTGGATATTTTGTAGACATTCTTTCATCTTAATTTTTCCATATGAACTTTGAATTATCTATTAAAAATGTTCTTTTATTACCATTATTGGTAGCATTTTTATTATTAGATTAAAGATAAATTATATGTTTTTTGAGATTCAATCTTCTCATTAAATAACGTATATGTCTTTTAATTATTCCATTTGTTAATCTTTGTGTTGCTCCATTAGTTTTTAAAGCTCTCTACTTACAGATCTTACATATTTCTTATAAAATTATCCGCAGGTGGGCTTGACTGAGACCAATGTCTGAGACTTGTCCTTCTGAAGAAGTGGATGTCTGCTGCCCACTTGTGAGAATTGCTTGCAGCCAAACGTAAGGCCGTGGGCCCAGTTAGGCACCAGAGGGCTCATCAGCTCATTGTCGCCCACTTTAGTCTGCCGAGATCCCACCCACTTGATCTTGTCGGGAGAGAAGGCTGGTTCTTCCTCAGTCACCAGGGGCCAACGTCACCCTTGCAGAGTATGTGAGCACCAAGGGTCAGCTCCTTTCCCTTAGAGTCCCCACAAGCTTGTCAAACAGCTCTTGTCATTCACCTCTAACTGCTCAGTTGAAGCATTTCGTCACTGTTAAAATTTATGACAAATGGATGGGTGTCTGCCAAACACAACTAGAAACCACAGGAAGATCGGGAGCGAGGGAAGGAGGTGGGAAGCTGTTTAGGACCTCAGGACTTGAGAAGGAGCACAGGGTGGGGGTCCTGTATCCCTCACCCAACAGAGGTGGTCACTCAGACCTGATCTTTGCTGATCCCCACCCTAACAACCAATGGCAGTATAGGCAGGCTGCTCCCTTTCCTGGATTGGATGGGAGACCCTCTGAGAACATGAGGCAATCCTGATAACACCTCAGGGGGACTGACAGGGAGACTGGCCACCAAGGGAGGCGCCCTCCTGCCCTACCAGGCAGTCCTCTGTCCACCTAGAGACACCAGGTGGGAAGGCAGAACAGGAAAGAAGTCCCCAGTCAGACAGCAGCCCAGCCATGAAGCCTCTGTGTCCTCATGGCCCAAGACCCTCCAGACTGCCTAGGCATGAGCTAGGGATGACTGAGGAGTTGAATTCCACCACATGCTGTCCTCCCCAATGGCCAGGCTGGGGAAAAACTTTCTGTCCCTCAGGTGGCACAACAGGAACCAGTGGGAGCCCCAGCAGTACCATATCTAACAAGCAGACCAAAATGACACTGAAAAGCTCTGATGAGTAAACTTCCATTAGAACCACAACCTGCAAAGCAGGTCAGACCTAACAAAGGCAACTACCGGCTAAAGTAATAGATTTAACCAGGTCCTAGAGTTGCCTTTTATAATCGGTAAATGTGTAGGATGCAGCAAACATTACCAGGAATTAATAAAATCATGACTTGAATGAGAAAAGACAATGAAATGATGCCCACACCAAGATTAAAGAGCTGCTGGAATTATCAGATGGAGTTTTAAGGCTGTCATAAAAAATGATATAGCAATTGGCTGGGCACGGTGGCTTACACCTGTAATCCTAACACTTTGGGAGGCCGAAGTAGGTGAATCACGAGGTCAGGAGTTTGAGACCAGCCTAGCCAACATGGTGAAACCCCATCTCTACTAAAAAATAATAATAATAAAAATTAGCAGGGCATAGTGACAGGCACCTGTAATCCCAGCTACTCTGGGGGCTGAGGCAGGAGAATTGCTTGAATATGGGAAGTGGAAGTTGCAGTGAGCCAAGATTGCGCCACTGCACCCTAGCTGGGTGACATCTCAAAATAATAATAAAAAAAAGATATAGCAATCTATTGGAAATTCTTCTTTTTAATGTTATATAATTAAGGTGTATAACATGATATTTTGATAAAGAAATACATAGTTAAATGGTCACTGCAGTCAAGTACATTAACATATCCATCTCCTCTCACAGTTATCATTTTTGTTGTGCATATGGTAAAAAAGCACCTGAAATCTATTTTCTGGACAAATTTATAGTATACAATACAATATTATTAACTATAGCCAGTTAATGGTGTTATACACCAGATCTATAGACTTATTCACCTCATGTAACTGCAACTTTGTACCCTTTGTCCAACATCTCCCCATTTATCCCATCTCTCTGTCTCTGGTAACCACTGTTCTACTCTCTGCTTCTATTTATTTGACTTTTTTAGATTCCACATATAAGTGAGATCATGAAGTGTTTGTCTTTTTGTATCTGGCTTACTTCTCTTAAAATAATGTTTACCAGGACTGTTCATATTGTTCAAATGACAGAATCTCCTAGAATCTTCTTTTTTTTTTTTAAAGCTGAGTAATATTCCACTGTGTGTGGAATTTCTTATCCAGAAATCTACCAATGGGTATTCATGTTGTTGCCATATCTTGTCTATTGTGACTAATGCTACAATAAACATGGGAGTGTAGATATCTCTTCAAATCTGATTTCAGTTTCTTTGAATATACACTCAGAAGTGTGATTGCTGGGTCACATGGTAGCTTTACTTTTAGTGTTTTCAGGAACCTTTATACTATTTTCCATATTCTACATCTCGTTTGATGTAGTTCCACTTTTTAATTTTTTCTTTTGTTGTCTGTTTTGTATACTCTCTCTGTATGTGAAGAGAAACTAACTCTTGTATACTGTTGGTGGAAATGTGAATTGGTGCAGCCAAAATTCACATTTCTACCAACAGTATATAAGAGTTAGTTTTTCTTTCCATACTCATCAACACTTGTTGTATCTTGCCTTTTTGATAATAGTCATCCTAACTGGTGTGAGGGGATAGCTCACTGTGGGTTTGATTTACATTTCCCTGATGATTAGTAATGCTGAGCACCTTTTCATACGTCCATTTTGTATGTCTTTGGAAAATGTCTATTTAGCTTCTTTGATCATTCTTTAATTGGGTTACTTGTTTTTTTTTGCTGTTGAATTATACAAATTGATATATATATGTAGGATATTAACTACTTCTGAGATATATAATTTACAGTTTTTTTTCTAATCTCTAGGTCAATTTTTCATTTCCTTCATTGCTTTCTTTTCTATGTAGATATTTTTTAGTCTGATGTAGTCCCACTTTTTGATATTTGTTTTTCTTGTCTGTACTTTTGGTGCAGGCAAGAAATTACCGCCAATCAACCCTAGTGTATAGGAGGTTTTTTTTTCTATGTTTTCTTCTGGGAGTTTTATGCTTGATCAACTAATTTTTAATGAGAGCATGAAGAATATACAAAGAGGAAAAGAATAGTCAAATAAATGGTGTTGGGAAAACTGGATATTCATATACAAAATAATGGCTTTGGACCCTTATCTTATATCATATGCAAAAATAAACTCAAACCATTTTGAGTTAAAGAGTTAAACATAACTCCTGAAGCCATAAAACTTCTAAAAATTATTTTGGAACAAATGAAAAAAGCAAATCTTCACAAAGAAACTGTAGTTCTTTAAAACAGAGAAAGGAAAATACAGAATTGAGGAAAAAATAACTTGCCAAGTGGGCTCAACAGTAGACTGGAGATGACAGAGGCTAGAAGTGAGGAATTTTGATGAATCAATGACAGTCATTCAATCTGAACAACAGAGAGTAAACAGGCTAAACAGATAAACAAAGACCAAGGTATCTGTGGGCCAATAACAAAAGCTTGAACATTTATATAGAATGAATGACTCTCAGAAGAGAGAAGGTCAGGCTGAAAGACTATTTAAGCAAATACCGAGTGAAAGAGTTCCAAGCTTGATGAAAGATACAAATCTACAGATCCAATAAGCAGAACAAACCTTGAATAAGATATCCCTAAGTAGATTCATTCCAAGAATAAATCATAAGTTAGATATGAAAATTAAAGGCAAAGAAAAAATTCTCGATAGTAGGTGAAAGCAAACAATGCATGACATATAGGAAAACACCAACTTGGTTGAGGTTGATTTCTTGTCTGAAACCTCAAGGAAAAGCAGTACATTTCTCAAGTACTGAAAGAATTGTCAAACACAAATTATATAACCTGTGAAATTATTCTTCAGGAATGAAGGAGAAAGAAAAGACATTCTCAACGGTTAAAAAAAAAAGGTAAAAGAACATGTTACTAAGAAGGCTGCCCTTAAAGATTGCCAAAGAGAAATTTTTCAAATGGAAAGAAAATAATAAAAGAATCTGCAGGCATAAAGAAGAAAGATTAAAAGTCTCAAAATAAATAAAACTATTTGTATTACTAAATTAAAGCAAAAAGACTACATATCAAAGTATGTTGGATGCAGTGAAAGTAAAACTGAGAAGAAAATTTATAGTCTTAAATGCTTACACTAGAAATGGATAACTATGGTCCTAAAGGAATAATTTAACTTTCTGCCTCAAGAAACTAGAAAAACAAGAGCAAAATAAGCCAACAGTAAGAGGAGGAAAGAAAATAAAGATAAAAGCCGAAATTAATGAAATTGAAAATATAAAAACATTAGAGAAAAATCAATAAAGTAAAAAGTTGCTTCTCAAAAACAATCGGTAAAATTGATACTGTTAGCAACACTGACAAAAATAAAAACAAATAAATCACCAATGTTGAGAATGAAATGGGGTAAAACACGACAGATTCTGCAGCTGAATGGCTGCAGATAAGATAATAAGATAATAAAGTAAAACTGTAAATGACCTTATATCACAAATCCCACAACTTTGAATAAATGAACCAATTCCTTGAGAATCAAAAACTACCAAAACACAACCAAAATGAAACAGAAACTCTGACTAGGCATGTAACTATTAAATAAATTACACTGGTGATTAAAAGCTCTGGAAAAAGTAGTTTCCAAGACCAGATGGTTAGAAGATGTTGGAGTAGTACTTCCCAACTCACTTTATGAGGCCAGTATCACTCTAATAGTAAAACCAAGGTAGCACACACACACACATACACACACACACCCACAGAGAGAGAAAGAGGGAGAAAGAGAGAGCGAGAGAGAAAGAGGGAGAGAGAGAGAGAGAAACTAAGACCTGTATTTTTCATTAACATAAAATTTTTCAACAACATATTAGCACCCACATCTAACAATGCCTTACAAGTATTATACACCATAGGCAAGTGATACTTATTCTGAGTATGCAAGGCTGGTGCAACATTTGAAAATGAAGCGATGTGATCCACCGTATCACCAAGCTAGAAATATCATATCAATTGGTGCAGAACAGAGTATTTGGCAAAATTTAATACTCATTTATTATTTAAAAAACTCTCACAAAAATAGAAGAATTCTCTCCGTTTGATAAAGAACACCTGCAAAACACCTCCAGCTAACATTACACTTTATGATGAACAACTGATTGATATTTTTTTGTTAAAATTCAGACTAAGGCAAGGATGTCTACTCTCACCACTTTTATTCAACATATTATTAGAAGGTCTAGCTTATGTAGCAAGGTAAAAAATGAAAATAACGGCATTTGGATCAAAAAGGTAGAAATATGAATATCCCTATTGCAGACAACTTGGTTGTCCACATAGAAATCCCAAGAAATCTACAAAAATACTCCTAGAACTAACAAGTGACTTCAGCAAGCTTACAGGATACAATATCAACACCCAAAATTAATTATATTAGTGTATATTAAAAATAAAAATGCTATGAAAACACAGGACTATTTGTAATTACTTCAAATAAAACTATATGTGCTCTGTATGATGAAAATCATAAAATTCTGATGAAAGAAATTTTAAAAGGCCTAAATAAATGAAGAGACACATTGTGTTAATAGATTAGAAGATCCAGCATAGTAAAGATTTCAATTCTACCTAAATCAATTTATAGGTTTAATGTAATTTCTGTCAAGATCTCATCAAGGTGACTTTTTCTGAAAACATAGACAAACTTCTAAAACATCTATGAAAAAGGAGAAGTCTTAGAATAGCTCTGGAAAATCTTGGGAAGAATAAAGTTGGAAGAATCACTCTACTTGATATTCTTACTATATAGCTATAGTAATCGAGACAATGTGGTATTGACTAAACAATAGATAAATACATTAATGGAAGAGACTAGAAAGTCCAGAAATAGACCCAGACAAAGGTAGCCAGTTGATATTTTACAAAAGAGCAGAACCAGTTCAATGGGGGGCATGATAGTCTTTTCAATAAATAGTGCTGGAACAAACAGACATCTAGATGCAAAAATCGATAAATAAAATAAGATAAAAACCCAGGCCTTAGACCTACACATTATGCTTTTCACCCAAATGAACTCAAATCGGATCAACTGATTTTTAACAAAGGTGCAAAAACAATTCAATTGAGGAAGCATAGCTTTGACAACAAATGATATTTGAGCAATTGGACATCCATAGGTAAAAATTATTCTCCAGTTAAGTCTCAGACCTTATATAAAAATCAACTCAAGATGAGTCATGAATTTTAATGTAAAATGTAACACTATAACATTAAAAAAAATACATTGTAAGAATCTTTGAGATTTGGAGCTAGGAAAATGATTTTAGACTTAACACCAAAAGCATGATCCATTAAAAAAGTAAAATTGATAAATTGGACCTCATAAAACCTTTTTGTTTTTGAAAGCTCATGTAAAGAGATTGAAAAGACAGCCTACAGACTGGGAGAATATATTTTCAAACCACATATCTTACAATGGATTAGTTTATAAAACATATAGAGAACTTGTAAAAGTCAGCTGCTATAAAAACAAGCCAATTAGAAAATGGACAAAAAGCATAAAGAAACACTTCACCAAAAAGCACATAGAAATGGTAAATAAGCACATGAATAGATTTACAACATTATTAGCCATCAGGTAAATGTAAATTAAAACCACAATGAGGGACAACTACATACCTATCAGAATGGCTAAATAAGTATAGTGACAACATCAAATGCTGAC